>NC_000003.12:64555454-64858484 GCF_000001405.40 Homo sapiens
TCGTACCCTGTCTCTCTCCCTGTTAGGACACCCAGGGTGGCAGCTATTCCCAACTTGGGTTCCCATGTGTTAGCTCAGCTGGCTGACTGGTGACCCCTGGGGTTTAACACCTAGGGCTACCTGTGCAGTTGTGTAAGCAGTTGTGTTTGTAACAGAGCATGTAATTGAGTAAGAAGCCACCAGGGAGAGAAGAGGAAACACAACGGGGCAATTCCCATGATGCTGCAAAGGTGGGCCCAGGTAGCAGCAGATGAGCAGGAGAATGATGGAGGACATCAGTTCACCAGGCAAGGAGGGGAAGAGGACATTCTTAGGAGGGGCTCAGCATGCACGGTGGCTGGAGGTGAGAAATGGCATGGGTGGAGAAGCGGGGGAGCAGAATGACCACAGCATTTTGGGGTTTTCAGAGCAGATTATTTGTGGTTTGGGATTTTTAGAGCATCCCTAATGCCTAATGCCTGGAACTTCACAAGGGATTGATAAACGCTGGTTGAATAAATTAATAAAATGAGCAATAAAGAGTTCGTATCTGGCTCTGTGCGCACATCAAAACCTGGTCATTCCCTACTGTTAACTTCAGGAAAATCTTTTAAATCAACTGACCAAGGACCTGCTGCTCATTTCTAACTTTTCTGTGTTAAGGAGATGCACTTGGAAATCATTCTACAGCTGATCTTAATAAAAGCCCTCAGACTCCAAGTATGTATCAGAGTGGCCCAAGTCCCCATACCGCACCAAACAGCAGCGAGGTGAGCAGTTCTGCAACAGTCAGACATATCTGAGCACAGCTTGTCCATGGCATTGTGAGAAGAAAATAAAACAGCTGTTCTTACAGGAAAAACAGAGTTTGACTGTGCTTTTATTTTTTTATTTTTAATGTTTTTGAGACAGGGTCTTGCTCTGTTGCCCAGGCCGTAGTGCAGTGGCCTGATGATAGCTCACTGCAGCATTGACCTCCTGAGCTTAAGCAATCCTCTCACTTCAGCCTCCCAGGTAGCTGGAACTACAGGTCCATGCCACCATACTCGGCTAATTTTTTCTATCTTTTGTAGAGATGGAGTCTCACTATGTTGCCTAGGCTGGTCTCAAACTCTGGGGCTCAATGATCCTCCCTCCTTGGCCTCCCAAAGTGCTGGGATTATAGGCGTGAGCCACTGTGTCCAGCCTGCTTGACTGTTCTAAAAGTCATTTTAGAATGCCTTTATTCTATAGAGTGAAAGATGAAAGTCCATCAATTAGCAGGCACTGTTCTATGTTTTTTTCCTTCCTTCCTTCCTTCCTTCCTTCCTTCCTTCCTTCCTCCCTCCCTTTCTTCCTTCCTCCTTCCTTCCTTTTTTGCTTCCATCTTTCCCTCCTTCCTTTCTCCCTCCTTTCCTTTCTTCTTTCCTTCCACCCATCCATTATTTTGTTTCCTTCATTCATTCACAGATTCATTCATTTAACAGGTATCTTTGATGTTGTAGGTACCATGTTAAATGATAGAGAAGATTCTGGTGAACAAGCTTCCTGACCTTAAATAACTGATAACATAGATGAGAAAAACAGGCAATGAGAATTCCAGGTGTTAACTGCCAGAGTACAGTAATCTGCGTGTGTTGTGAGAGCTGAGTGGAGGAGCATCTGACTCAGATTTAGTGGGGTGGTGTGATTGGCAAAGGCTTCTGAGAGGAAGTGACATCTAGGTTGAGGCCTGAAGGATAAGAAAGGGTGACTGAGGTGAAGGTCAGAGGAAGGTGGTCTTATGATGAAGAGGTACTACAAGAGAAGAGTGTATTCCAGGTAAAGGGGGAAAAGAACACATGCAGGACCTGTGAGATCTATTCCTCAATGCTGCAGATGCATGGCCCCATACGATCACAATTCAAATTTGACCAGAAGGACCTCTGCTGCTCTAAGTGAATTTATATGTCAGATTGTGATACTATTAACAAGTAAATCCTTTGTGATAATAATTCTCAAAAGAATTAAAAAGTCTTTTTTAACTTTTTTCTTCCAAACAGCCTCATGAGCATTATAATTCTAAAGTGGGTAAAACTGACCACTGCGAGGACAAATTACTCACCTGAAGCTGGCGGGTGATATTAGAAGCCCAACATTATAAGGTGCAGGCTGAGTCAAACTGCTGTCATCACCAGAAGCCTCCATCGGAAGGCCACCGTACTAAAAAGAAGTCTACTTTGGGATGGCCTAAAATGTGCTAGTCACCATGTCGAATCATGTCATCTCACCAAATCCTCACTGTGACCCTTGAGCAAAGTCTGCCATAGAATTCCCATTTGGCAGATGAGCTAAGTGAAGTCTAGAAATTCAGAGTCAACTTTTCAGAGCCACACACTGAACAGAATTTTGCCTACAACATGTTGTTTCTAGGATGTAAACAAAATGAGATGTGGATGTGTGGATAGAGCACTTTTCTCTTGTCCAATTATTCTACCCTATATCTGAAAGTCTGGGCTCTACTCTCATGGTATCAAGAAGGCCCCTTTCCCCTGAACAACCAATGGGCTTCACAATGAACAGGAAGTCCACTGAGGGGCTCCAACATCATCAAGACTCGCCTGGTGACATGGCTTAAAGTCTGATAGCTAACTAGATCAAGAATCTCCTTTTTAGAAGGGGTAGGTGTTACAACCCAGTAAAGGGAATACACTTTGATAGCAACTCTCCAGTAAGAGGCTTGGCAAATCATTGAGAGGAAAATAAAATAATTCACTTTAGGTGTATTTGGCATCGGATTAGTGAAGATAATGATTCAGAGTGTAGGTGCCAGCGTGCAAGCTTCCGGGCTTCAAATTCCAGCCATATTATTTACTAAATGCATGATCATTGATAAATTAACCTACCTAAGCCGCAAGTTGCCCCTATTAAATGAGGATAAAAATATAAATACTACATCAGAGAGTTATGGAAAGGGCTAAATGAAGCACTTCATGTGAAAATACTCAACATAGTGCCTAGTTTGTAGCTTAGTAAACAATAAGCTTTATTATTTTTATTATCTTCAGTATTAGGGCCATTGTACTATACAACTCTAGGGGACGCTCCTCACATTGTATAAAAATGGCATCCCTCAAAGTTGTGCAGTATACAACCTGTGTGGCTGTACAGAACATCCCTGATGACCATGGCCATGGTGAGGGTGCAGAAACTGTGCTTCTCTAGGCAGATGCTTGGATTATTTCTCAAAAAGAGGATGGTGCCATATCCTACGGACCAAGCATGCAATACACCTTGCCAACAAACTGGTGGGTTTTAATAGTCCACATAGGGGACTATTAAAAGGGGAAGCAAAAGGCAAAGTGCATACTCAAGCAAACAAGAGTTCTGAGGTGGTGGCCAGGGACCGCTAAGAAAGAAGGGGTATCCTATAATGGGGGGCTCCTGCACATCCCATTCAGTGGGCTGAGAGGCTGCCCTGTGGCACACTCTCTGACCTCAGGTCAAGACGTCACTAGGTGTGGGAGAAAAGTGGAAACGTGTGCCTGCATCAGTGGATATCAGGTAAAACGGTGGCTGAAAGAATGGATGTGAGAGGCGGTGGCAGCAAGATCGGAGGTGAGGGCTGTGATTTAGGGGAGCCTGAAGGGTTCTGTCTTATCAAGTGACCACCCAGTTTACTGTTGAACAAGGGCGCTTTTGATCATAAAAGTAGGAAGAATTAATAATTACATGAGGACTACCCCAGGCAAACAGGAGGCGTGGCCACCCTTTTCCTGATTTGATCAATTAAGGTAATTGCCCAGTTACTGTCGTCCTTCACGCTCAGTCTTGCTGCTTTGGGGACATTCTGAGCAGGCTGTCAGCAGGCCTTGCATGTATGGGAAACATGAAGACTTTTGGTGGGGCTTCTCCCCACCTCCAGCTGCCCTGGGCCTCACTCTGCCAATGAGAGGCCTCCTGTAGAATACCATAGGAATATCATAGGAGATACTCCTATGATATTCCGTCCACTTTCACCACCCCAGTATTCCTTCCTTAGACCCTCCACTTTGGGTGAAGGCAGATGAGAAAGCGTGTTCCCAGGAGGGTGACTATTAGACTCTGCTTTTCCTGTTACTCACAGAGTCTTTTCTCTTTGTGAGAATGGCAACCCTCTAGTAAGCTTCTTAAATAGAGGCCCAGGCCAGGTTATCTCCTGAAGCCGTCTATTCTTCCACAGAGTTTAACAGGAATATTTGAGTAAGGTTTAAAAAAGATCCATCTGCACGACACATGCAAAGAAGTAAATTTTAGGCATATTGTGCATGATCAGAGAAGAGGAATTTCCTCAGTGCATATGTGGCAAGGTTTTTCCATTCTTCGGGATGCAAAAGGAATTGTAAACAGAGTGTGCATTTTCGTGATTGGCTCTAGCATTTTCAAAAGCTGGCTAAAGCACAAGCAGTCAGCTTAGATTCATTTCTGAACACTCTCTTACTTTCCGCTCCTCGGAGCAGGGTTGAGTTTAGCGTGACACAAAGAGGGAGATGGAGAGAGCAGGCCATGGTAGGTCTGAAAAAAAGAGAATCAAGAGGTCACACTGAGGGGGAGAGCGAGAGAGATGAGGGAGTCTCCTCTTCCTTCTATATCTGACGTTGCCAATCCCCAAACCATAATAGATAACACTATTACCTCCAGTTTTCTCAGAACAACTCTGAAAAGTTATTTTATCCCCATTCTACAAATGGATAATCCAAGGCTCAGAGAAATCAAGAATCCTTGTTCTAATTCCCTTGGCTAATGTGTGGCAGTGCTAGGATATGAACCAAGTCTGTAGAATTTTATAGTCTCTAGGGTTCCAAATAACTGGTGTGGCTCAAGAGCTGTTAATCTGAAATGTAACTGCTTTAGGCATTCCTCCCTGCCACTGTCTGGTGGGAATAAAAAAGTAAAGAAGGAAAACAGGAAAAAGACTGAGTAGATGGAGAGGGTGAGTTTCCTAAAGAAAAGAAATTACTGCAACCAATGGAAGTAATCCATGAGGAGGCGAGGGAAGAGGAAGACAGGGCTGGGCGGCTGAATCCCAATGGGGTAAAGAATGCAGTTCTAGTATTTCTTAATGGTTTAAGAGAACAAGCTTAGCATGAAGTCTTGCTTCTTCCACTTGCTAGGTGCTAGGTATGTGACACTTGGACAAATGACACAGATTCTGTGAACCTCAGTTTTTTCACCTGCAAAATGGGATGATGATAATAATAATAATGCTCACCTTGTCTGGTGGTTAAAAAGATTAAGGGAAGCAATGAACAAAAAGTACCCAGCACAGTGCCAGGGGTACAGTCTAACTGTTCTCCAAACCATACCCTTTCTTTATGTTCTGAAAAACTCTTCATGGTGGGGAATTTCCTGCCTTATTTTTCATTATCTCTGCACCTCAAGCAGCATGCATTTTGTTTTTTATGCCAACATCAGTGGATATTGTTTTGCTTTCTAATTCTTTCCCCCCCTTTTCTACAGTTTAATCTTCTGTTCTGGAAACAGAGGTTACCTCCTATAAAACCTCCCTGGCCAAACTTTTCCCCATGGACACAATGTTTTCCTTAACCAAACATTAACTTGAAGCCAGGGAAAAAGCAAGGCCTGTCCACTTCTGCACGGACCATCAACGGAGCAGTTTCTTCAGATACCATCCTTTTTTTTTTTTTTTAAATGTTAGAAATCTTTCACTAATTAATCAAGGTTTCACATGAATGCCTATCTTCTACCTGACAGCCAAAGTCATAGAAAGAGGAAAAATACAGAGTAGGTTCTACCTAAAGTCTGCCCTGCGGCTATTTAAACAGATACAGAATGACCAAATCTGGAGACACGTATTTAAAATATTCCTTCTATCTCCCCCTCCTTCTGTGAAAGATATCTGAATGCATTCGGCCCACAGCCTGTTAAAGTTTTTTTTTTTTTTTTTGAGGCGGCCAGACTTGGAACACTCAGGAATACAGACAGACGTAGGAATTGCTTAAAAACAAGAAGTTCTCCCACCCTTGTTGGAGCGAATGCGCGAGTCTGACAGTGAACCTTTTGGGAAAGAGCCAGCATTGTAACCGTGCTCGGTGACTTCTCTGGCTTTATAGGGAACAGATGTGAGGATAGCAAGGGGCGCACACGTGAAATGCCTGGCAGGTACCCCTTTGTGGCTCTACTTACTTCTTGCCATTCCTCTGCCCTCCAAGTGTAGAGGGGACACCGTGGGCCTTGGCAGTCGCGTTCCGACTCCGGTCTGGTGTATGGGTTGCACTCGGTCTCTCTGGCTATTTTGTGTGTTCCGATCTGACAGCCCACATGCCTCTGCTGTACGCCTCGGCCACAGGACACAGAGCACTAAGAAGACAGAGAACGTAAGTGGGAGCTTCGGCTCATTTATTTTTTGGGGGGGCGGGGGGTGTCGAGGGTCACAGAGGAGGGGAATGCACTCCTAATCCAATGACTTTCATAGCTATCACATCGCTTTCTAATTTGCAATGAAAGGGATCCTAGATCATGTCTTAAACCTGGAAACTCACTGCTTATCTTATCCACGCTGGAGAGTGAGGAAGGTGCTCAAGTTTGGAGGAATCCCTCAAGTTAATGTAATTCTTAGAGGATTGAAGAGGTTAATAAAAATCATTATGAATCATTTAGCACAACCTGGAAATAGTGCTGCCATGAGAAATGAAAACTTGAAATGATTTCTATCCTGGAGGATTTGAGACTCATGAAAACTGGAGAGACAGTGTTGTACAAGAAGAATTTCTTGGCAGATTAAAAATATAACCCAAGGAGAAGTAAACCACTGAAGATTTTAGGACTTTATAAGTAGAATTATTTTCTCCAGTCTCTTCCTTTTCTTGCTCCTATTCATGGAGATAAGGCGATATTTTTTTAACCACAGAATTCACTAAAGAATTTGTGTCTATTTACAACCTCAGATGAATATATGAAGAATAAAAGCTGACAGGAAAAACCATTTCCTCGGGCTTAATGTTTTCAGCCCTTGAAAAATATTGTTAATCATGTTGAAACATTTTGCTGACCAACTTGCAAAACACCATATTAAATCTGCAATTAACTTTCCTCTAAATTAATTTTTTAATGGTTTCCTCATTGCTGGGTTTCATAATCTCACTTATGGCCAGGCCAAGAATTATTGTCTTGATTAAGGTTTTGACAGCCAGAAACTAAAGGCAACATTTGGAAAGAATGGTATATTATTACACTTAGCTATTAAAAATTATTTCCAAATTTTTGTGATAGCTCAGCCTCCATTTTTTGGTCTGGTGTTGAGAAAATAAGCTTAACATACATTAAAGCCATATTCCTAAGAGGAAGTCTTCTTAAATAATAGAATCATGACCTTTCAAACTTGAAAAAATTATTTTCCAATTAACCTGTAGCAACATTCAACTTTCTTTGAGACTATTAATGGAAATTTACTATCAAGAATCACACCCAAATGTATTCTGCTGAATGGTAATTTTCTCTCCATTTCAGATTTTAAGAAAACAGGTAACGATATTTAGAAGGTAACTTGAGAAATCATACTGTTTCAGATAAATCTATGCCAGAGAGGAGAACCATATGTTCACATCAAAGCTAGCTGAACAGAAGAAAATATTTTGGATCAACATAGCTACTATTGTTTGGGCTCAATTGTATTAATTGGATTGAATGAGTTTGTGACCCACAAGAAACCAGACTTTTAAAGTCATTATGTCCTGGGTGTAATGGGAGGATTCCTGAACACAAGTGATGACCCTATCTATAGAGAATGGCCATTTAATGCTCATTAGAGCTACATGAATAATATTTCCCATTGATTACACTGGAAAAGAATGTACTGTAACATGATAGAGTTACCCCATAAATGATGGACATGTTCAAATATTATCATCATCAATAAACAACAACCAAAAAGTCTTTTGACTATTTCAATTTGGGGTCTTAAATATAAAAGAGCACGTTTCTGGAACAATATATCCAAATACAAATACAGAAAGAATATTGTAAACAAATTTGAGTTTGGTATAGGACTCAACTATATGCAGAATCTCATAATGTTTTAATAACCTAAAGAAAAATGAAAACATATTTAAAGACTTTTAGAATGTATAAGACTATTCAGGCTACTAAATAAATGAAACCTCTTTTTGAAGCTATTGTAATTGAAAAAATTACTTATGGTTCAACGAAGGCACGGTACTAAGAGCCATAAGTATCCAACATTTAAAAAATCACTTCCTACAATGTTTGATAATTTTTCAAAAGACAAATTAAGACACAGGAAAGTTCAATTATACGATATGTCATTCTGGCTTCTGATTTTCATGATGCAAAGCCAGCTTTGAAATACCACATTCAAAAGTTTCTACATGACTTAAGTGCTCACAGCAAGGTACAAGCCTGCCTTTCTGAATAATGCATTCACAGTAATCTTTGCTCAAAATGAGGTCCACTCCATCGGAGTTAGTTTTCTGTGTTCAACTTTTCTTCCTGTGCTATCTCAAGGGAGGCAACAGTTTGCATAGAGAGCCAGCCAGGCTTGCTTGGAATTCTGAGAGATTTGTGCAGGCACCCCATGAATAAAACAGCAGCAGAAAGACCTCTGTGTGACCCCGGAGGCAGTGATGGTGGTGGTATGTGTATGTGTGTGTAAATCCAAGTTTTCTTGTTCTGTTCAGTACACCTTTTAGTTCGTTTGCAGATGAAAACATCTGAATGGCCTCTATTAATGTGCTCCCCCCACAGCCATCATCCCACCACCACAGTCTATTCGTGCAGGTTTCAAAGTAGACGTTTTTCACTCTGAACTCCTGAGCTGGGAGCTATGTTTCATCTCTCTCTACTCCCCACTGTGCAATGCTAGTATGCAGAACTCACCAACTTAAAAGGGGAACTTGATGCTTATTTCCATAGAGAGAAAGAATCTCCATTGAACTTTTGATGTTTAGGGAATCATAATATATACTTGAAAACCTAGAAATAGTTTTATATACTTTCTTCCAGGATTACTGCTGAAATTATGGTGATGACATTAAAGCAGCGATTAGTTTGAAAAACAACTATATAAACCAACTTTTATAAGTAACAATAATAGCAATAATAACACAAACTTTTACTAAACACTTACTATATGCTAGGGTTTCTATACTAGCATACAGTATATGCTAGTATACTGAGGTTTCTCAATTAAATAATTCTTTTTTGTGTGTGGGGGGGGCGTTGTCGTGTGCATTGTAGAAAGTTTAGCAGCATACCTGGTTTGTAACTACCAGATGCTAGTTCCCCCTTATTCCCCCCCAACTTGTGACAAAACTGTCTCTAGACATTCCCAAATGTCCCATGGGGTACAAAATCACCCCCATTTGAAAGCTTAGCTCTAGGCTAAGCATTTTACATAAAATACCTCTGATACTTCCCAATAAACCTTTTAGGCAGATACTTCATAAATAAATAAAACAAAAAAACAGAGATAATCACCCGAACTCAAGCAAAAACAAAACCAAAAACACAAAGTAAAATTTGTCTTAGACAAGGTAGCATAGCTACTGCGAATGTGCGTTTGCGATCCCAGTTTTTAAATTGGTGCTAATATGATGCAGTCTTTTGTAGCAGGTCAGTGAGGGTGTGGGTGAGAGGCCTGTCTTCAAACAATTCAATACCAATGCTCATGCTTCAAATACAAACAAAATAAATGGAAAGCACAAAATACTAAAGCAACTCTAGTTCTCCTCACTGACCATGTGCATATGGCTTCCTTAATTTCTCAAAGAACACAAGCCACACATTTGCCACATTTCTCCATTAAACACTTGAAGGACACTTCAGAATGACATCACAATACAGCTGCTCTAATTATAATTATAAGAAAAGTCTTAATCAAGAATGGATGGTAGATTCCATTTCAGCATTAGCACTGGAGATCTTTTAAAAATTGATGCTTATTTCATTGAATGTAAGACAACACTGATTGCAAAACACACCATTATATTTTGTAGCACTAAGAAAGACAACAAGGGCTGTTAAGGAAATCATGACATTGCATAGTTTGTGAAGCCCATCCTGACCACAAAGGTGTTGAACTGTGAAGAAGATCTGCATCTCAGAACTGATGAATGACTTGATTGCATGAATTCATGATTGATTAATGCATTGGTGTGTTACCTTCATTCTAATCTGATAATTTATTCTTTTTATTTTTGATCTTTATTTTAAAAACTCTATAGCGATAGGATAAGTTAAAAAAGTTTTACTGTGAAACGCTTTTTGTATCATGGGAATATTGAGTCTTCACATTTGTCAGTCTGAATCAAGAACTTGATGCTAATTTTTGTCGTAAAAGTTCATAGGCATTCCTTAGCTCTTGATTAAAAATATCTAAACAAATGAAATGTAATCTTTTTGGAGAGAGAAAAACCCTTTAAGGCTTCAGTAAGAATAATTCCACCCCTCCTTCAAGAAAAGCTGATTTTCTTTACAAATTCAAGATTTCAGAAGACACAGAAGTGAAATATTCCACTTTAAATCTCAAAACATCAATACTAGCAGAGAAACTGTAAAGATTAGCATGGCTATTGTAGTTTCTATCCGAATATCCTATATATCATATTATCATCAGACCTTTCGATGTGATGAGAAATTAAACCAATTATTTTTCCTACCTTGAAGACAGGATGACTAGGCTGTAACTACCAGCAGAAAACAGAAAGACCAGATATAAAATCTTCTAAATATTGCTGCAAGTGGACAATCATTACTCTTGCTTACTATCACAGTCTTAGGGATATTCTTGTTTACCACTGGATCATTAGGAAGCCAATAATCTTTAATCATGCAGACCGTCTTTCTCCATTAACCACTGGGTCTGATTATTTTCAGGTACACTTCTAAATTGCCCAAATTGAATTTTACCCATGCAGTACTTTGTCTTGCCTGCTTTTCTTATTTATTTCTACAAATCAAATCAGGACATTATAAGGCTGGCCACAGACCATTATATAACTGTGTTTACTTGCATTTTCTACAAAGGTGACTTGACTTTTCCGAGCAATCATTTTGAACAGGTGCAGTTTATTCTGGGGAGGCATTCTGATAATCCTATTACCTTATGTTGGCAAAAACCCCCAGGGTTTAAACCTAATCATTTCAGCTTTGTAAGCAATTTTAGGCTTCCCATCAAGATCACATGATGCTGGATTAAAACTCACTCTGTGTTTACCAATAAAGAGCAAAAGATTCTTTTAATTATCCTTTGTGAATATTGGCTTTTAACATGAGCATCATTTATATGCTCTGAACTTAATTAATATTCAGAGGTAAATAAAACAGATAAGTAGAGGCCAAGGAACATTAAAAAAAAAAGTAACAGATCATGAAAGTCCACAAGAGACAAGCTAATTAGCGTGGTATCTTAAATAATGCTAGCTGCAAGCTTTTACATGAATCGAATAGCTCCAAAAAAAAAAAGGGATGGAAGTTAACAGATGACAAGGATCACTTAGAAAAACATTAAGAAGGATGACTGGTATGAAATATTGCCTTGAATATGCTCCCCGAAGGAAGGCAAAGGAGGAACCAGCTCTGGCTGGGTATAGATTTTTTTTTTATTGTTAAATTAAAACAAACAAAACCCCCATGTTTCATTATGATAAAGGCCTTGAGAGGCATGAGGCCACTGCCCTGAGGAATGATGACTGGAGGATATGGAGGGCAGTGATGCCAGATCAGGGCATTGAAAATACATTCAGGTTTCTGAAGGAATTTTCCATTAGTCATATTGAAATGGAGGATTCTCGAATCCTCCCCACATTAATGTACGCTATGACCAAAGCTGCTTTGGGGCCTTAAGAATCAAGATTCTAGGCTCTGGAAGAATCCATGCTAGAGCCCGCCAACCTTGAACCTAGATTCCCATCGATTATCTGGAGTCATCTGAATGATTCTCCACTGCATGGAAGCACCGGAAATACAGTAAAACTTCATTGATTCAGATCAGTGGAGAGAAGGAGCAGCATTAAATACAGAATGTTTTAAAAGAAATTGAGCCTTATTACTTTTAAGTTAGCACCTTCAACCAAACTAAGAAAATGTGCAAGTGTGGAGTTACCAGATCTACTCTAAGGATTTGATATGAACGGCTTTAGTTCACATATCCAGTGTTTAGAGATTAAACAGAAGCTTCTAAGGTTCCTGTTTCAAGTTCAATAGGGAAACTCACACCCAGTTCCTGACTAGCTTATGAAATGTTTAGAATTAGTGGAGTCTAACTGTAATCAGTGTCTTGGGTACTCACACCCTTCTCCATCCCATACACACATCACACTTGTCCAAACAAAATATAACTCTTGAGAGCCTACTAGATTGAAGACCCCTGCAAAGCGCTGGGCATTCATGATTGCATTAAATCGTCATAAGAGCCATGTGTAGTAGGCTCAGGAAAATTAAATTACCCAAGGTCATATAGCTAGAAAATAACAGAGAACTCTCTCTTCTGTCCTTCACCTTTTGTAAGCAAGCAAATGGGCAGAGGTATTTTCTAGAACTTTCGTCAACAGCCCTTTCTTCAAGAACCTCCAAGATAAACTGAGACTCAATTTCTGCCAGGTGACCACAGTCAGCTTCAGTGCAGTCTGAGTTAGTAGTTTTCTATGTGGTGATAATGCAATGCCATCAGTGAAGTATTGAGGGGCTGACCTGTGCTCCATCTGATCCCTATTTCCACTTAGAATTCACCCTCACAGCCACCCCTAATTATAGGTATTATCCAAAGCTCCAGAGGCTGGAGCCCAATGTCACACAGCTAGTAAGTATCCTGACTATCTAGGTAATGATTCTCCCCTCCCAGTCCCCGAGCTCCCCTCGGTAAAACCAAAACCGTGCATAGAAACACAAGTGAACACACTGGGGTCAGCCACGTGGCCAAACGTAAGGAAGCAGTCAGTAGAGGAGAAGCATTGCTCACCTGACTCCAAGCGCCAGCTTTCCATTTGGGGCATCTTCCTCCTCGGCACTTTCTGTGCCCATGTGGCTTAGCCAGGTGCTTACAGTAATCACTTTCTAAATGGCTTCCATCTTTTGCCATGCAGTAAACATTTCGTTGTTTATGCCCTCGACCACAAGAGACAGAACACTGCAATATAAAGCAATGGCAAGGTTGTTGTTGTTTTTTAATTACACGGAGTTTGAGAAAAAACCTGCGTCTTGAGATGTTAAGACAATGCCTAACAAGAGTTACCATTCCCCTCTTTTACAGCGCCAGTTTGGATAATATCTCAAGGCTTAATAGGGAAGGAAGGTGGCATTGAAAAAAAAAATGTCCACAGCATTACAGCAGCAATCCTGTGTGGCATTTTTGGCTCACTCAAGAGTGTGGGTAAATCCTGAGAATTGGAGCCAAAAATAAAGCTCATGAACCTGAAATTACCATGAAATTCTGATTTTAAGAAGTCCTACTATGAAATAGTGATATATTTCTTCAACAAAATGCCTGTGATTCACTGACTGGGATAAAGGTGCATTTCCAAAATACAACTATGTTCAATTTCTTAATTAAATGATTTAAGAATAAAACTCTTGAACCATTTTCCAGAGGATAAGCTCTCGTTTTCCCAGTCCACTGGGAAGAGGTGAAAAAGGCACGTTAGAAACTGAAAGGTAAGCTAGCAGGTAAGTCTGTGCCAATTTTGGGAGGGAGGCATTACCTTTCAACTTTGATCTGCAGATTCACTGGACTGTTTTAAATGTGACCTTGTCTGACCACATCTGAGAAACTTGACTTTGATTTCAGATTAGGTTTCTCAGAAAGGTTTAGGAATCAAAGTGCCCATGGAGTCGGGACAAAAATTTGATATGACAGCTTCTTGTAAAACAGGCAAGAGGCTGGCCCCAGTGAGTGTGCTGAGATATGCAATGTCCATTGCCTCATTAGTGATTACAGAAGTCATTACCACTCAGATCATAAGCTGCTGGCTCGGGTTTTCAAGACACATTATTTCCCAATATAATGGTCTTGCTTTTTAGAGGGAAATGAATTTAAGAATGAAGAACAAAATGTGAAAACGCAATGAAAACAGATTTCAAGTGTCATTTCCTTCTATTCAATATTTATTTCCCCCACTAACTTTGTGATTTTGTTAAATTACCAACATGCCCTTTTATGCCTAATAAATAGCACCATGTGAAACATGTAACTCATGAAACATATTAACTCAACCACTATTACCAAGCATGCTCAGTTATCCATTCATAAATGTACCAGACATGTTTTTCTAGTAAACACAAACCACTATAAAAAGTTCAATAGTTGCTCATAGAGAAATGTGAAGTACGTATATTAATACATTTGGCTTTAATTTTTTTAACTTTAGGAGGTGAAAATATTGCTGTTTTCATTTGAGCTCTAATCTTATGAATATTATGATTTGGAGTAGTCATTCTGAAAATCTTAATGGAGTATACAGGATGGAAGGAAGCCATCCAACTTGAAATATCTATACCAAAACAAAAATATTCATCATTCAACCTGTAGTGTTTGATCTATATAAAGACTTTGCGATATAATTCTAGAAGGCTTTTAGAATGAAGTTCCTAGAAGTATCTCCACAAATCTCTAGAAGTATGCTGATGACTTGCACACAGATAATCCCTATTAATAGTGACCAATTTTAATATTTTAAAACATTTCTCTGAAAAGAAAATAATATAAGGGTTCAATTAGATTTGGAATGAATTCATTTATTTATTCGACAAACATTTATAGAGCACCTACAATGTTCCAGAAATTATGCAAAGTACTAGAAATGTAGCGATAAACAAAATTGACAAGTCTCTGTCTTCATGGAGCTTACAGACCAGTGAGGGAAGCTGACATTAATTAAGTGATGACAAAAATAAATATATGATTATTCATTGAGGTAAGTACTAGGAAACAAACAGGCTGGAATGGTTGGAAGAGGGCTCACTGAGGTACTTCCTGGGGTCAGGCAGCAAAGCTATGAGCTACAATTATGAGTTTGGATTTTATTCTGCACAAGATGAAAAATCACTGAAGAGTTTCAAGTCAGAGTAAGACATGGTCTGATTTTTGTTTCAAAACATTTACTTTGCCTGAGTAGAGCCCAAGTGGGAAAACAGTGTGAGTGGAAATGAGAAAGTCACTCAGGAATGCTTAGGTAGGGGAAGTTGGGAGGCTGAGGCAGGAGAATGGTGTGAACCCGGGAGGCAGAGCTTGCAGTGAGCCAAGACAGCGCCACTGTACTCCAGCCTGGGCGAAAGAGCAAGACTCCGTCTCAAAAAAAAAAAAAAAAAAAAAAAAAAAGATGTATTTTTTTGAAGTAGAAATGATGGATCTACTCTAGGGTGGAGAGGAAAGGGCAGTATCAGGGATAACTTTCAGGTTTCTGGTTTGGGCAATTGGGTAGATAGTGATAACACTTACAGAGATGGGGAAAACTGGGAGATACAGCATTGGGAGTCAAAGATATATTTATTTCTAGGAAATGAGTTGAACTTAAAGGATATAGAATCATGGGTGGTAAAATTTGCTTGACTAGGGTGAAGAAACATAGTTGTGTCAGAGTAATCAAATGAACATGGGTGACCTTAACACAAGTCTATATGTAGGGACAGTCACTTCAATATACAAATAGTCCAAACAAGCTGTCTCTTAATATATAAGGGAAAAGAGAGTTGTTAGAAATATTAATTTAGTAATCTACTGTGGTCATCAGAAGTTACAGCCTAAAAGTTGGCAACAACCTGTAGAGGAAGAATTGGAAAAGGTACAACTCTCTCACATTTATGAGCCAGGCACTGCCCTAAGACTTTATATGCATCATCTAATTTAATCATCCCAATAACCCAGTGAAACTCAGTAATAGAGATAGGTACTATTAGTGGAGACAATTGGTGTTTTCAGAATGGCATAACCACAATGCTTTATATAGTGCTTCCCACATGACTTCAACACAAATGAATACATTTCTGTTGGAAACAATAACAGCACAGTGAAAAATAGTTAAATTATCACCAACCTCACTGATAAAAATTCATCTGAGGTATAACTGACATCTATTGCTAATGGAATGAAGATGAATGAAGTAGCTTCTAAATACAATGCCTTATCTTTTCACTATCTGGACTAGCTGTAACCTACCCATTCCAGGGTTTTGTTTTTGTTTTTAAATTTGGGGACTTGACTGGAATTGACTTGGAAAAAACAATGCAGCACTTGCCATACTTATTATCTGCCTAATATTGTTAAGATCTAAAGGCAATTAGGAAATTCTCAAGGTATCTAATCTGATAGCAAATACTCTTCTTTTAATGCTTTCTAACTTACCAATGAAGAAAAGCAGCTGCTCGTGGAAATGTTCAAATCTAACAGGTTTATTAATGGGCCTACTATGACCTGATAGAGGGGCTATCATTTTGATAATCAAATAAACACAAGTTTCAGCTCTTACATTCTGAGGGAAATTTCCATCAGATCATTTCCAGTCCTTTCTCAGGCACTGACTTTTACATCACCATGTGTCACTGAGACATAATCGTCAAATTTAGTGTGTCACCTAGTACGTGCTATTTATTGGTTACACATCTGATAGTTCTTGCTCTAGGGAATATTTAATTCCTCAAATTCACAGCCAAAAAGCCTCCTACTTTGCCAATAGGACTCTGACTTTTTTTTCTTGGGAAACAACCCAACTTTGTGTAACAGAATGATCTTCCTCCCAACTTTGAGCAAGACTCCCAGACAATGTAATCTCTGTTTGTTACTTAGCAGCACCAAGGTCAGCATCCCAAGTGCCTGGGTATTCAGGCTTTTGTTTCTGTTGGGTGGCTTGAAGGGGATGTTGAAATGTGGTGTTTTGTTCAGAGATTGTGTTAACACTTTTCACTAATTAAGGTCTAAGAGCTTGAAATCCTTGCATTTCAATTCATCTGGTGGAAAGGAAACTCAAGACATGGGCCGTCTGTTCTTAACCTCTATCGAGGGCTCTCTCTCAAGAAGTAGCACTGGATATGGTGCAGACGAATATGGGTTTGGTGTGCTGTCTCTGGTTTTAGGGATGCCCCACATTGGTCCTTTCACTTATACAGAGGAACGTGGTTTCTTAGTTATTGAGAAGCCAGAAAACAGCCCTGGTGTGTCTGCCTGAATGAGAAGGGCTGGAGAACTAAAGAGAATGGGATCCCTGGGGTTGCTGAGGCTGCCAAGGACCTGGACATCCAAAACAAGATGGATTTCTACACAGAGTTGCTAAAGATACCATAAAGAACCAAGAAGGAATAAGAAGGGGAAGGTAGAGGTCAGAGATGTACACAGGATCTGGCCAGAAAGAGGCTTCTGGGTGGGGCTGGAAGATGCAGGGGCTTAGAAAAAGCAGGGGCGGCCGGGTGCGGTGGCTCACGCCTGTAATCCCAGGACTTTGGGAGGCCGAGGCAGGCGGATCACAAGGTCAAGAGATCAGGACCATTCTAGCCAACATGGTGAAACCCCATCTCTACTAAAAATACAAAAATTAGCTGGGCATGGTGGCATGCACCTGTAGTTCCAGCTACTCAGGAGGCTGAGGAAGGAGAATCGCTTGAACCTGGGAGGTGGAGGTTGCAGTGAGTCAAGATCCTCCACTGCACTCCAGCCTGGCGACGGAGTGAGTGAGACTCCATCTTAAAAAAAAAAAAAAAAAAAATGGAAAAAGAAAAAAAGAAAAGGCAGGGGCTTAGAAAAAGCACTAGAAGGGGACTGAATGAGGACCAGGACTGCCTGAGTTATAGCAGATGCCTGCTATGCAAGGACTAATGCATGGGCCAGGGGGACAGCCCTAGCACAGTGTCTGGGCACAGTTCTATGTATCTAGGTGATTCCCATTCCCAAGTGGTCTGGATTGATGAGATTCTGTATACATGAAATATGAAATGGGGGTGCTGACCAACTAGTCCATATTTCCAACCACAGGACTGGCTGATAGCAGGTGAGAAATAACAAGCACTGAAAGGCCAAGATAAATGTCATATACGAGAACCTATTACCAAGTTGTCAAGGCTCTTCTGATCTAAGGATTTTTGACAACAGATGGCTAACCATTACTCAGATAGGTGTTTTGAGACAGGAGACTGAAGGAATTACTATTCAAGGCCTTTCCCTTGTGAGTCTACAGACTATGAAAATAACATCTAAATCACTTCATTTAAAAAATATTCAGTTGTATCTTTTCATACAACAACAAACTCTTCTTGATTCCACTCTCCTTTTAACTTTAACAAAACATAAAATCACAGCTCATCTGGAAAGTATGTCATCAGAAAGGATGCAACGCATATGCCCAAGGTTCAGGACTGCCTTTGCCAATGACAGTGACAAATGAAGTGAATACTGCATGAGCGTCACACTGTTGGGGGAGGCAAAGGAGATGCCAGCCTGTACCTACTATTCCACTGAAGAAAGACCATAAACACAAGGATATAGATTTAGTGATCAAAGTTTCAAACATTGCTCAGTGGAAGGCCTGGAAAACCATGTGGGGCTTACCACATGGAAAAAAGATAGTAGCTGCAACTCATACATGTTTACTTGCTGCTTTCCACACTGTAGTCAGTCAGCAAATATTTATGGAAATGAATGAACATATGAAAACTATAGCCATCACAGAGGTGTACTATAAACCAATGCCATGTTTTTGTAAAGGCCGGAATGAAAGAACCACCTGGAATCCGACTCATGGTGCTAATACTGAACTCATTTGGCACAAGTTATTTAGATTCAAAAAGGCCACCCCAAGAGCACTCTCTTTCAGTTTGAGCAGAACTCCTGAAAATCATACTAGCTACCTTTCATTGTGTTCTTATTATGAGCAGGATATTGGGATAAAGAACACTGGTTTCTCTCATTTAATTCCAACAGCAGTCTGGTGGCTCAGGAGCTATTAGGATTTTTTTTGTATCGATAAGGAGACTGAGGGTCAAAGAGGTGACGTCACTTGCCCAGGGTCATAGCACCAGGAAGCAGGAGAGTTAGGCTTTACATACAGCATGGCTGGTCACTCTGGCTCATGACTTTAATGCCAGAATTTTGGGAGGCAGAGGTGGGAGGATCACTTGAACCCAGGAGTTTGAGACTGGCCTGGGCAACATGACAAGACCCCATCTCTACAAAAAAAAAAAAAAAAAAGAAAAATTAGCTGGGCATGGTGATGCACAGCTGTTGTTCCAACTGCTTGGGCAACTGAGTTAGGAGCATTGATTGAGCCTAGGGGTTTGGGGTTAGTGAGCTATGACTGTGCTACTGCACTCCAGCCTGGTTGACAGGGCAAGACACACACACACCGCCCCCCTCCCCACACACACACCCCAACCACTTTAATCCTTAAGCTACACTGGAAAAATGGCCTGGTTAAGACAACCAGTTGCTCACCTCTACTTACCCATGGCAACAACAGAAAGCAAGGACCTCAGGAAATGTCTCTTAAGACTTTTAGAGTTGCCTGATTCCTCAGTCTCCCACGAAGAGAGTAGCTACGCAATGTTAATAGCTCTGACTTTAATGCCTTTTCTCACAACACCTTTAGTGCCTGTGAAGAAAGACACTATAAAAAGCAAACATACAATCCCATAAATAAAGGGCCACATTTCCCCTTGACTGAAGCTACCCTACTTTTCTCTTGGACATTTTTCAGGGTTTATTAACTCGTTGAGGCCTGCCAGATGCCACATAGTAGATTACTATTTCCATTGATGGGTGAATGCTCTTTACACGGTCAAGAAGGGAAGGCTGCAGGTTGTAAATTTTGGCCCCCTGGCAATTCACCAAGGAAAAATCTCTTGAATGCTCAATCTGCAGGGCATCTCAAAGATTATTCTGTCCATCTATTTATTTTACAAATTCAAGACTAGAGAAAAGGAGAGATGTTGTGCCCAAGGTCACACAGCAGGGAAGGAGAAAATGCAGGCTGAAGAATCTTCTGTCCCTAGCACAGAATGCTATTTGGCTCCCGTCGCAATGGGGGCCTGGGGCTAGGTTATGGTGTTGTTCAAAAACCACAGCTAACCACACACTCTGATTCTTTCTCACCCCTAAGCAAGAGTGTAACAACCTCTTGTTCCAAAGCACCAGCAAAGAGCAAATTCCAAGGGGTGCTTGGGTGCTGCCAACACAGGAAATGGCAGCTGGGGTGGTGGGGAGGGTGCTTGTCTTCATTTTGCTTTAAAATGTTGCAAAGGTTTGAGAGTCAGACAGGCCTGGGCTGGAATCCTACCCTACCTGTCATTTTACCAAGGTGCCACTAGGGGCAAGTGACTTCATCTCTCAGCTCAGATTTGTTCTCTGTAAGATGGGAGAATAGTAGTAACTGTACCCAATATCACTGTGTTACAATTAAATGAGACAATGCATGCAAAGCTCTTTGTGTTTCAGCCAGACAGCATACAAATGGTACATTTTTTTTGCATCATTACTACTATTATTTCTATTCAGTGGACCCTTTTAGAATATCTCTTAACACGAAGTTTAAAAGGTGAGTTTAAAAAAATTTTGTTAACTAATGGAGTCTAACATTCTAACAGAGGCATTGATAGGTAAAGGTGGGACTTTGGCAAGATCTCATCCCTGTGAATGGGCAAAGTGCTTTTCTTTCCAAAGTTCCCAGAGAAATCAATCCACAGAGCAGTTATATACGTTGAAGATTCCTTCTGTAGTGCCCTTTTCTCTCTTAGAGACTATTACTTACCAGTATTGTCTCTTCTCACCAGAGTAAGGAGAGGAAAGATGCTGTATCTGAATGCCACATCCCTTTTCTACTCCATCATTCCCTGCTTACACTTAGGTTTTCTCAAGAACTCCTGCGTTTCTCCCTTGTCTTTTGTTATGCCATTTCTTTAAATGTCCTGAGCCACAGAAGCAGCGTCAATGATAACCATTACAGAATCCACAGTCACTCACTTCCCTGCCACGCCCTGCTCTGCTGTGAGAGTTGTCACAGTCCTTTGTCAAAAAACACATCTCCTTATTGGCAATGAACTCACTCAGGGGAGGTTTTACAGGCTTCTCACAAAACAAGAATGGCTCTGAACAGTGGCAGCGACAACCAAAATATTGAGGAAAAATGGAGAGAAAGCTTTACCAGGAAACAAGGGCTGTGACTTCAGGGCGTAAAGCCAGTGTTGACAAGGCCTGCCTGATGGCTGTTTATGTCTGGGACCACCCTGGCACTTATTACCATGAAAAGGAGCTGAGAGCGCCTGAGATTGGCAGGGAACACCAAGGAAGAAAGCGGATGTGGGAGTCACGGTCATCCCAGCCGGATGGGGCATTAGGCCATCCTCCCATCCCCACTGCCCCCCAACACTCCAGCCTTTGCAACGCTACAAAGGTCTAAGAAAAGGAACCAAGATTCACATGTCAACTCTTGGAGCACAGTCGAAGGCTGCTGTCAATATGAGAACCAAGTAGGTGGCCCTGCATATGCTTAGTAAGGGAGATGGCAGGGCCAGGCAAATAAAGGGAGACAACGAGGGGCTCACATCTTCCACTCCCACCCCAACGCCCCCAGGAATATGGGGGACAGGGCGCTCCAGTTCCCCAACCTTCGATCTCACAATGTAACAACTTCATATTAGAGGGGAAAATAAATTTTAACATTAAATATAGCAGTATATGAAATCAGTTATGCAAGCTATGAAACCCAAATTAGGGCTCTTTTTGTTCTCCAAGAGTGGAAATATTTTACCGTTGTCTTTCCCATCAAGAAAGAAACAAAAACCAAGGAAATCTGCAAATGTAGCACCTGGTGAATTCTATCGTGGCTATATCCAGGAGTACCCTGGGGAACTGATGACAATAATCACCAGGCAGTGTTACCCCTCATGTGGGTAACAGGGCTCTATTAGCCTGTTGATTCCTTATTCCCAAACACATTGCCTGTTTTTGTAGGACTTCTTTTCCCTTTCAAGGTTTACCGGGTGATTATTTGTAACCTGACATCAGCAGAATAATGATGTTCACATTTTTCAAGAAAGAGGCGAAGATAATACAAGGACCCACTCTATGCCTGCCATGGGATTATTTATGAAAGCCGTCTGGAAGACAGGGAGGGCGGTGGGTGAGAAATTTGTTCCAGAGGTGAGTGAAGTTGTGTCTGAGTAAGTAATTGGTGGGAAAGCTATGACTGGTAGGAACAGTGACCAAAGTTTCTTGGTACTCTCAAGGTGGACTGTGATTGAAGGCCTGGACTGGAGAGTTCAAGGCTACCTGGAGATGTCAGTCTGCTAGGAGATGACAGTGCTGGGGCAGACCCACTTGACATGACTTATGCTACTGTCAAAAGCAGTCAGGGGACAGAGCTGGAAAGCTTCAGCCACCTTCTGAAATGCTTCTGTAGAGAAGTGATCCATGTACCTAACCAATATCTGCCCCTTGGATCTTGTTCTCTTCCCAAAGAACTATCTATGTGTCAACAAGTCATTTAAAAGACACCAGGACACAGTTAATTCAGTTGCTTCCTCCAGTCTTACTTTCTCTGCCTGTCTGGCCCTTCTTCTGTAAGCTCATTGTGAAAGGAGCATCTTTACAGGCCAGCATGTCAGGTAGACTATCCTGAAAATTTTATAACATTTTCGGGAAGCAGCTTATGTAATTAATTTACTTGTGGGTGGATATTAATGCCAACTCCAGAACTAAGATTTGCATACGTGTCTGAGCCTGTATCCAGAGAAATGTATCTCAGCAGCAGGGATAAAGGTCATTTTAACCATTATCAAATTAGATGCTCATCCTCCAATTTAGCATTGCTCTATCGGGAGGTTGGACAGCACACAGTCACTCTCAATATGCATTATTCAAGTCCTTTGTGGCTTTTCTTGTCTCCTCTTCCTGCCTTCCTTTGGTTAAAAAAAAAAAAAGGCTCAAAAGTACCACTATGAAAGGACGGGATGAGCAGTAATAACCAGATAAAATGTAAATGGCTCACAACACAGAAGACTTGGCATTGAAAAAGGCTAAAATTACATTTGATGGTTTTCTGCAAATTCAAATGATTCCTACACTACTCTGAGATGTATTCAGATGGAAATCAAAAGATTGAGGCAGAAGGGTGTAGTGGCTATGAATACGGTGTTAGGACAGTCAGACCTGGTCTGACTGGAAATATCTTTCTTTGTTATTTTTGGCAGGATGCTTAACCACTGCAAACATCTATATTCAATTCTGTTTAACAGAGATATGAAGTGATGACGCCTACACATCTCAAACTTAACATGTTCAAAACAGAAGTCCTGCTCTTCCTCCACAAA
The DNA here is from genome assembly GCF_000001405.40 of Homo sapiens. NCBI lineage: Eukaryota > Metazoa > Chordata > Mammalia > Primates > Hominidae > Homo > Homo sapiens. Next base: position 64,578,693 of record NC_000003.12, read on the forward strand.
TCTGTTCTTCCTGTAGGCTTCCCCATTTTAATCGGTGGCAACTCCATCCTTTCACTTGTCCAGTCCATAAAACGGGAGTCATTGTGACCCCTTTCTGACTCTTGCACCCCATAGTCAACTCTCAGCTAATCCTTTGGCACTATCTCAAAAATTCTTCCAAATCCTACCACTCCTTACCACTTCCCTTGTGACCACTGTCATCTGAGCAATGCTTTCTCTCATCTGAGTTACTACAATGGTCTTACCACTTCCATGTGTGTTCCTCCTGTACCCTCTGCTAAATCCAGAAGCCAGAGTCAACCTTTAAAAACAAATTCATGTTCCTGCTTAGTGCCTCCACCCACGTTTTCACTGCCAGTCCCTTCCTATCTCAAAGTGAAAACAAAAACTCCGTCCAATAGGCTAACCCTCCTTCCTCTACTTGCCCAACAGTCTGCCTCCATGTTCGTCTCCCTCAGTTTCATCTGTAATTTCCTATCCTATCATTCACATCCTCTGTTCTAGCCACATTAGTCTCTTTGGTATCACTAAGAGATGCCTGGTGTACTCCCGCTTTCAGGCCTTAACCTGTAATACTCTTCTCCCAGATACTTACATGGCTTCCTTTTGTATTTTCCCCTATGTTTGCTCAAATGTCACTTTCTTAATGGAGACTTCCCTAAACCTCCTTTTAATTAATTTAATTAAGCTCTAATTTAATTTAATCTAATTCTCACCTACTCTTCTACGCTATCTCCTATCCTTCTTCCCTAATTTATTTTTATCTATGGCAACTGCCGTCTTCTTTCATAATATATATTTGACTTTTTTGTTTTGTTTGTGATTCGTAGCTTGTCTCCACTCTCCACTAGAAGGTAAGCGTAATGAGTTCAAAGGTTTTTGTGTGTTTTTTTTCACTCCTATATCCAAAATGCCTAGAATGGTACCTGGTTTATAAAAAACACTCAAACATTTATGGAATGTCCAAATGAATGCATGAAACAAGTGAATAAATAATATCCAATAGAACCTAGAACCACTTATCTCACAAGAATAAAGATTAAGTAAACATTCTGCACAATGCTCAGTTTATTGTTAGAACCAAATAAATAACAATTGCTGTCTCCTGTCTCTTATATCCATTCAGTCCAAAACTAGCCACATATTCTTGTGGTTTAATATTTAACTCATATCTACAGAACTAAATGCACAGGCGACATCTAAAGGGAACATTATCTGAGAATATCATATAAAAGAAGCCGACAAGAGGCAGAAGCTAGGAACTCAGAATACTACACTGCCCTGTAAATGCAAGAAACATTGACAGTGCATTCTTAGCCACTGATCCCACCACATACCCTGCGTGTCATATAATGTTGTTTCCTCTCCCTGAAGATGTCATCTTAGAGTGACATTTTTGTCAGATGGGTGCAAAAATGTATGTGTGTGTATATATATATGAAAAACAGAATACAATGAAATGCAATACTCAAGAATGGGTTTTATCCAGGCCAGGTATTTTCTTTCTTTTGGCTGGAAACATCTAAAAGCATAAAACTGAAGATTCACTCTTCTGTTCCAAAACAATGTGTCTCAGTGATCCTGATCAATTTTTTTAATAAGTTTTCTTTCATTTAGAAAAAGCCTTGCTTTCTAAGTATAGGATATCCAGGACTCTAAAACCAATACCGAGCCCAAGATTTTGTAAAGTGAATTTGATAGAATGAAATCATAGCCACCCTCCTGCAAACTCTCTACAGCCAGTCCCCACGAAGTCTAACTCTTATGGAGAGTACTTTTTACCCAAATATGAGGATCAGGCCGTGTCCAGAAAGACCAAATTTTCTTAGCTCAGTAGGACCTTTCCTTACAAATGTACTAATTCTCATCATTTTAGGATGCTGTAAAAGTCCAGGGGGAAACTGATCCATTTCAAAGCTCTGGCCTGAGGTTGCTGGGTGACCCAGTCCAAATTTGAGTTTCTTTGAAAGCCATTCAAAACTAAGTGAAATGTAAAAAAAGATCCTATTCAGAAATGCAAATATTCAGCTATCTCTGACTTGTGATAAGTAAAATAAACAAAATCAGGAATCTGGCTAAAAACCCTTGGGAAACATTCAGATTCCAAGGACCCAGTCCCAGGGACTTTTATAAAGCAAAAGAGGGCTGAACTGGTTTCTATTCAGGCTTGTTTCTTTTATGCATCACAAACCAAAATTCATGTTTCTAGAAGTTTTGAAAGCTCCCCAAGAGAGGCAGTGGAAAAACATGGGGCTTTGGAGTCCATCAGGTCTGGATCCAATAATTACTGACTGTATAATTATTGGGAACCTTTCTTAACTTCCCTAAATCTCAGTTTTCCTGTCCGCACGATAGACATCATAAGACCTATTTTGCAAGGATTATAAGAGGATTGGCAATAATGCACACAAAGGACCTGGTCAAGGCCAGGGCTCACATCAGATGTTTAATAAATGAGGGCCTTTGTTATTATTTTCCACTTCTAGTCAAATCCATTTGGCCAATTGCAAATGGGCACCTATATGTGCCACATCAGGAAATGTAAGACAATTAATTGTCCATCAGTTGGTAACTACTGAAGTGGAGAAGGTCATTCATTCAGAGCAGTGAGCTTTTTGGTGGTGGTGGTGTGTCTTTGTTTAGGGGCAATTTTTCTTTTTAAAAAAATTTTTAATTTCATTTAAAATTTTAATCTATTTATTTATTTATTTAGAGACCAGGTTGTGAGACTGGCTAATTTTTGTATTTTTGGTAGAGATGGGATTTCACCACGTTGCCAAGGCTGGTCTCGAACTCCTGGGCTCAAGCAAACCACCTGCCTTGGGCTTCCCAAAGTGAGTCACCATGCCTGGCCAAGATTTCTCATTTTTTAGGGATTCTTTCCTAGGCAAAACATTTGCATGTGCTCAATTTATAGCCTAGAATTACCGGTAAGATTACAGTTAGGCAAAAGTCAAAATTCAATTTCTAATTTTAAAGGGCTTTTCACATAGCCAATTGGTAATTTAAGGTTCCAATTAATTCTGAAAGACAGCATCCACTTCCCTTATGGAAAACCAAGATCTCTTCCACATTGGGCACCAGTGCATAAGTCTGTTCTTTAATACATATTTCTGTGGTCTTCCATCAAATAAAGTTTGAACATTGCAGGGAAAATCCAATGTTTCATTAGAGTGTAGGTCCCACCATAAAATTTCTGAGGTTGATGACAGTCTCTTGGGTTTATTTTCTTTGCCTTTCCTCTACCAATAGATTTCTTCTCCAGTCTCAAAGCTTTGGAGTCACTACTAGTGTTTATGGCCATTGTTAATGACCTTTTTAAAGGAAAAGAATTGAGATTGATTTTCCTTCTGGGACCAAGACATATCATCTAAAATGTTTTCTGACCCTCTGATCTCAGAGTTGTACCTGCCGTTTTGAGTGTGTTTGTGTGGCATGGGGGTTGGGGTTGGGAAATATATAGCATTTGCCATCTGCTAGAGGAGCAAAGATTTGCAGAGTGGAAAAGAGGAGGTGCGAGGAGGTAGAACTGCAGAAACTTGCTTCCCCAGAAGTTCATGTATAGGAAAGCCAAGTTAATGCCACATATTTGGAAAAGGTGATCCCCTATGTATAGTTTTCTCTGATAGGTTTTTTAAAAACCCAGACAAAGTGGAAATGTCTGACTATGAAAACTTGGTGATCTCTACAATATAAGGATTTCACTTCCCTTTGAGGAGGAAGGGAATGATTTTATAACCTCAGACTTCTCTGACTTAACAAATAGGGACTTAGTATCAAATATGTCTGGTAAATGCTGATGTTCTACCTCTCTAATGCCCATAGGAATATGGAAAGAGAAATTCTGCTGTGAGAAATTCATAGAACTACCTGGCAGAAAAGGAAGGGTGATATTGCCTCCCAGGGAACATTTGGCAACGTCTGAAGATATTTTTCACTGTCACAACCGAGGGGGTATGCTATTGGCATCCAGTAGGTAGAGGTCAAGGATGCTGATAAGCATCTACAATGTCCCAAACAGTCCCTACAACAAAAAATTATCTGGCCCCAAATATGAATAGTGCCAAGGTTGGGAAACCCTTCTTCATACCTATTCACAATCCATGGAACACTTTATGTACTGCTGTCTTAGTCCCTAATCAGAAATTATCAGGTAAAATGCTCACTAGAATTAATCCTACTTCCAGAAGAGTTCTCAAAAGAGAAACCTATATACTCAACTCTGATGCTCAAGTCTGACCAATCCCTAGATACTGCTGACCTATTCATATATTCATATTCTATCACTGATATGGGAAGCTCTGTTTGAAACATAAACTTAAAAAGGAATCTCTATATATGAACTATCAGTGCTATCAGACAATGCTAACATTATGAACATGATGAGGATATAACCCTTGTTTTCTTAGAAATGCCCACCCACATTTATGCTGTTTTTAGTTTATTACTCTTGTCAAAGTTGCCATGCAGAATGTCTGTTGGTCAGTTGGGCACATCTGCACACATTTACAATATCTGCCACCTCTTTTAACCCTCAACCCCGCCCCACAAAATGAGTGATGGTGCTTGTTGATTTGCAGATTCACAGTCTGGTGAGACAAGTTTGAGATCTCATATTTTCAGCTCATCCTTGAAAACCTTTCTTCGATTTGACTGACCTTGATGGCTCCCTGGAATCTCACCTACATTTTATGGGAAATTCAACTCTCCAGAGAGAAGAGCTTTCAGATAGCTGCGGGACTTGCAACTGTGACTTTCAGCTTTCGCTTTTGAATGAGGCTCCAAATGTCTCAATGGTGGCACTATTTCCAGATTTGGGGTAAGCCAATTCTTTGTTGTTGGGGTTGTGCTGTGCATTGTAGACTATTAAGCAGCATTCCTGGCCTCTACCCACTAGATGCCCATAGCACCTGCATCCCCATTGTAACAACCAAAACTGTCTCCAGACATTGCCAAATGTCCACCGCAGGCTAAAATCACCTCCCAATTGAGAACTATTGAATTATACTAAGGTTCTCAGAAAGTCCTTCAGCAAGTTCTCAAAACTGAATTGATTCAAATTGACTTGGTGAGGTCAGGGCACACAGAGATTCTTTGTTGATGGGAGTTGTAAAGGGCCTGCTGAACATCCGCTCAATGAAGTCAGGGGCTCCAGCTAAAAGGGTTAGGAAGCCCCCATCTATAGAAAACGTGCCGTGTACAACGTGAAATCAATTCCCATGCACAACAATGAAGATCCCAATTACAATGAACAAACACGTTCTTCTGAACAGAACTTCCTCCCTGACATTATGTCCATGACCCTGCACCCTGCGGGGGGCTCGGATATGTTACGTCTGATTCAAAGACAACCAAAAAGAAGGAAATAATGATTTCACCAAGAAAGGACACATACCAAGGCAGGAATAGGTAAGTGGGCTAGGTGGGGCTTTTATTAATCTCAAGGAAAACAAACAGCACACATTTTTGGGAAAATGCTTTCATTTTCAAAGGAATCTGGATGTGGACTGGATAGCAGTCGATTAAGAAAAGGCAGAGTCTGCATATGGCCAGATATTTACTGGAATTTACTAGGAAGAGATGCAATAAAAGTCTAGATTCCCCTGGGAAAAGGGAAGCAAAAAAAATGCACCATTCTCAGAGGCCTTTCAGTTTAGCTGCATGGGTGGGATGGGGAGGAGGGAGGAGGAGAGAAGGCTTAGGAAAGAGAAAATCATGGGAAAAGGCCAATAAAAAAGTAGGAAAGATTCTGTTTCTGCTGAGCTCTGCCACACCCCACTCCCTTTTTTATCACATTACAGTGCAAATCTCAGATTAAAAACAGCTTCCTAGAATGTGTCAGAATTTTTAAAGTTGTGAAATAAATCCAGATCTACTCTTTACTTCCTTGTGAAGGAAAAAACACACTCTGAATACATTTGTTTCTTTAAGAAATTTTATAAAGTAACTTATTTTGAAAATTTTCCAACTTATAGAAAGATTGCAAGAACATCATAAAGATCTCCCTTATCCCCTCATCCTGAGTCCCCAATTGCCAACATTTCACCACATTTGCTCCCCCCATCTCTCTCTCTATATGCTATTATTATTTTGTCTTTCCCTGAAAAATTTGAGAGTAATTTAGAGACATAACATCCCATCATCTCTAAAACTCTTTTTTCCTCAAATCAAGGACACTCTTTTATGTAAATACCGTACAACTCTCTAAGTCAGGATATCATCATTATTAATACAACAGCACTAAATAATCCTATGCCTTTCTTTTTAATGATTCCCTTCTACCAGTTAGCTCTTTACTTCCATATTTCTGGGCTAATGTAATAAGGAGTTCAGCACCTGAGTAGCTGAGCTCATTCATTCATTTCAACATTGTTTATAGTATGCCTAGTTTGAGAGAGGCACCCAGTTTGAACTGTGGGTTTCATTAGGCAGAAGGAAATTCAGGTATGGGGCAATTAAATAAATGATTGGGGAAACAGGTTTTTCACTTAAAATGTGTTGGCTCTGTCTATATTTCTTCCTCTGTCCTAGCTAAGAAAAAGGAAGCAAACACAGTCTGCTTTTTCCCTGTTGTATTTCCCTCTGTTCATCTTACCAAGTTCCCAAGCGTAACTGTTTTATTATTCACCTGCCACATGGACTAAGGAATACAGAGGTAGTTGTGAGAATGAGGGGTGATGAGAGGAAGAGGATGCAAGAACAGGGTTCAAGGTGGTTGACTGTCTTACCAATGGGAATGAATAAGACAGCTTTGCTAAAAGAAGAGTTCAGCTCCTATAGCTTAATTTTAGCTCAATAAATAGTTTGGAAGACGTTCCAATGCATTGAATATGCTTTATTTCAACCAGAGAGTTACGGTGAGATCACATTTTAGTAAATTTTACCATTTTTCATAATTCACTTGTAAGTGCTACAGCATCTTACCTTCTGCAAGGAACCTCATCACCATGAACAGATGTAAAGTCACCTGACTGGCTCTAATAAAATCTATCATCCTGACTATCTATATATCTACTAAATAAAGAAAATACCTCAAGTTATTCCATTTCTACTAAAAATGCCAGAGATAGCACCCAATATGTGCTTAATACTGGTTGCTTTTTTCTTAAAATCTTCTGAAAACCCCAAATCTTGCTCTTTTACTTGGTTTGAGACAATTTTCTTATATTCATTCCTGATTTTCTTTGCTTATCCCCTAAGCAAAACTTGTAAATGGCTCAATTAGCTTCAGAACATTTCAAATATTAATAGTTACACTCTGGGATAACATAAAATCCTACATTGTAGACATACCCTTTCCACTCATGTTACATTTTACCATTTCATCAACTAAACAATGAGATGAGGGGATTATATCTTGGCTTAAACCACTAGCTTAAAATTCAGAAAATCCTAAATTCAAATCCTGGTTCAGCCACTTCCCAGCAGTGAGACCTAGAGACCACTACTGAGCAGTGAGATCAACTAAGCAACTTCTCTGATGGTGCTGACTTCATCATGTAGAGAGGATTAAGTTAGACAAACGTGGGTGAATTGTTTAGCATAATTCTGAGCACAAAGTAAATGTTCCAAAATGTAAGTGGTTGTTATAATAAAAAAAAAATCAAAGTCCTCCCTATAATTATGGGAGGAAACACATTGTGTGACAAATTAAGTGGGGAAAAAAATCTGCTCCTTTGTGGATAACTGAAGCTATCAATTCATTCACTGTCTGAGATATTTCAGAAGAAAATGGCTTAGGGAGAATCATTTGAACTATTTCTCATTTTAGTGCATAGTCAACCTGAGAGTGAGCATAGTAGATTAATCAGTGCTTCTAAAAACAGACCATCTGTCAGATTATAATTTAATTCAGGATGTTGCCCTAAACGGGGGGAAAACACTCTATCTGGCCACTGAGGAAGAGAACTGATGGCAATTATCAGTCAATTTGCAGTCAATGTTGTTGCATAAGTTTAAATTTCTTGGGGCCCTCAGTATAGAGTAAAAATGTAAATGAATAAGAGGTTTTTTTCTTTTTGACACTGTAGACATTAAGTTTTGCAAAATTAAATGACTACATTTACAGTCATGGAGGAGAGACATTGCCTCAACTCGGTTTCTTCTGATGTGTCTTTGAAACAGAGCCCTGCAAAGCTAATCTGCTCAACCTTCACCTACTGGGTTCAATGAATATGAAAAGCTGCCTTCCTGAAACTTTTCCTTCAAAGAGGGAATGATCTCCTGGAATTCAAGCTTCTACAAGGTGGCTACCTGGTGTTTTCCACTTTTGCCGTCTCCTAAAAAGCATCATTCAAGCCTTGCCCTTTCAACCCACTGAACACATAAACATGCTTTCTCCTTAACTGAACTTATGGCCACGATGAACTTGAACTCTGAGATTCACAGAGGAGAGTTTGTTTTAACAGCTGCTTTTACAATGAAGCCCTGGAGTTACTACTCTCAAGACCCCTGGTTCTGATAGGCCATCTTTTCACTGTCCTCTGCATTTTCTAATGCCCAGCTGTCAAGGAACACCCACTGAAGTTTTCCAAAACAAAGGCACGAAACACAAGAAAGGCAAGAGAATGCTAATCACCAGATGCATGGGCATCCTATGGGGGAACCCCTTACATGTGGAATACGGTTTTTCTCCCCAATTTATTTTTATAAATTTATTGATTTCTTTGCTAGTTTGTTATTAATTGTTAGAGATGTCCTGTTGCCTGAGGTTGCCCTGTCCGATATGGTAGCCACCAGCGACAGGTAGCTATTTAGAGTAATTTAAAAATTACATTAAAAATGCAGTTTCCTTGTCACTTAACCATGTTTCAAGTGCTCAGTATTAACCACATGTGACTAGTGGCTTCCATAAAGGAAGGCAAAAATAGAGAACATTTACATCGCTGCAGAAAGCTACTAGATTTTTTTGGCCAAGGCATAAGCTCTTTCTCATAAGAGAAAGGGGATGCAGATCTTGCTAAGAGTGATGGATTTCTGGGTTCAGCCTACATGAGTCATCTTCCATACTACCCCTGGACATGCTTTCCTTGGCTGCCAATTTTCTATTTTATAAATTTCAGGAAAGAGAGATTATGGTTGTTAAAACCATTCATGACAATGATCCCACTTTAGAGAAAACAACAGCAACAAGCAAAGAAGATGGTGTGGAGATCCGCACATTCCACATCTTTTAATTGGTACCCATTAAATAACAAAGGGAAAAAGTACCCTCAGACCACAACTCTCCACCTTGTGTGGAGGCCAAGGACCCAGCAGGGAGAAGGCAGAAGATTAGGTTCTCCACTCATCCTGGCTCTCAGACCACTGAACTCACATTTGGGTTCTAATGGAATGGTGATTGGAAGCATATTCTCCAATAGGAGGTTTTTAAAAGTTCTGTGCCATCAGCCAGGCAGCATCTGTCATTTAAAATGACTGGCCAGTTGCACGTTTAAAAGCAAAGATAAAATTGCTAATTTATACTTACTGAATAAACATCAGCAGTATCCATGAAGGTACCTACCCTAATAGCAAGTTGTATTTTTATTTTTATGGTGGTGGCGAAGCTGCCAGGAAAACCAAAGCATCAGTTCTTTAATTACATTTGTTTAGTATTGATTTAATACTAAAATTTCTCTTGCTCCCTTAGAACAAAGAGCTCTAACTTGTACACTGCTGTATCCTTAGCACCTGGAACAGTCCCTGGCCTACAATAGGCACTTAGAAAGTATTTGTTAAAAATTGATTTTTTTTTTTTAAAGAAACAACCCAGAGTTTTTTTATTCTGCCCCAACCCCCAACCCCTGGCATTAAAATAAATCTTCCTCAACTGCCATCACTAATCGCCAGGATTCCCTCCTAGCCAATTATGCTTGGACTCAACCTCTACCTCCCACTCCACATTCCAAAGTTTCTATTTCTTTCCATTCCAGAAGGGCAACTCCACAACAGGAGTGAGGGAGAGGACCTGGACTCCTCCTCAGAGTCCAATAACACTCCTAACCCTGCTCCCCCAACCTGTGGACTTTTTAAATCCATGAAAATAGAACCTGTCAAGCTACCACAAAATAGCATCAGAAGGCAGGATCAGTCTTTCATAGGCATACAATCTCTGTAAATACTGAAAAAAGATTATTAAAAGCCTGCTAAGTTTTGTCTCCAGTGAAATAGATGCAGGCAAGTATTTTGATTGTTCTGAACACATTAGAGATGAGTGCTACACAGAACTAAGGTAAACTTTGTAAATTCGTATGTCATAACACTTTGTTCCACAAAAAACTATCTTATTTTTTATACTCCATACTGATACAGCCAAATAATGTGGCTCTTATTTTCTAAAGATGCCAGCAATATGTTTAAACATGTCTTCATTGTAGTAAAAGTATCATATTTATAAAAAATACATATGCATTTAATGTGATATTCCTTATAGTCAAAATCTTGATATCATCCTGTTAATCTGGCTAAAAATGTATCTGTAAAATGAAAGAGAGGAATATTTTGCCATTCCCTAAACAACAGTTGTTTGAAGCTTTTGTAATTGCTGGTTATGGGAATTTACCAATAACAGGAATGAATTTGGATTTTCTTTTGCTGGAATCAAATGGACAATGTCATAATTAGCTAAATAATGTTGAGGCTAAATGAAGTTTGAGTTTTAGGCACATCCTTTATGGAATATAAACAGGAACCTAAAAGTTCATTCTGAACATAGGTTGTTTCTTTCTGCCAAAACAAGATTAATAGTCAGTACCCTAACGACAAGGTCCTATCACTGAAGTAGATTATCGGCTAGTCAAATGGGTTCCTAACAGCACCTCCCTCATGGGTTAAAACAAGAGGGTTAATGTGATGTGTATTTGCTTAATTTGGCTTGTTATACAGTAAACACACAGCAAACGTTAGCTATTGTTATCTTCATTTCCTTTGGAGAAGTTATCTTATTTCTCACCTTATTAAAAATAAACCCTAACTCATACAGGGACCCTCCTTACCTTGGTCCTTTCACCCATGAATACCATAATAACCTATACTGCAAAAAGGAGGCTCAGGAGGAGGATGAGGTATCAATAGGCCTCCGGGTCATTTTTATGATTTAGGTATTTTTTGAAAAGGGTAGGCTCTCTTGAAACTTCCAAGGTAGTTGTTGTAGTATTTTATTTTCCTTTCATAAGAAATGCTTTCTGAAATGTATTGCAGTGAACAAATAACAAAATTGACAAATGCTGTAAGCCTTTTACAGTTATCTGAACACACAGAATAAAGTGTAATCAAATTTGTGCACATTAGGTTTGCTTTTTCCTGTACCTAGCTGTCTCTTATGTGTTCAGAACCATTTCTTCCAATCACCTTTTTTTGTCTTCTGGCTATAATTTATCATTATCTACAAATTCAATAAATGGAGCATGCATATTTCATAGTTGAGATTCAATAATTCAGGACAACAGTACTAGAAAAGAAAAAATACCCAACAAAATATTAAGCCTCATATATTTTTGTTTATAAATCTAAGCATCATTTCCAACTCAGAAATATGTTTTTAAAGTATCCCTTTAAAATACATACTTGAAGCTGTCTAATTACACAAAGCTAGATACTTGGCTACTCAGATTTGAGGGAGGGGTTGTACAGGTTGGAGGGAATTTACAAAATTAAAATGTATCTTTTTAAAACCAAAAGAAACATATACATTCATTTCTAATCCACAGAGCCTACTTGCCTTTACAGTCTGCTGATAAACACTGATTTTTTAAACATTGTATATAAAATTAAATAACATGAAAAAATAAATATGCTTTATTATATAACACATAGAAATCTGTACTGCTCAAAATATTCAGAAAATTCTAGGTGTGGCTGCTTAAAACTGTGTTTAGAAAATATGGTAGTGATATTTACAATCTTTATTTCTTCTAGGGAGAGAAGCAGTGAGGTTATAAAATACTGGTATCAAACATTTTCTCTTCCTACCTACAGAAGCTGCAAACTTTAATACGAAAATGAGGTAGACAAAAATTCATAAGTTAGCCAGGCAGAAACAAAAGCACAATTCCTTCATGAGCTCATAAATTCTCATTACTTGGGTCGACAAGCATTATTCCAATGCACCTAAAGCAAGGCTCAGAGAACATTTTTAGGTTTGTCATGAAAAACCCGAACAAGCAATTTCTCCTAAGGAGAAGCACAGTTTCCAAGGTGATCAGCAAGCAGGTTGACAGGGCAATGCACAAAGGAACACCGAAGACCCATCTTGGATACATGGTATCACCTAGCAGACTTTTAATCTGTGATTATCTAGATGAATTAGCTTTCTCTAGAACGCTCTGGATTTTTAGCCTACTTTCTGCTGTGGTTCGATAGTATAGAGGTCTCTTTCCAATTTACTCCTCAAGTCATAGGACATATGCATAGACTACTTAATGTCCTCCTGGGACTGACTGCAGGAGTCAACTGAAAGGCATGTGAGTTTAAGAACCTTATTTCAGGCTGGGCATGGTGGCTCATGTCTGTAATCTCAGAACTTTGTGAGGCCAAGGCAGCGGATCACCTGAAGTCATGAGTTTGAAACCAGCCTGGCCAACATGGCGAAACCCCGTCTCTACTAAAAATACAAAAATTAGCCAGGTGTGGTGGTGGGCACCTATAATCCCGGCTACTTGGGAGGCTGAGGCATGAGAATCACTTGAACCCGGGAGGAGGAGGTTGCAGTGAGCCGAGATCGCACCACTGCACTCCAGCCTGGGCAACAGAGCAACACTCTGTCTCAAAAAAAAAAAGGAACCTTATTTCAAAAACAAACACTACCAAAAAAAGAGTCCAAAGGCCCATTTTAAAAAGGATAGAAAAGGTTGAATTTCTGGAGGATATTTCTCACCATCATGATTCTTAAATCCGCAATGACTTGAGCCAGAACCAATGGCTGATCTAAGATGGGGACTTAAACCCTAGGTTCACAGAAGCTTCATTTTAGGGATGCTGGAAGCTATATTAATAGTGATTTGGGGTTTCTTTCCTAAATACTGCTCTTTAGTAACAAGTGTTGAAGTAGGCAATCTCCATTTTGACCTTGGAGAAGGCTAATTCACACAGCAGCAGTTGCTTCTTGACATCATCTAATGCATGGGAGTACTGGGAGAGAGAAAGCAACCAGGCAGAAGGATTAATTGCTACCCTTGGTCCCTAATAAATCTAAGTTGCTTTCTGTTGAAAGCAACATGTTAGCACCTCCAACATACTTTTTATTGTTGTTAGTTTCACCGTCAGTTACAATGATGAAGCACCATGGAAGTGGCTTTATGGCTATTAACACAATTACTGAGGTATGCTTACATTTGGAATTACTAAGATATTATACCAAAGCATCCACAGAAATAAACACACAATTAAAATCAAAACTCTACAGTAAGAATCTGAAAGACTGCCCTCTCACTCATATATTTAGGAAAAGTAATATATTACAAAGATATTTTAAAGAAAATGCTTTTGATTTAATTTTTTAAGATCACAATTAAAAGCCTTGCAGAAGTGGCCTTGCTCTTAGACTGTAGAGGCTTCGCATATTTGAATAATGATCACTTTATAAAGAAACCATTGAAATCATATAGGCAGCAAAATGATTTTAAAAATGCGTGCACTTGCTTCTGTGCATACTAGAGCATTATAATTTCTTTCTCTCTCTCTCTTTCTTCCTCTGTTTCAGAGAACTGTGTGCAGGCCCAAGGAGAACAACTACATGAAATAAACCTTATGTTTTCAGTTACAATAATTAGCAGTTCATGTTTTAAAATTTAAACATTTATGCTCTTAAAATATCTGTGGGGGAGGGTAGTGATCCTGTGTAAAAAAAAATTTAGCGTATTTAGAAAGTGTTTAAGGAAGAGAATACCATGGAAATTAATTTATAATTCTCTAAGACTTATGTTTTTCCCCCTGTTTTCCCAAATAATTCTTCCTGGAGAGGTAAATATAGAATAATCAATGGAACTGAGATGATCAATGGAATTGAGTCTGGGAAGGGAAATGCAGGTTTCTTTTTTTCACCAAACCACAAGAATATGCAATAAATAGCCTTGTGTGTTTCTTCCTAAGGGTTAAGAGATTTTTTTTTTTTTGGGTCAAAGTTAATGAACTACGACTTTGTGGACAGCTAGTAGACTTTCTAAAACATAACTCTGGTACTGGTATTGCTGTTGGTCTAGTGAACTGGGTGAAAACACAATGAGCTTAAGAGGGAATTTCACGAAAAATAATATATAATAGGAGATGAGGGAAGTTGGGAATGTCAGAAGATGTTCCTGAGATTCTAAGGTTATTTCTGATCTTCAAAAATGTTCATCTGGGGAAGGTGCCATTATTGTAGGGAAAATGCTCCTACTGAACTGACTAGAGATACAACAGACCAGAGCTCTCTGACCCAGAGTGGCGTTTCTTAAGTTCTGGAAGAAAATACTTAACAGTCCAGCTAAATAGTACCAGTGGAGATAATGCTCCAAATTCTTCTAGATTTCTGCCTAATACAAAGTATAGTGATTATATAGTTAGTGTTACACCTGCAGACACGACCCCAGCCATTGAAACCCTTGACTCTTAGAAATGTCAACAGGTATTAACCATGTCACTTCACTTAATCTGCTCTTTAGCTGGTTTCAGGGATGGTTAAGACTTCTGAGAACCATACTGGGTAAAAAAACATTCTGGATATGACTTAATACAATACTAAATTCAGCTTCAGTGCAATTAATGTATTTACAGGACCATTTTTCCTCTATTTACATGAAACAGCCCTAACGGCTCCACAGCTTATGGGCACAACTCAGCCAAAGTATTGTTTTGACACAGCTGATGCTTCTGTTTGCCAAGAGCTGCCCCAGAAGTTTGCATCATATTTACAGTGGCAAACCTGTCTCACCATGTCAGCTGCTGGCTAAGCAGATAGCAAAGGAAGACTAGGACCAAAGCAAAAAATGGTCCCAAACGGGCTTCCTATCTCTGTGCAAGAGAGAGAACATTTCCGACACCCTAAAAGGCACCAGGTCACCTGTTCCATTTTTGGTCTTTTGCATTTTTAAATGATTTTAGTCTATTTTGTGGGCACAGACTTTGTAAAAATTATGTTCAGAGCTGTACCCGAGTCACACAGGCAAATTACAGTCACTGAAGAAAAATTGCTTTGGCCTCAGTAAGCAGGTATCTTTCCCAAAAAGTCAAAACTACTACAGCTTAGAAAAGGAAAGAATGTGTGCTATTGAGTTGTCTGTTAAAATCACTATGTATGTGTGTGTGTATGATGTGTGTGTGTGTGTGTGTGTGTGTGTGTGTGTGTGTGTGTATTTAGGCTAAGAAAAGGCAGCTACTTCTTGGCACCAGGTCCTGTATGAGGTACACTTATTCTTTAAAGTCACTTTGGCAATATCATAAAAAGTTAATTCTATTATGTGCCAATATGGAGAAAATAATAGACTATTTATAGCAGAGTTTCTGGGATGCCCTTGTAAGTGTGACAATTATCTGCCACAGAGGAGTGCCCCAGAATACCTTGGAATTAGATAGTTTGGTTAACAAACATGAATAGTTAGGGCCGTACCGAGCTCCAAGGGCCAGTACTCCATGCAGCGTCGTGTGGACAAGCATGTGTGTTACACTGCTCACGATCGGGAGGTTTATCAAGAATTTCACAGCTCAAATCTGGAAACCGTTCACCGTTGGACCGCTGACAGACCACCAGTCTTGTTCTTATGCCTCCACCACACAGCTTAGTGCACTGGAAGAAGGAAAAGGAAGGCTGCAGTTATTTTGTCTGAAAGGCCAATGACAAATTTCCTTTCTCCCTAATTTCTTAGCCAAACTCAATTATGGCATTGGGCAAGGTAAGCCTCTGACAGATGGAACCAAGGTGAATTACCAATAGTGATACGTAAAACAGACCAAGACTCTCCTACTTTAATGGCAGGTATTAGTTATTAAGTGCTTTCTCTTAACTTGCACTGAGGACTTTTGCATATATTATCTAATCAAGAGGAGTGTAATTATTTGCCCCATCTTATATATGAAGCAATTAAGGTGAAGGGAGGTTAATTAACTCGATCAAGTCCAATCTGTTAGCAAGTAACAAAGATCCTTTCTTTTTTTTTGAGACGGAGTCTTGCTCTGTCATCCAGGCTGGAATGCAGTGGCACGATCTCGGCTCACTGCAACCTCCGCCTCCCAGGTTCAAGTGATTCTCCTGTCTCAGCTTCCCGAGTAGCTGGGACTACAGGCGTGTGCCATCACACTCGGCTAATTTTTTTGTATTTTTAGTAGAGATGGGGTTTCACCGTGTTAGCCAGGATGGTCTCGATCTCCTGAGCTCATGATCCTCCCACCTCGGCCTCCCAACAAAGATTCTTTGAGAAATACCAAACCAAACCAAAACAAAACAAAAATAGACAAACAAAAACTACCCAATACCAAACAAAGGAGACAATGACTTAACTGGTTCTATTTTCTGGCAAATTTTAAGAAGCTGTCACCAATCCTTGGCTGTTCTCTGACTCCGTCTCCATAGCCCTTTATGACACTAACCTATTTTACTGTATCTCTGAATGTGAGGACAACTATGACTTTCCCCTTGGATGAATAAACAGCATGGTGGGAACACTGGATAAGGTTCTGACTCCTGGCTAGATCTAAACTTCTGAGGCAGGAACACGTTGTATTTCTTGGACAGTGCTGCTGCGCTCAAATCCAGCAACACTGACATTTGGTTTCCCTGCTGTGTCAAGGCCAGATCTCCCACAGAATTTGGAATGATCTGGTCTGTGCTGACAGCAAAGCATCCCAGCAAGTTCGTGTACTCTCCTGGCTTGAATCCAATTACAGAAGCTTAATCACAGGCCCCACAGGACAGAACTTTGCGAGGAGGTTTTGGGAAATCCACAATACATGAGTCACAAAGCCTCATTCCCTTTTCTTTCCCTTCAACAAAGCTCTCCAGAATGACATAACTGTCAATGAAAGTCAACAATAATCCCGTTATGACTGCCTATGACTACTAGGTTATATGGCTGAAACCATGAAATGTGGACACGTGATTTCATTCAGCCAAGGATGTGGACTAACATGCCCATCAATCTCATTTGTCTTTTTCCCCCCCTTGGCACTGGGACCTCCAAAGTGTTATTTCTCGTGTTTTATTTGATAAATGTTATAGTCAAGACAGAACAACTCAACAAACTTTAAATATGTGCTCTCCCTGTGGATTCAAGAATAGAGAGATATATTCTTAGTTAATTAAACACAAAACAATAAGCATCTAGGCCCTATGTATAATAAGGGCTCAAACCCCCACTTAGTCACAGTATTATTAATAATTATTCTTAACATTAATTATTACTACATTATAGTGGCAGTTAATTGATTAAAGGCGATGTGCTACGCATTTGATAGATACTACCTCATATCATGGTCATAAATACTAAGAAGTTGGTGCTATTACTATCCTTATTTACAGATGAGGATATAAATATTTGGCAAAGATACTACATTATTTGCCAAGGTCACAAAACTTTTAAGAGCCAGAGCTGAGAACAGGACACGGTTTTCTCAGCTTCCAATACTCAGTTGTCCCCTATCAGTCGTCACAGGCAACCCTGAAAAGGTAGCAGCTAAATAATTCCATATTTGAGAAAACACAGCTAACTACTCACTTCTGCAATAAAAATACATCATCTTTCATAGGAATTATAACACCTACTCAATCTGGCTTCATTAGTGACTTGGAATGTTGGGAGACATTATGCCATGGGAACAGGGCATAACACAAACACCCCAAAACTATGAAGAAGAGGGCAAGACTTCCATGGACCGATTTAACACATATTTTCAATCACTTTAAAAGCATCTATTTTTTAATCATCAGAGGTGAACAAATAACTTAAACCAGTATTTATCTGTATTCTCACCTAATTTTCCTCACCTGTGTACCCAAACTGTCTCTTAGTGGTAATAGGAACACTTTAAAATAGTCCAGAATTTAAGAAGACAGGTTTCCTAGTTAATCCCCACCCCAGAAGCTTCTACTAGAGCTAGTTCTTCTCCTTGAAAATAAAATCTGAATGATAAATACAGTTTGGTTAACACAATTCCTCTGTATTTATAGACGGATAGTTCACTCTCACCTCTCCCCAGTTGCCATAAGCCCACTGAGGACAAGGGCCGGATTCACAGGCTCTTTGCTCATCAGGTTTTATTCTCTCCACACAGTCGTTTGCGGTGTATCCATTTTCATCCTGACATACAACAACACGCCGCTGGGATCCGCCAGCACAGGTACTGGAACACTAAACACATCAGTCGACAAGTTAATCCCCACCTCAATCTCCATCTTAGGGACACAGAAGCAGCTGGTTGAAAGGTTAAGACAAATGTGCTGAAAAGCATTCTCAAGTCATCCACGAAGGACAAAAAGCAATCAGGAAAACCCAAGAACTTCCCCACTGTGGGGCTGTTTCATGTACACATCCTATAGACACACCTGGAGGGCAGAAATGTGTCTTCTCTTCTGGTGTGCCTCAGGCCCTCTACAGGGGTTCCATAAATGCCTAATGTGACTTCCAAAGCAGGCCACTTACTGTCTTTATCCCCTCTGCATCTCTAAGAGGTACAGAGGTGTTGATGGACACGACAGTTAATTTGGAAATTCTTTTCAAAACTTCAAGTGCCTATTTAGAACCAATATTTGATTTTCCTTTCAACGCGGAGGTCAAATTACATGCCTAATGAATTGCCAGTTGTAGAAATTAAGCTTCTGTATGAACTCCTTCAATTACTCCAGGAAAACATCATGGAATGTCATTTAGACATCATTTCCTAGCAGATAAAATGTTCCTTTCTCTCTCTTTACAACAGCCTGAACTTCGGTGGCTAATGGTAGTAAGACTTGTTTTATTTATTTTTTACTTCCCCAATGAACTTAATTGAATTTCATCATGACAAACCTCTCTTCGGCCGTGCTTTCAGCCTAACACCCTCTCTTTCATGGTTTGTCATGGGGTTATGTTTGCATTTCATTTCATTTCCCATACAAGCCTCTCATAGTTCACTTATTTACACCTGAAGTGTTTTCTTCTTTCCATAACTTCTTT
Organism: Homo sapiens; assembly: GCF_000001405.40. Taxonomy (NCBI): domain Eukaryota; kingdom Metazoa; phylum Chordata; class Mammalia; order Primates; family Hominidae; genus Homo; species Homo sapiens. Next base: position 64,597,796 of record NC_000003.12, read on the forward strand.
ATCTTTTTAAACCCAAAATGTTTGCTAGTGTCCTTTACCCCGACCCTTGTAAAATCAGTTTGCCTATAAAATAATCATCTGGTCCTCAAAGCAATGTATTTCTCACGATTTATCAAGACTCAAACTGCATTTGCAAGTATGTTGTTAGTTCCAGGTTCTGAAGGCTGATTTTTGCTTTCTAGCTAATCGTAGCTCATATCAGTGTTATTTCAAGATAGGCTCTATCAAACATTGCTTCTTGCTGGTCATCTTCTTCCGTATCAAGATGTGAATACATTTTGTTGCTAATTGAACTGGACCACTGTTAATTTCCCTGCCCATGCTGGTCAAATTATAAGTGTTTTTAAATCAGTATCTACACTTTCATTTTATATTGGGTTTACTTTTTTAATGTAGAGCTGGATAATAGATTTATTAGTTCCTCTTGAGAAAATATTTAGGTATTTTTCAAGTTATAAAAATGTTACCTCTATCTTTGATGATTCTGGTATACTTACTCTAAATCTCAAAATATTCATTTCCTATTTTTTTTTTTTTTTTGAGGTGGGGTTTTGCTCTGTCACCCAGGCTAGAACACAGTGGTGCGATCACAGGTTACTACGGCCTCAACCTCTCAGCTCAAGCAATCTTCCCACCTCAGTCTCCTGCATAGCTGGAGACCGTTGGTGTACACTACCACACCTGGGTAAATTTTTAAAATTTTTCGTAGAGACAAGGTCTCACTATGTTGCCCCAACTGGTCTCGAACTCTTGGCCTCAAGCAATCCTCCTGTCTTAGCCTCCCAAAATGCTGGGATTACAGGGGTGAGCCACCATGCCTGGCCTTACTTCCTACCTTCCTACTTTTAAGCAGCTTAGTACATAATAAAAAACAGAGAACTATTATTTTAATTAGCTTTGTTTGGGGACCAGAATTTTAAATGTTAGGAAGGGCCTTTCATGGTATAAATAGATTTGTCATCTATATCTTGGTCCTCGAGTTTTCTCCTTGATAATATAATCTTGTATCATTCCTTTATTATGTCACCTGTCAGCTTTATTGCCCCAGTAAAATGGCAGGCTCCTTGAGGAAAGGCTCAATGTTTTAACCTGTGTCCCTATTACCTTCCATAGTGCTGGTCACAGGATTTGCTACCTGGTCCAGTTAAAGATTCTGGAAGAAACAGCTCTAGAAACTCCATGGTATTCTCTCTCCAATATGTCTGATGGGTGCAAGGATGAACACCTGATCCATGGTCAAGCAATCCACTGGCCACCCAGGGAGTGACTGGATGCTTCCTACCGAGAATCCAACTGAAGTGCTGGTGATAGCTCTCAGCTTGGGCCAAGCAGTTGCACTGCACATTCTTGAGCTATCTGAATCCTGAGCCTGCTTGGGTCTTTATACTCCCACAGACAGATGAAGTATTGTACATAACCTTTCTCCAGGTCTAATTTTGCCATTATTTGATTAACAGGGATTCTTAGTTCCATTTCTCCATGTTGCAGACTTTCAGTCTGGACTTTTGTTAACAAAGTCCCTGTCCTCTTTAAATGACAACATTTTCTTAGGTAAACATTTATTTGAACAAACTTTGAATCTATTAGTAAAACGTACTTGAAATTTGTCATCCACAATGGACAAAATAAAGGAGAATGGCCTTTAGAGAAGCAAAGGGAGACAGATATTTGTTTTTTTCTACCTGCTCAAATCAACATCCTTTTCCTTACATCTGGCAGCCCAATTTCCTTTAAGAAAACATTCCTCCTCATGGCAGATGCCATCTTCATCTATCAATTAAGACACTCTGCCCTATTGTGGTCAGAGGTGGGCAACTGGACTTTCCTGGGAATTTGAATCCTCAGCAGAATAACTCAAGAGTGGCAAAGGCTTAAAAGAGATTCATTAAGACAGAAACTCTCTAAAGAAATTATCCCTTAGTTACCCCTCTATCTAGATCAAGGGTTGGCAAGCCACAGCCCAAAGACCAAATGTGTGCGGCCACCTGTTTTTAGAAATAAGGTTTTATTGGAACAGAGCCATGTGCACTTATTTACATATTGTCTATGCCTGCTTTTGTGCTGCAACACACAGCTGATTAGCTGTGACAGAGACTGTATGGTTCACACAGCTGAAAAGATTTATTATCTGGCCCTCTGCAGACAAAACTTGCCAGCCCCTGAGACAGAGCCCTGAAGATGCTCTGGTCCCTGTCCCTACTGCGGCTAAATGAACAGCTTTGTTTGTTTTTCTTTCACTTGAGTCAGTTTCTGTTCTTTTTTTTTTTTTTTTTTTTGCAAAACTCCTAATTGCTAACACACCTTGCTCAAGTGTATACAGAAATCTATTATAAAATGAAGTTCTTACTCCAGAAACCACTGAAAAACTTGATTCCCATTCCCCAGTGTTTATAACCCTTTGCCGCCTTTTCTGCCATGGAAGGCAGGAAGACCATGTACAGTTTGTGTACCATGCAATGCAATGCAAAGATGACGTACATCCTTCATCTTCCTGGGAGCAGGTCAGACACGTCAAGCTAGGGCTGAAAATCACATTGTCCAGCTTCAGCCTCACTTAACGTAGGGGAAAAAATATCCAAACAAAAAACAGGCACAATGAGGAAAAGAATGGTATTACCCATCGCCACAAAAAGCTTACCTAATCCTCCCTAATTGGGAGCTCTGCCCAAGGGCAGAATCATTCAATCTTAAAGGAATGCATCATCCCCAAATGTAGTCCTAAATAAGCACAGCACTAAAACACTTTCTTTAAATCCTAGCGCTATCATTAGACTACACATGTGTGAGTTTTGAATTTTGTCAACAAGGAAAAACCATGAGACACTCGGTGATTACTTCCTTGGATCACCTTTTACTTTCTCAGAACTGAAATCTCTTCTAATCTAGGCAAAGGAAGCCCAAAAGTGGAAAGCAAGAGAGGGGGATGGGATAGCGAGGGTCTTGGGCAACTTGGCAGCTGTTCTGCACACAACCAGCAAAGACAGTGGGTGCAAATGCTCAGTGGCTAATTAGTATTCATCAGAAAGTACGTCTAATTTACTGAAACATAACCGCAGTGGGAAACAGACAGCTTCCTTCTAATTCTTTTTAGCCCAGAAACAATTAAACAGAATTAGCAGTACTAGAAGGAAACTAATAGTAAACAATTAAAAAGAAGACCCCTGAATAATTAGTAAACACCTAACTACGTCCCTACCCAGGATCCTTTAAAACCCTCCCCCTCCTGCAGTTCCATTTAACATGTCTGGTATTGCACAGCATATTTTTTTTTAATTATTTAGTAAAAACTTCAAAACATTCCAAAGCATACTTTTCCTTTGATATCAGATATTTGTCAAGGCCTCCCTAATTTGAAGGACAATGATAATGATAATAATAAAGACAACTGTCGACATTTATTAAGTTCTCACTCTGTGGCAGGCGGGGCGCAAAGCACTTTATCTGCATCATCTTATTTAATTCTTACAGCAACCCAAGAAAGCAGGAATTATTGTTATCCTCATTTTACAGATAAGAAAACTGAGGCTCAAAGAGGAGAAGGGACCTGCAGAAGGTCCCCAAATTTAGAAGTGTAAGTCATTGGATCAAACCTACGCATCTTCCCTCAGAGATTGTGCTGATAACCTTAAGGTTAGAGTACTTCTCTCCTAAGCACAAATCTTACCTAGTCTAGTATTTCCCCCTAATCCAGGACAATGACCTACTACTACAAATTACACAGCAACCATGCCACTTTGAGACTGCACCCTTCTGGAAAATAGTAGAGGGGAAAGTGACTTTCATTAAGAATTCCCTTTCAGAAAAGTTTCTCTGTCTTCTTAATTCCCCTACAGGTATGAGCTGCCTGTGGCCTCCAGGATGAATCCTGATGGTATTTACGGTACCTCCAGGAGGCCATGTGATCATATCACCTAGCCATGATATCCCCTTTCTCCACCCAATCGAGACAGCTTATAGGTGGACGCAGGCAGTATCAGTATCATCAAGGGCTGTAATTAACCCATTACAAGTTACTCAAAGCAAATGAAAATGCACAATGTCAATCCCTTGTAAAGAAAAAAATATGCTCTAAAGGTGTTTCTAGTCTCTTTTACCCTAAACCCAACCTCAAGTGAAAGAGAAGCAAGCAAACTTCAGGGAATACTCACTGCTCCCCAGGGGCCAGTTCTCCACTGGTTTCCACCGAGCACATGGGTGCGGCTGGGGCTGGCGCTCCGGGGACGATAGTCCTCATTTTGGAAGGGGTGCTGAGCTAAGCCACTGTCTGGGGTCCTTTGAGGGCATGGTGACATGGAACAGTCCTGGTCAGTTTCTGGGATATAATCCTGGTCACACTCACTCCGATCGATCACGTGGTCACTGTAGTTGACACACATCACTTGCCGGGTTGCCCTACCTTGCCCACAGGTCACAGAGCACTAGGTTGAATGTTCAGAAAGAGAAAGGGTCAGTCATTTGGTGGAGGGGTTGACAATTCCTGAATGTGCATTTCTGTAAATGGCCCACCACTTTCCCAAATTGCTCAGGCCAAAAACCTTGGAATCACCCTTGTCTCCTCTTTTTTTCCCATCCCATATCCATTTCAGTGAGAAATCTGTCAGCTCAGTATTCAAAATCACAAAATATAACCCTTTACAACAAAAGTCAAATCCTATCCTTCCTTCCAGTGATTTTCCAACTCATTTGAATAATACCCAAAATCCTTACATTGATCTACTAGACCCTTTATGATGTGGCCACTGACTACCCCTTTGACCCATCTACCATTCGCCACTCACTGCACTCCAGCTATGCTGGCCTTACTGATGCTTCCTGAACAAGCCAAGAACACTTCCATCTGAGGGACTTCATACCTACTGCACCTTTTGCTGTACCACTTAAATTCCCATGTGTGTCATTCCCTCACTTCATTCAGGTCCTGCTCAATGTCAGGCCTTTTTTGACCACCCTCTCTAAAAGCACATCCCATCTTTCTCTATTCCACTTCTCCTCTTGACCTCTTTCTAGGACTTATCAGTACCTCTTGCTATATTACATACTTCCTTATTTGTTCATTGACTGGATCATCCATTGGAATAATCTCCATGAAGGTAGGGGCTTTATTATTCATTCTTCACTGCTCTTTCTCTAGCAAGCTTTCACAAATATCTGGTGAGTAGGCAGATGGATCTTAGAGAAGATGAACTGACGGATGGACAGATGGATGAATGGATGCATGGATAAGTGTTTGGAAGCTCAAGACATGAGAGTGAGATTATCTACTATTTATTGAGTAGTACTTTCTGCTAAGCATTTGACGTACATAATCTCAAATAATCCTCACAACAGCCCTGTAAAGTAGTATTCTTTTCCGTCTTCTTTAAGAGCAGAGCACACTGAGACTCATGGACTTAAACCACATTGCTCAAGGCCATGCAACAAGTAAATGCCAAGGTCTGGGTTTTTACAGAGCTCTGTTTCATTGCACCTCTCAAATTTCTCTCTCTATATTATGATATTTATTGAGATATTAATCTCCATTCTTCTTATGCCCTCTCCTCACCTATACTAATGTATTTCTTGAACTCTGGGCTTTTTGCAGGGCAGAAAACAAGAAGCTGCCTAAAGATAAAAGTTCTACTTGTAAAAAAACCCATAGATAGTGCTTGGTGTACAGCAGGCAGGTTCACAGCACTGGATGAGGATTCCCACTTCCCATTCTTGTCAGGGGAAACCAAGAGCCACTTGATTTTTAGGGACCACAGGATGCAGGAGGAATCTAGACTCAGAGTAAGAGCCTCTCCCCTCACTCTCCTGACATTTTTGGTCCTCTACAAACCTACTGCATACTAATATGACTCAGTGAAGACTGGGATTTCTGATCAGCCCAACAGGACAGACACTCAAGCAGACTGTAAACCGATTTATCCATTTTTTGAAATGTGCATTCCTTAAACATTTAGCTAAGAGTCCTTGCACACTTGGCCAACTACACATAAGTGGAGCAGCACAATTTAAATCATAAGACAAATCCAGCTCTGAAATATTACCCATTGACATTTCCAAGTGGCGCCCCCCTCCGCTGACTCCTCATAGCCCTCAATGTTTCCCCCATTCCCCCTAATTCCAAATAATCCACTGGCTTACAGAGCTCCAGTCCAAGGCCTTCCATTGCCCACAGGGTGTCACAGAACATTCTTCCTTTGCCACTGGTCTAGGCAGGGTAGCACAGGCACTCTCGTCAGCCACAGAGCCATTCTCATCTCGGCAGCTGACGTATCTCATCCGGGTACCTTTCCCACAAGTGGCTGAGCACTGGGTGTTGGAGTAAAATCATGCAGTTATATTACGTGGAATGGCTGCTTACTGGACAGTAGCCCACTTTCTATAGCCATGTCTGAGAATGTTAGCCCCCATCCTGCCCTCCCCATTTCTCCCAGTCTATTTCTTACTGGGGTCCAAGACCCAAATCGCCACTGGGTTCTTGGTGCACTGTATGTGCTTCTCCTCGTTTCCGGGGCAGCTGGGGGAGGATGACATGATGGTAATTCACAGTCCTAGACGTGATGGGGGAAAAAAAAACAAAGTCACTTTCAAGTCAATGCACTTTCAAGGTAATGGTCATGGTGGATAAAAATGTAAAGGCTAAGAATTCTAAGGCTTCAGATTTCTGTGTGAATCTGGGCAAGTCACATGACATCTCTCAGTCCCAATGTCTTCAACTGCAAAATGAGATATAATCTTAGTCCTTTTGTGGGTGCCTTAATAAAGGGCAGGGGTCAGCTTGAGGATTTTTAAAGCCATATTTATTCATCCGTTTGTGTAAAAAGAGAAAAAATATTGTAAAAGGACATGTAAGTCATGAAATAGCAGGATATCATTTTAAAATCATTAGTTGTTAACGTTTTAAAACTCTGAAGGCCAAATGATGTTCTCACATTTCAATTAATTTCTTAATCAGAATTTGCTAATCATGAACTTGCTTTCCCTGTTTGCCCAAAGATAACATCAGAATCCCAGAATGTCAAATGTAGATATAAAAGGTGTATTCAATTGGCCAATGCCTGGACTTCATATAACACCCCTCAATCATGCAGACGAAGTCCCTGTTATGAACTGAGGTCATCTGCGTACAGGTAATATTCCAAGATATGCAAACAGGAACAAAAGTACACACCTGCTCATATTCACTCTCAGCCTCAGTGGTTAAAAATTATCCTGTGACTTAATACATATTCATCAAATGCCTGAGTGTGCTGTACACAGTGCAAAAGTGCTGAGGCTTGGTGTCACATATGACTGAGACATCTTTGCCTTAGAAAATCTATGTGTGGAATGTGAAATTTTGTTACGTGGCTCCAGACTTTGCCTATTCCTCTGTTTTTGGTCCAAAGAAAGCCACCGGGAACTTTTTACAAAGTGAAGGAATTATTCACATACTGCAATGGTGGGAGCCATCCCATAGTCAAATGGATATAATAGAATAACTTAAAGGGAAATATATTTTGAATCTGAAAGGGAGCAGCCAAGTCCTCAGTTCATGATTGCTTTAGATGCCATAGCTAACATTTTCCAGGCATTCATCATTTGGAACATTTCAATAAAATAATATATTTTTTATTATAAGTCACATATGTTGGTTAATTGATCGATGATGACAACATGAACAGCACTGCCATATTAATTTATTTTTTTAACACTCTTTATCCATTAACAACACACTTTGAAAGGCAGCAGATTGAGGGTGTTCAGGATGGAGATAGTACATCAGCCACATGGGGCTTCACTCAGAGTGTGAGTTCTGGGAATAGCCTGGGTTCAAATGCCATCTTCAGCAATTAGCAAAGCTGCTATGCAAACCCGAGTGTTCTCTTTATGTATTCTCTTTACATACATGATGCCAAAATCAAGGCCCATATAGAATAGTATGCTGGTGAGTGGTTATCCACCAGCTTCTTGAGAAAAAAGATGTGTGTGTGTTTATAGATATTTTGTGTACACAAACACACACATATTACATGCATGTACATACACATACATATGTACATATATGCTTATTTATTATAAATTTTACTGATATAAAGGAGGTATAGCAATTTTGAAATAACAATAAAATATACAATTATATATTTTAAATTCCATACAGCCAACTGATTCTCACAGAATACATTTGTTGATTTTTGCTGAACTTTTGAACCTGTTGCCCACCTATGTTTGTAATTGCCAAATGAGCGTAGTTCAGGCATGAATGTTAGTTGATATTTTCTTTATGTTTAAGGGTAGGATGAAAGTGGAATGATGAAGATGTATGGCCAGAACTTGACTCACTGACCAGTGATGTGGAAGATGTCTTTGCTGAATCAGATACCTTTCAGATATTAGAAGAATATTTCCACATCCTTTTGTTCTATTCACAATGTAACTGCTACAGACACAAGACTCGTTTACATTTAATCTGCATCATTAACATTTTCTCCATTACTTTCTTAAGTCTAACCAATCAACCAAATAATAAATTAAGCCCTGAATTGTAGCCCTTGCTGATTCCTGTGGTGTAAATACTCTCATCATGGCCATTTTCAAGCTATGAACTTGATGTCAATGAACACAGAGCTGGGGAGAGATAGGTGGCAGCACACCCTTACATAGTACATCCACCATACAGACACATACGTACATTGTATAAGTTAAGTTCTGAGTGTTTATAAACTTTGCTTTTAATACCCTACATTTAATTATAGATTTATATTTTCAGTTTTTAGTAATGGTTATACTTAATAATCAGTTTGCAAAACTCCTGCAAAATTTATCAATTGGCTCTTGTGAGCTGGTACAAGTTAGCTCCAGCAAATCACCGCCTGAACATGTGACACTAGTTACTGAATACTACATTGAAATCATTTTAGAAATATGAGTTTAAGAAAATGAGCCCAAAACCCAACATTCATCATCCAATAGGAATCAAAAGCAAATCTACATATACTTCAAATAACCAGAGAAGAACAAAACTGACACAAGATATTTGATTATAAATGTAACATACAGGTAAATCTGGACAAATTAATCTACTGGTTGCTCTACTGACATACTTATCTATGAAAGGATTTCAATTTTGTCTAAACAGCTGGGCAGTTTGGTACCTTGGTCCCCAAAGTCAATAACTGAGTTGGACAAAGGAAACTTACCTGGGTATCAGTTGGTCTAGTTGCTGCATTACAGTCATTGTCATCTACCACTGACATATAAGTCCCAATGATGCATTTCACTGCTCTTAGCTGGTATCCCTGTCCACAAGTGACACTGCACTGGAAGAAGGAGGACAAAAGGTATATACAATTCAGCAAATCTTCTCTTTCCCTTACTTTCCCCATAACATTCTGCAAGAGAGAAATACTTCCATCACAGTAGGCCAGAGGGCTGGCGCTCAAATAAACTAGGTCGAAGTGGGCAATCCTGCTCTGTACAAATTATACTGATTCATTATTATGATGACCCTTGGAATTATTTCTGCCTCCCATTGAAATGATATTTATAGGGGTTCAACTCATTAACTGTGAACTCCTAGAAGGAGCAGACTGCATCTCCATCATTTTTACATCTTTCACACTACCTAGCAGAGTGCTGTGGCTAAAATAGGTACTTAATAGAGCTCTGTGACTTTATTTGACTTCTAGGAAATTATCCTGAAGAAATAACTGGAGTTTGCATCAATATTTTTATAAGAGACAAAAAAACTGGACACCACCAAAGTATGCAACAACCAAAAGTTCAATATCACAGCATACAGGTAGTTAGGAAAATAATGTAGCCACTAAAAGGCAAAATGTTAGATTATAAAAAGCAGACTAAAAACAGTAAGTAGAGGAAGTGATGCCACAGAAATGGCAGACTAGGGAGCTCCAAGAATTGGTCCCTCCACTGAAGCAACTGTTAAGCTGGCAAAAACTGGAATCAACTTTTTGGAACTGTGGAATTTAAACAAAACCTTGCAGAAACTAGGTGAATGCTTAATAAAAAAAGAAGCCACTCAATTTTGGCATTTCTGATTACCCACCTACCACACTACATATTCCTCTCAAACGTGCAGGGATCTTTTTTAAAGAGAGACCATACGTTAGGCTGCAAAACAAGTCTCAATATGTTTTAAAAGAATGAGATCCCACAAGCACAATGGAGTGAGGCAAGAAATCGGTAATAGAAGAAAAACTAGAAAATTCACAAATATGTGAAAACTGAACTACATATTCTTAACCCATAGGTCAAAACAGAAATCATAAGGGATATTAGAAAATACTTTGAGATAAATTAAAATGAAAGCAGAATATAAGAAAATTTGTGAGATGCAATGAAAGCAATGTTCACAGGAAATCTATAGTTGCAAACACCTACACTAATAAAGAAAAAAAAAAAATGAAGAAAGATCTCAAATCCACAACCTAACTTTACTTCCTAAGGAACTACAAAATTAACAGCAAACTAAAACCAAAAAAAAAAAAAAAAAACAAGAAAAGGAAGGAAATAATAAAGATTAGAATGGAGATAAATGAAATACAGAGTAGAAGAATAATAGAAAAAAATCAACAGAACCAGAAATTGATTTTTTGAAAAGATCAACAAAATTGATAAACCTTTAGCTAGCACGACTAAGAAAAAATGAGAAAAGACTCCAATTACTGAATATCAGAAATGAAGGAGGGAACATGTCTACTGACCTTACAGCAATAAAAGTGATGCCAATATATTAGAGAATCTAGATAAAACATGCCAACTTACGCAGATTGCCTAGAAACAGACAAATCACAAAAACTGACTCAAGAAGAAATAAAAAATATGAACGGACATATAAGAAGTAAAATGACTGAATCATTAATCAAAGTCTTCCTCAAAAAGTTTGTACCAGTTCACTCATGAATTTTACCAAACATTTAAATAAACATTAATACCAATCCCTTTCAAATGCTTTCAGAAAAAAAAAAATCAAAGAATAGGAGAACACATCCTAACTTATTCTATGAGGCCAGTATTACCCTAACACCATAGCCGAAGACAACACACACACACACCAGATTAATATTGCTTATACAGATGTAAAAATCCTCAACAAAGTACTAACAAATTGAATCCAATAGCATACTAAAAGGATAGTACATCATGGCCAAGTGGGATTTAGTCCAGGAACATAAGGCTGGCCCAACATAAGAAAATCAATCAATGCAATACATTACGTTAATAGAACAATGGAAAAAAAAACATGATTATCTAAATTAAAGAAAACCATATGACAAAATTCAACATCTTTTCATGATAAAACAATTCAGAAATCTAGCAATAAAAGGGAACTTATTCAACATCATAAAGAGCAGTTAGGAAAAAAACCCACAGCTAACACCATACTCAATAGTAGAAGAGTAAAAACTTTTCCCCACAAGATCAGAAACATGACAAGGATGCCCGCTTTCACCACTGCTGTTCATCATTGTACTGGAAGTTCTAGCCAGAGAAATTAGGAAAGAAAAAGAAATATTAATAAAAGACATGCAAAGAAAGCGGGAAGGAAGAAGTACAACTAATTCTATTTGCAGATGTCATCATACTATACATTGGAATCCCAAGAATCCATTAAAACTATTACTACAGCTAATAAACAAATTTAGCAACATTGAAGGATACAAGATAAACAGAAAAGCCTATTGTGTTTCTATACATCAGCAATGAACAATCCCAAAAGTAAATTTAAAAAAAAAAATTCAATTTACAGCAACATCCAAAAGAATGAAATACCTAGGAACAAGCTTAAACAAGGAGGTAAAGGCTTTCTACACTAAAAACTATAAAACTTTGCTCAAGAAATTAAAGAAGACCTAAATAAATAAAAAGATATTACATGTCTATGGATTAAAAGATTTAGTATTGCTAAGGTGACAATATGCCCCAAATTAACCCACAGATTCAGTGAAATCCCAATCAAAATCCTAATAGCATTTTTGCAGAAATGAAAAAGCGGATTCTCAAATTCATATGGAATGACAAGAGACCCCAAATAGCCAAAATGATATTGAAAAAGAACAAAGCTGGGGGAATCATACCTCACAATTTCAAAACATACTACAGTGATCAAAACAGTCTACTGGCATAAGAATAGATGTATAGACTACTGACATAAAATCTAGAGTCCAGAAATAAACCCATATATCTATGGACAAGTGACTTTCAACAAGAGTGCCAAGACCACTCAATGGAGAGAGAACAGCCTCTTCAGCAAGTGGTGTTGAGACAACTGGATACCTACATGCAAAACCATGATGTTGGAATCCTGCCTTATGCTATATACAATAATTAACCCAAAATGGATCAGTGGCCCAAACATAAGAGCTAAAACTAGAAAACTCTTTTAAAAAATGGCAGAAAAACTTCATGACATTGGATTCGGCAATGACTTCCTTGACATCATAAACAAGGGCAACAGAAAATAGACAAATTGGACTACATCATAATTTAAAACCTTGTGCATTAAAGGACACTATCAACAAAGTAAAAAGGCAACACAGGGGATGGGGGAAATATTTGCCAATCATATCTCTGATAAGGAATTGACATCTAGAACCTACAACTCAAGAACAACGAGAAAAACAGATCAAAAAATGAGAAAAGGAACATTATTGAATTATACATTTAAAATAGTTGAGAGAAATTCTGTGATGAGTTTTATTTTACTATTAACACAATTCATATTTTTTTTTAAAAAATTGGCAAAGAAGTTGAATAGACACTTCTCCAAGGAAGATATATTCAAATGACCAACAAGCACATGGAAAGATGATCAGTATCTTTTGTTATTAGGGAAATACAAATCAAAACCATAGTAAGATAAATTTATCTTACTTGGAATTTTAAAAAGGGAAAATAACAATTTTGGCGAGGATGTGGAGAGAATGGAACCCTTGTATTATATGATAATAAAAATGCAAAATTATGCGGTTGCTGTAGAACATCATTTGGTAGTTAAAAAGTTAAACCCAGAGCCGGGCACGGTGTCTTAGGCCTGTAATCCCAGCATTTTGGGAGACCAAAGAGGGCAGATCACGAGGTCAGGAGATAGAGACCATCTTGGCTAACACGGTGAAACCCCGTCTCTACTAAAAATACAAAAAATTAGCTGGGCATGGTGGCACGCACCTGTAATCCCAGCTACTCAGGAGGCTGAGGCAGGAGAATCGCTTGAACCCAGGAGGCAGAGGTTGCCATGAGCCGAGATGGCGCCACTGCACACCAGCCTGGGCGACAGAGTGAGACTCTGTCTCAAAAAAAAAAAAAAAAAAAAAAAAAGTTAAACTCAGAATTACGGTATGATTCAGCAACTCCAATCCTAGATACACATCCAAAAGAAGTGAAGCCAGGTACTGAAATAAATGCCTGAAATAAATATTCATAGCAGCACTATTCACAATAGCCAAAGGTAGAAACAACCGAAATGGCCATTGAGGGATAAATGGATAAACAAATTTTGGTATAGCCATACAATGGAATATTCTTTGGCCAAGTACTGATACATGCTACAATATAGATGAATCTAGAAAACACTGCGGTATGTGAAAGAAGTTAGGCACAAAAGGCCACAAATTGCATGATTCCATTTCTATGAAATGTCCAGAATACGTAAATCCATAAACACAATGCAGACTGGTGGTTGCCAGGGACTGAGGGAAGAGTGGGGTGGGGAACAAATGCTTAGTTCAGTGGTCCCCAGACTTTTGGGCACCCAGGACCAGTTTCATGGAAGACATCTTCCACAGATGGGGTGGGTGGGGGTGGTTTTGGGATGAAACTGTTCCACCTCAGATCATTAGACATTAGATTCTCATAAGGAGTTCACAACCTAGATCTCACAGTTCACAATACGGTTTGCACTCCTGAGAATCCAATGCTGCTGCTGATCTGACAGGAGGTGGAGCTCAGGCGGTAATGCTTATCCACCACTCAACTGTTGCTGTGCAGCCTGGTTCTTTACAGGCCATGGCCCATGGCCCATGACCCAAGAGTTGGGGACCCCTGGCTTAATGTATACAAGGTTTCCTTTTGGGGTGATGAAGTTTCGTAACTAGGTAAAGGTGGTAGTTGCAAAACATTAAGAATATGCTAAATGCCACTGATTTGTTCGCTTTAAAATGGTTCATTTTGTATTATGTGAGTTTCATTTCCATTAAAACAAACAATTGGCAGAGTACAGTCACAATATTAATTTAAAAAATATTAGAAGCAAATCATAAACATGTTAGCAACAACTAATTTCTTCAGTGTAGAGGTAGGACTGGGTTTGGTTTTCTTCTTTTTGCTGAATTACATTTTGCAAAATTTCTCTTATGAATATTTACGACCCTTAAATAACACCTCCAAAAAACTGTTCCCCTGAACTGCATGTTCAGTTCAAGGAAAAAAAAAGATCTCTAATTATAAGATGTGCTAGGAATGGCCTGGTGTAGAGACAGATGACAAACAGGCCTGTCAATTCTAACAGATGTTATATTCAGATCTTGACAGTGACCCTAAGCTGTGTTCTCCTCCTCTTATTATTCCCTAAAAGTTATGCAGATACAGACAAAAAGAAGATGAGATTAGAAGTATAAGTGAACTCTCCCTATTAATTCAGACATGATTGGCAATTTGGACTGTGGATGCTATGAAATGGGGAAGATTCAGAAAAGTGCCCATATCAGTGATAGAAATTGTAAGGGTGCCATAATAAAACTGCTTCCACTTGTTGCATGCATATTTGGAAATGAAGATAGAGGCTAAAAGACTGAGTGGCTGTGGCTGGTCAGGGTGAAGGGAGGGTCATTCTTCAAGAGATTACGCAAGTGACAGCAGACAGCTGTTCTACTTCTAATGGGAACTCAGAGTGCTACTTAAATAGTACCCTGAACGCTTCTGCTTCTATATTAGGAAGGACTTAATTCCGAGAGTAGTGGCTTCTCAGATGCAAGCCCAAGGGAGACTTTCACTCTCTCCTTTAAGAATAGCTCAAGTTAAGACTGTGGAACCTACAGACTAGAGGACTTGGAAAAGATTATTTCCAAGCATGAGGGTTTTGCAACCTTTGATCTAATTAATTATGTTTGAAGAGTCTGGCTTATTTATGAGAGGTGAGCTTTGTAATTGTGACATTGGGAGCCAAAATATCTTTTCCAAATCTCATTCCAGACCTTCCTGCCAGAGACTCTGGTGCTGGATCACCTTCTGTAACAGACCCACAGAGGCACGCTAGAAGATAACATCAGCCAGACATGAAATCTGTTGTGAATTTGTTCAAACACTCGTCTGCTCAAGCTAAAGGGCAAAGATAGGCACGTGGGTCTGTAAAAGGGTAATCAGCTCCAGGAGGGCAGGCAGCAATCCTTGGAAGGGGGGCAAAATGGTTGCAGAGTTACATGTGCTTGATCCAGTGCCATGGAGGTGTCCTGCATGCCACCCGGCACAGCGGTTAAATCTCCACCACTGGAATGCTCCTTTGCAAGTCCTCTCCAGATAAGAAGGAAAGAATGTAGCAGTTAAGAATCTTATCGTTCAAAATACCTGTCCCCAGGGACCCGCCTGCCAGGATGCACATTCCGGCTGCTGACAAGTCTGCATAGATGTTGGCTTGGTCTCAGGGTCACACATTCTATCATTTAATCGATCTTCACCAAACTGACACCAGACCTGGCGGTGCTTATGCCCTTTTCCACAGGTGACCAAGCACTGTAATGAAAAGCGGAGCTAGTCAGGGTCATTTCTGATCAATGTGTTGTGGTTTCTGGGGTTATTTATTGATGAGTAGGAACAGGTGTGTCCTTTTCCCACAGCAATCACTCTCCCATAGCAATTTGTAAATATACTAAGCCTCATTTTTTTCCTTTTGTTCGTTCATTTATTCATTCATTCTATATTTATAGTCTCTGGGCCAGTTTTGAGCACAAAATAAACTAAACACAGCTCCATGCTATAAAATTTGAAAAACAACATTCATAATTTTATAGCATAGGAGTTAAGCATGGGGAATTATAAATCACATCAACCTAAGTTTTAACACTTATATAACCAGTCACAAGATCTCTCTGAACCTCAATTTTCTCATCTGTAAAATGAGAATTAGTGTCTACTGCAAAGGGTTGTGAAAACTAAATGAAACAAATACAAGTAAAGCTCTTGGCACAATGTTCATTTAATAAATGCCAAATGTAATCATCATTTTATCCATACTTACTGTAGAAAATTTGAAAACTGTAGAAAAACATAAATGAAAAAATTATAATGACCCAAAATCTCGCTACCCAAGGATAACCATTATCAATATTTTATTATTTTCTTTCCAGTCTTTTTAAGCAACTTTGGATTATAGTGAATTTACAGTTTGATCTCCCAACCCCCATTTTATCGCATATTATTGCAAAGGTTTGTTACTTAGTTTGAAATTATACTTTAGTATTAGCTATCTAAGTAAAATTTAAACCTACTACTTATCTTTTTTTAACCAAATACTAGAGATTTTTAAGCAAAGGCAATTTGTTAACCTAGAACTAAAGCACTAGGTTTGCAGTTCATTTGTCCAGGAATCAGACACTGTTAATCAAATACACTGTTAATTGACTGCCATTTCAGGGGCATTAAGAGTATCCTTTTCAGATTTATTTGATGGTGAAAATAAGCAGTTAATACTGCACTTATAAGGATGGGATAAGAGCATGGATGTAGGAGCTGTAGCAGGGAGACTTTTTCTTTCCCCATATTCCTGATTTGGCCCATTAAAAAGGAAACTTCTGTTTCGTATTTCTTATTTCCCTTCTTCCCCTTAAGGAACGTGGAGTGAGTCCCTGCTTGGTAAGAATCTCCTTGGGCTGTGTTAACACTGGGCTGTGTTAATAGTGAGTGCTAATACTATATCATAAAAGCAAGAAAGAGGCTGCATCTTCTTTCTCTTGTTGTCCTGGGACCATCTGTGCTAAGCAATGGAGGGTTTGCCTTGTGCTTCATAAAGTAAAGGATGAGAAAGGCATAAATCTGGAATACTCAGTCTGGTCCATTTCTTTTCTTTTTTTTTTTTTCCGAGTTTTATTTTTTTTTCTTGCAGTTGGATGGGTAAGTCAGAGAGGTCACTCCCTGGGGTCTAATTCTCTTATTTCAAAGACAAGGAAGTAGGAAACTTCATGTTGACTTCAGATGTGAGCTAGTATAGCTTTATGATTAATAAATCCATGATTTCCTTTCAGTGACTTAGCTAGGGCTCAAAGAGGAGGGAAGGTGATGGACTGCAACTTCAAAATCACAACAGAAGCTACAACAGTGAGTGATCTAGCCAAGCCCAAAGTGCCCTGAGGTCACTGGTAGACTAGTTACATCCAGTACGACAGTCATGGTGCAGGCAGAGAACTGGAGTTGTTTTCTCAAGGGAGACAAGGGAGAAAGGGAGAGGTGGGAGAAAGGTGCACAAGGGTTTGTCTTAAACAGATAGAGAGCACCAGAACTAGAATGTAAGAGATGACCTAGGGGAAATAACAGCCCTCCCATCTTACCTCTGACCAGTCTCCAGATTTCCACTGTGGACAAGGGAACTCACTGCACCTCTGAATGGTAACTTTCTCTTGATGTGTGCATTTGCTGTCATCCAGTACATCATTTCGGGTATTGACACAAATAGCCCTTCTCCTCTGGGTCCCACCGTCACAGCTTTTTGAACACTGTAGGGACAAAATAAATAAATAAAACTGTTGCTAAGTTTCTTATAAAGTATGCTGAAGATCCTGGCTATGTTGTCTCTTCCAGCTCTTAAGAAACAACACACAAGCTGGCCAACTCTAGTTATTTTGGTGGAGATCTTTTCATGTTATCAGTTTGCTTACCAGGTTTATAATTAAACTCAAAATTAGCTCATTGGCATATAAAAATAAAACCGGAAATGGCTTGTAGAGTATGCAAAAGAAATCAGTTGAGTTGTTCCACTTCTTCCAAATTTCCACACGTCATGCCCATGTCAGACATTACAAATCAACCATGCTACTCTATTCTGGAAAGCTTGAATGGGGTCAGGCATTACAAATCAATCACGGTCATCTCTTCCGCACAGCCTAAATGGGGCTTACACACCTGCAAGGAGCCACCATCAACTAATCAGACAGCATCCAAGAAGACTCTTTGAGTGAGAGCCAACTTACTTCAGTCCAGGCAGAATAGCGCCAGCCACCCGTGTTACATTCCCCTGAGCATTTTTCACGGTTGCTTGGTTTGGGATGGCTGCTGCAAAAACCATCATCAACCTTCTCAGTCTTCCCATCCAGCCTGCTATATTTGGCACAGTAGATGTCCAATGTGCGGTAACCCAAGCCACACTGGGCACTACATTCACTCCTGCTGGCAACATGCCACCTATGCAAAAATAATGGGGCAAAACCAACATTTCTGTTAAAAATATATGCCTTATCTATAGTCAACTGGTATTCATAGAAGAGTTGAGTTCTTTTTTCTTTCTTAACTCGAATACCATGAAGCCCAAAGCCACAGTCAGTTGCTAAAATCTAATTTTAAACCAACATATCCATGTGTTTTTCATGGCTGCCAATGTACATAGAAGTCACAGAATGACAGCCAGAGGTGTTACCTTTGTGATGATTTTACCCCGATAGTCAATCTGAAATTCAAGCTACCAAAAGGAAAACATTTTTTTCAAGTGTATTAAAACCTGTGTACATTATTATCTGTAAATAAAGGCTCTTAAATTCCTTGAAGACATGGACTATATTTTATACAATTCAATTATACACTTTAAAATTAGATTTGAATCTATAAATCTCTGTCACCTTTGTATCCATACTACCTGTAATGAGATTATGGGGGGACACAGTAGGTATTCAGTGTGTGCTGGCCAATCGTCTGGTTCTTTTAATACCCTAGGAATATGATCAGCAGTGCTTAAATTTAAAAAGAAAATAAATAATATTCTTAAACTAAATAGAATATTCTAAATAAATGACCTTAAAATGTATTTTGTTGATTAGATTTAGAAATCCAAAAAGGGTGATTTCCTTGTACTCTTCATTGGATTTCACTCTTGACTGTTCACTCATCACTGCTTAGAAATTGTGTGGTTTGTTGGTTACCAATGTCCTGAGACTACTTCCATGTGTACCTGTCCAGGGTAGAACTCAGGGTAAAAAAGAGTTCTGGCCTCATGCTTATCTTGGAATTTCTCATGAATGCCCCAAAGTAGGTCAGAGTTGACCATCTGGCAAGTAAAGTGGGCTATGGAGATTTTCCAATAGAGTGACACCATATTTGGGGGATTTTGTTCTAACCCGGAACATGTTCAATGAGAAATTGTAAAACAATGCTTTATCTCATCCTGTCACAGTGTAGTGGGGCAAACTCTCACTTCCTTCAGGAAGTGTGGCAAAAATGTGGCCCAATTTAACAGAAGCATCTGGAACTTTCATCTGCCCTTTGATTCTTGGCTACCTTCTCTTTGCCTTCGTCACCATTTCCTTGTGGAAAGGTTATTTTCCATCCTGGATGAAGAAGGAAGGTGTCCTGCCTCCACAAGAAAACATGCCAGCAGCTTAGCATGGCAGAGTGGCTCAAGTGCCCCTGACAGTAACATCATCCCCAGAATCTGAGCAGAGAATCTTGAAGAGTCTATGGAAAGGGCATAGCGCAGCCTTAGAAAAGTTCTCAAAATGCTACCCCCTGCTTTGTAGTCTCTCCCTGGATGGTGGTCTTCAATGTTTCGTGTTCATTTAGTTCATTTCAAGGGACATAAAATACAATTGTATTTTAATACTATATTTCAGGAAACCATATTCCAAAGTGTTGTTACTAAGTAGAAACTGAGAAAAAAAAAGTGTAAGCCTGTGTGTTTTTATTGCAGGGGAAGTTGTGGGATTAAATAATTTTAAGAACGACTGAATTCAAAAGGTTTTATATATTACAGAACTTTTCAAGGCCTTCAAAATGTTGATCAGCATTATTAACCTCCACAGGGGGAAGGAGATTCTTGGTAAGTCTTGTCAGACATACTGGTGTGCCATGAATCATCATTCAAAATGAGTGATCCACAACCATGCGTTTGGAAAAGCTATTTCAGAGTTTGACCAATCAGTAACAATCTTCTCTTCAGTCTTTCAGTTTTGGACACAGCTACTTGACAATAATTACTATAAATCATGGTTATATTGACTGTCAGTTTGATAGATGCAAGATAGAACACCTTATTTAGGCTTGGTTTGTGTCGGTGTATTTTTCAGTGAACGATTTTATTTTCCCAACAATCTATACAGGCCAGTAAGCTACGCATTTAAAAGCTGACAAATAGGCATGATCTTCTGGTTAATTTTAGGAATGAGCATGCACCTGTCTAATGAGGCCTTGGAAACTAATCCTAAACTCCTGGTTTTTCTTTGCATTTTAAAATTCCTAACCCTATGATCTTCATATCTACCAAAAGACCTGGACATAATCCCTTTACCTTTTCTTTAATTAGAGGTGCTATTATTACCATTGGCCTATGATCTGACGTGCTGTCCTTGTTTGGTCTGAGTAGAGTACATATAAAAGTTAAGTGTCAAAAAAATAGTGACTTTCTCCAAATGGGAAATTTAGAATTTAGAATAGCTTAGTGTGCTAGCATACCTACTATATGAAACACAAAGAACTGAAGCCCTAATTACAGCTAGGTATTGTGACATTATTTTTAATAAAAATCAGAGGATGAACTATGGAATCAGAAAGACCTGGATGTGAGTGTCAATTAAGTGACCCTAGTTGCGTGCTTCACTAAGCCTCAGTTTCCTCATCTGTGAAATGGAGGGAAACAGAACCTATTTCACTGGGATATTTGGGGGATTGAGTGAGGCAAGCCATGTGTAGCATTTCACACATATGGCAGACATTCAAGAAAAGTAGCTATTCCTGTTATAATTTATTATTATTATTATCATTATCCTTGGTGTTTCATTCTCCAACCAAGTTTTAAGCATCATGTAACTCCACGTAAACCAATGAGCGGAAATCTATTTGAGATCTTTTGCATCATTTTACACAAAAACTCATGGCTTCGGGGGTACCTTTTAATGTATTAGCTTTATAAGCACTGTTTACATTTTATGTCTAAAGGCTTCCAATGCAGGAGAAACTTTGGAGAACACCACATAAGCCAGCATCATCACAAATTAAATAGTGGCTCACTTTGGAATCTGCTCAAAGTGAAAAATAGTTTTTCAAAATAACAGCTCAAACATTATCTCCACCCTCAAATTGGTGCTCCATGGGTAAACTTAAAAAGAGGGTTCTTAAAGAATTATTTATTTTTTAGATCACATTCTATTATTCGCAATGCTATGTATAAATCCACCATCTGTGCGATCATAGGAGCATACTTAGCACTGTAGGCAGGAGTTCTGCTGTATCTATAGTTATAATCAGAGACTCAACCAGTCTCGTTCTGATTCAATCAGTGGAGAAAAAACAGGTAAGGGGCTCCAAGCAAGGTAGGGAACAGGGATGGGGCAAAAAAACTCATGGGAATTATTTCTTTTCACAAAGGAAGAGAAGCTACCCAGAATAGAATCCATGAGTAACACTCATCGTTATAACTGAATTAAGAATAAAAATAACTCTCTCCTAGGATTTAAGCACAGGATCTAGGTACAGATTTAGATTTCCGTCACTCCACTAACTCGTTGTGTGAGCTTGTGCAATTTGTTTAACGACTCTCAGCCTCTATTTTCCTTATTTGTAAAGTGGTAAGAATAATAATATATAAATCATAATGTTGTTTGAAGAATTAGTAGGGTATTAATTATATTAACAGGATAATAGATAATGGGATAATATAAGAACAATCCTATTAGTAAAAGAATATTAATAGGATAATATATAACTGTTAGAAAAAATAGTTCTTAGTAAATGGTTGACTCTATTACCATAACCATTACAGAGTACTGGGGAATATAGTGATAATTTGATATAAGGCTACCCAGAAAATGTCACCATTCTCAATTTATTAAGGTTGTGCCTCAAGGAATCTATCCACCAATTCATTTTTTTCCCCAAACTGTAGTGATTAATTCAGTTTAGCGGTTAGTTAACTAATTATTTTTTCCTGAAGAGACTTGAACTTTAATTTAACTCAATTGGCTGAAACAAAGATGGGTTTATATGGACACTATCTACAACAAGAATATTGCCTAGTATAAACGTCTGCCTTTTAATGTCTTCCTGTTTTTTTTTTTTTACAATGACTTTTGTCAATATATTTTGGCAAGCCAATTTCACTAGGGCAATGAGCTAGAAAGTCAGTGACACTGGGTAGAGGCTAGAAAGATCCTGGGCTTTGAAGTCAGAGCCTTCAGTCAGAACTGGCAAAAATATGACACTCGTACCATAACTGCTCCTCTCACTTCCATGGCAGACATTAGTAGTCAATCTCAGAACTCCTCTATTTTCTCAGAGCCTCAAGTAGGCCTCATAATCTGCCCTAAAGCACTACAGGCAGCCAATACCCTTTGATAGGATTTGGCATTGTAATGTGGAGCCTTCAAAGTGCTTAAGTATTCACTTTTCTGCTTATAAATGGTGAGACCTTAACACATTCCTATACCACTCTCCACTGAATTTCCCTTCTTAAAAGGAGGACAAAACAGCAACTCACCTTAACTGCATTTAACTGTCATGCAGAGTATAAAATGCAAGCCCCGACTACTTAATATTTCAATATGACACAGTCAACCTTGCAGGCAAATAGAAAAGCTTCAGAATGCTCTACCCACCCAGTATTTCCTGCCTCGGATTTTACACTTTTCTTAAACACAGAATTGTTTGAATATCTCAGACATCCATATATACATTTTCTTCTTGTTTCTTCCATGACGCTACCTTAGTGTACTGCAACTTTCAGGTGTGTAGGAGTTCTTCTACTGGGTGGTATACACTCTCGGTAGATATAGGTCATTATGGGTACTTTGAGGGATGAGGTTCTCCCCCTTTTCTTTTGACTTTCAAAACAAGTTTTCACGTACAATGTGACTCAATCATAATGCTAATACCTACCCAGCAAGTTGTGAGGATCAACTGAATTTTTTTTGGCAAGTGCCATACTCTATTAGCTATTTTTAATTCTTAGGTGAACAAGAAATCTGCACATGTATGTCTTGGATAATCAGTTCCAGAGGGATGGAGAATTGGTTAAAGCTTATTTCACTGAAACACAAGAAAGGGGAACTAAAGACCAGCATCCCCTCCTTTTGCTTCTCCTGCTGGGACCTCCTGCAAGACTCTCACAATTCAGTAATAAAGGCCTTGAGAAAACAGTGGCCCACCTCAGGTCACAGTCTGTACCACAGGGTTCAGTAATGTGTCCAGGCTGGGGCAGCCGATCGCATCTTTGATCAGAAACAGTAAGCTGATCAGATTCCCTGGTGCAAACAAGTTTTCGTTTCCGTTCCCCTAAGCAGAAAGGGAAAAAAAATTATTCAGGGAAAATAATCTATTCCATAAACTATTTAGACCCCGGATTGGCAAGCATTTTCTCTAAAGAGCCAGACAGTAAATATCTTCAGAGCGTATGATCTCTGTTGCACTATTCAACCCTGACATTACAGGGCAAAAGCAGCCACTCACAGGCAATACATAAACAAAATTGTCATGACTGTGTTCCAATAAAACTTTATTTGTAAAAGTAGGTAGGCCGGGCACAGTGGCTCAAACCTGTAATCCCAGCATTTTGGGAGGCTGAGGTGGGCGGATCATCTGAGGTCAGATGTTTGAGAACAGCCTGGCTAACGTGGTGAAACCCGTTCTCTACCAAAAACACAAAAATTACCCGGGCATGGTGGCATGCACCTGTGATCCCAGCTACTCGGGAGACTGAGGCATGAGAATTGCTTGAACCAGGGAGGCACAGGTTGCAGTGGGCTGAGATTGTGCCACTGCACTCCAGCCTGGGCGACAGACCAAGACTCCATCTCAAAAAAATAAAAAAATAAAAAAATAAAAAAATAAAAAGAAAAGAAAAAGAAAAAAAAGGTAGGCGGTAGGCTGGATTTGGCCTGCTGGCTGTGGTTTGCTGACTCCTCATTTAGACAAAAGAAAACAAAATAAATAACATATGCTATGACTACTAAAACCATGCTCTGGAAAATTACAATGGCGGAGGTGATTTTTGCTTGGTTTTACACATGTGTACAAAAATTTCTTAGGATGAAGAAATCTAAAATTTCTTGAATCACTTAAAAAGTTCAACTTCCCAGCCAAAAATGACCAGACACATTCAAAGAAAAGAGATTAGAGAACGTATGCAGATAGAAGGGTTTGCAGTTTGCATGCATTTGGCTGTTATTAAAAATAAATAAATAAATAAAATAAACTTCTCAAATCCCCAGAACTCAAATTCAAAGCAGATACCTTGGCAGGGTTTACTGCATGCTTGCCATGGCCCATGACTGTTCCAGTAAAACTGCTGAGGTTTATCTTCAATTGGAATATTGAAAGAATAGCGTACATCGGGGTTGTACAACTTTCCCACCGACAAAACCTAGAATGTGTGGACAAAACAGAAACGAACTGGGTGGGCTTAGTAATGCCAAGCAGAAGAAAAGGGTGGTGGGCTCATGGTCAAGTTTTTACCTGAAGCAAAAGTTCTTGCTCAATGCGATCTGTTGAGTTAATTCTTTCTACGGCAGTCTCGGACCCACTGTACTCTACCACAGCATTCCCAATGCGAATTTCCCTTTTGGCCATTGTGACAACAAAGTTTCCATTTAGCAAGAATTCACCTTTACTGCTTGATAAAGCTGTAGGTGAAGAAACAGAATAATACATTGATCTGCTGTCAATGACTAGCTGTTTGAAATATGAAGTAACATCTGGATAGGTAGAGAGTCGCTGTGCACGGAATGGGGACTTTTGAGGCAGACAGGCATGGCTTCAAGTCCCAAGTTTGCTACTTGCCAGCTGTGTGGCTTTGGGAATCATTTTCCATCCATCTCCATTTCTTTATCTCTAAAGTGGAGATAAAAGCACCTACTCCCTTGTGGTATCTGTGAAAAATAAAATGTAACCTAGGTGTCCTAATAAACCTTGATCTTGTTATACAAGACCCACAGTTATAGAATTATAGATGGAAACAAAAGTGTTTATATGATTTGAAAATATGCATTAGTGAACGGAACACTTACAAAATTGGTTCCTAGACAAATCTATATATACTAGAATTAGTCAAGCCTGTTGAATCTTTGTTAAGTCTTTTTTGTTTGACAGATGTTGAAATCTGAAAATCCATGGTTAATATGATGCTCAAAGATCTCCTTATCAGTGTAGCTCACTGTGGTAGCCAGCCTCAAATATGGCCCCAACGAGCCTTGTGGCATGGTATTCACACTATGTGTCATCCCCTCCCACATTCAATAGGAATGACTGCAATCACTAGGACAATGCAGAAACAACAGAACCTGACTTCTAAGGCAAGGCCAAAGGCACTTTGGCTCTGCCTTGCTCTTCCTTGGACCTCTGGTTCTGGAAGAAGCCAGCTGCCATGTTGTGAGGATACTAAAGAACCCACAGAGAGGCCTGCAAGCAGCAGGGAAGTACTGACTCCTTCTGCCAACACCCTCTGAGTGAGTAATCTGGGAAGTGGATTCTCCAGCCCTAGTTGAGTCTTCAGATAATACTACATTCCTAACTGCCATCTTGACTACAACCTCATGAGAGACTTCAAGCCAGAAACACCCGTATATGCTGCTCCCAAATTCCTTACATGAGAAACTGAGAGATAGTATATATTTGTTGTTCTAAGCCACTATGTCCTGAGATAATTTGTTACACAGTAAAAGATTAATACACCAACCCAGACCATTATTTCTAAACCTGCAACTGCCTCCCATTGTTAGCACATATTACATACTCTCTATCCGCTTTCTCATCTTTCTCCATGGCACTTTGTTTATACTCTCTCTTTCCAAACAAGAATGTAAGACCCATGATGGTAAGAATGTTGGGATCATTTTATTCACTACTGTACCCCAGTTTCTGAAAGAGCACATGGCAGGTGCTCAGTAAATATGTATCTTCGGGGAAGAATGAATGAATCTACTCCAGATCTTGCAAAAGATGAAAAAAATCAGTGATGCTGCAAAAGTGATATTGGAGAACTGCTTGAATCGAGTGCCAAAATGTTGGCCAAATGAGAACCTGGCAGAGTTAGACCAGTTATGGAATCTAAAATAGTCAAACCCATAGAAGCAGAGGGTAGAGTGGTAAATGCCAGGGGCAGGAGGGAGGGGGGATGGGGAGATGTTGGTCAAAGATACAAAGATTCAGTTAAGCAAGATGAATACATTCTGGAGATCTAGTATACAGCAATGTGACTATAGTTAACTTTAGTGTATTGCACACTTGAAATTTGCTTAAAGGGTAGATGATAAGTGTTGAAATAAACAAAGAGAGTGGGAAAGAGAAAGAAGAAAGAAAGGAAAAGAGAGACAAAGAAAGAAAAGGAAAGAGGAAGGAAGGAGGGAAGAAAAGAAAAAAGAAAACAAAAGGAAATGGTAACTATATGGGTGATAGATACATTAATTAGGTTGGTTTTGGTGATTATTTCACACTGTATAGGAGTATAAAAACATAAAGTTGAACACCTTAAATATATGCAATTTTTATTTGTCAAGTATCCCTTGATGAAGCTGAAAAAAGAAACAGGAAAGAAAATTGACAAGGAGGATGAGACAACAGCTGCTTCAGAAGAAATTATTTATTTATTAAAAGGTCAAGAGAGCTTATTGGGAAAGTTAATAAATCTCTAGAAAGCTTTTCTAAAATTGACTCCCTTTCAGATTTCACTGTTAAATCCAGACTTTCAGTCAAGAATATACTACTTTGCTATTATGTGACTTGATATGAAAAATATATGCAAAAATATTTATCAATTGCCTTATTCTTTTCAAAACCTTGGCATGATTAAAATGAAGATGTAATTTTGTTGATGGTCAAATACAAATAAATTTATTTTCATAATTTTTGATTAATTTCTCAAGATAAAATCTCAATCACATCTTTTCCTTTTAGTATTTAATTCAAAATTTTGATTGTGCTGCTTTTTTCTCCCCTGGTACCACTGCTCCTTGAATAAGTCCTCTTGAGTGTTGGGCTTGACATGAAGCAGGTATTTAATAAATCAGAGCTATTAAAAATTTGGGCTCTGAACAAAGACTAGAGAAAGGCCCCCCCTTACCGTCTGTAATTTGTGCAAGAGTAGCAAATTTTAGTAGTGAGGATGCCCTTGAAAGATACAGGCCATATATTTAGGTGAATAAAAGAAACAAGGACATTTAACTCACAGATGGCAAATAATTTTCATCCCCGGTGCCAATGTCAATCAATTGGTAACAGCCGCCCAAGAAACCATGCTGAACGTGATTCACCAACAGCATCATGTCTTAGCATCATATTGATGATACCTGTATTGGTTGTGGAATGAGGAGTGGACAAGATGTCTTAGGTATTAGCTAGATCCTAACTCATCTTTCATTGATGCAGGCCATCTCATCAATGTAGGTGACACATTATCTTTCACCACTCAGGAGAGAAGCAATGTGTACACAGAAGAGGTTCCAAGGATTTAGGTTAAGTAAATATTATATCCTTATGTGGATACTAAAGAGGGCAGAGATGAAGCTCTGAATATTTGTGGTTCAGCAGCAGCAGGATCCTTAATTTTCATAGACATGGGAACCTCACAGAGTTCATGCAATTGGACACCTTACTGACGCAGGGCTATTCATTCCAGGATTAGGAATTAACTGCATTGAATTCTGTTCCTAATCCAGCACTTCATTTACCAGAATTCTCACCCACATAAACAACATCTGGCCCCAAGAGAAGAATAAGGTGCCTTCATCTGAAATGACTGAGAAGAATGTGGTGACACTGGGAAATGTCAAGATTAGCTTTTAAAAGGATAAAATACCCTCCAACTTCTTGGCTCAAAATCCTTTGGAAGTCACCACTACCTACAAGATAGTACAACCTCCTTAGCATAGCCTCCCTGTAACTTTACAAATCTTAATCTTCACCTATCTTCCTAGTCTGACCATTCACTCCCACCAATAAACCTAAATTTCAAGTCCTGTATATTTCCAGGTCAGCCATATATCCTTCTACATGGTGGCAGTAAAGTGAACTGGTTAAGTGTGTAGCGTCTGAAGTCTGACCCATAAGGATACCAATCTTTCCCATTTTCTATTTGTATCACCTTGGATAAATTACTTAACCTCTCCAAGCCTCAGTTTCTTCCTCTGTATAATGAGTTTCTTATAGGATTGTTATATGGATTAAATAAGAATCCATATCAGCTTTAGTTCCTGGCAGATCAAAATGCCTTTGTATGTACTGTCTCCTTATCACACTTCTATAAGGTAGTGTCTATTATAGAAGCCTAATTTATGGATGAGAAAGGCATGACTTAAAATAGTTAATTTCCCAAGGCCAGGTGGCTCCTAATCATGGAAATCCATTTCCAGAGTCTACAAACTACTAAAATTTTCCAAGAAGGGGGTCAACAAACGTTTGTTAAATGAGTAAATGAGTTCATGCATTCGTTCTCTTGTATACAAATAGAAACTAAGTATGTTTGTGTTGTAGATTTTTCTTAAATGTAAATTGCTCATTTTGTTAGTCTGCATGAGCCCTTGAGCAAAGCAGCCATTTAAAAATCCACTTTTTTGACTAATAGACATTGGAGAGTACCAAAGGTGGGAGGATAAAAGGAGGATAAGGGTTGAAAAACTACCTATTGGGTACAATGCTCATTATTTGGGTAATGGGTACTCTAAAAGCTCAGACTTCACCACTACCCAATATATGCACGTAAGAAACCTGTAGTCCTACCCCTTAAATATATAAGATGATAAAATACAAATTTACTTTTATAAGCCCAAGAAAGATCCCAACCCATAGTAGGTGCTCAATCGATGATGCTGAAAGAATAAGTGATTGATGGAGTCTGACACTCATGACAAGGAGGATAGAGTGCTTCCAGCCAAATGACTCTTTCTCAGTCAGTGTAAACCTCTGACAACCTCGTCTTGCCTGCAGCTCCTGCAGCGCGAGACCCATCAGCCATGAAAGAGGCAGGAGTTTCAATGGGTCACTGAAGCCAAGGTTGTTTCCGTGGCACCTTGGGCATCCTGAGGCTGCTCCCTAATGCGGGTCATTCAAATGGTGACAGTATGATGTGCTGTCAACAAAATCACCCAGTTCTTTCAAATGAAGTTGCATGCTAGCTACCCAGCTGATGTCTTGATAAAAAGGAGGAAATAAAAAGTCAGATGCCGGTTCTGTAAATCAAGTGATAATCCAGTGTGGTCATATGCAAAGAGTGATAGTCTATTCTGGGTTAATTTGGGGGGTCTTTTCCAATGTCTCCAGGTTTCCTTTCATGCTTTGCTGACTCAGGGCATTTCACCCTTCCATGCATATTCTTTATTCCAGTAGATGTGAGTAGGGAGAAAGAGAGGAGCACAAATGATATCGGATTCCTCTTACGATCTGCCGTGATAAATGGTTTGGCCCCAGACATCCTTAAAATCATCAGATGAAAAAAAAAAATCCTATTTTATCTTGCACTGCATCGATTCCCATCTTCCCATTGCCACAATTAATCAAGAGCTAAGTGTACTGGAGACAAATAAGTATCACAGAAATGGCTACTTTTTCTTCTAAAGAGATACGAACATGGTGGCCCTGGGTACAACTTGGCTTTAGCTCAACAGGAGGAAGGGGTCCATGTGAAAGGATGACCTTTGACAGGAAGGCTTCCTGCTTTGGTACTTTGTGAAACAAATAGTTTCCTGAAAACAAGAGCCTAATGCCCAACCTCCCACTAATGCGATTAAGGGAGCTAATTTCCTGGGTTGGTTTCCCTCCCATTGCACCCATCAGAGCTGGGTTGCTACAAAAGGCCCTCTCTCCTGGAAATTCCTCCCTCCTAGAATACACAGAAAAGTATGGCTTGGCTGACACTGAAAAAAAACATAAGGGATAAGGATGAATATTGCTTAGCAATGGAACAGCTGTGACTGGACTCAACGCGAGACTCAGTGTGGGTTGTAAAACCTTCTCAGTGCATGTGCTGCATCTTCCATCAAGCCAAGAGTAAATATTTACATATGCCAGACTTGATGACAACATCAAATTCTTCCTAACTTGTTGAGTAACCACCGTGAGGTTCAAAGGCTCTGAGGTCTCGACTTTCACACTCAGTGGACTGTGACTTGCAATGTAGGCTTGCACACTTTTCATTTGCTTCTAGAGAGACTTCCTTATGCCAACAGGTGACTTTCCCATTCTATTCCGTTAAAGTGTCATAACTGGCTCAGATTGCCTGTGCCAGATGACAAATCTTCCTTAATTTTGTTTTCATTCTTTACAAGGAGATTAAGAAACCTCCACTGAATAATAAAAGGTTATCAGGAGGCCCTCCCTGAATTCAGGTGCTTGATGTGCATTGATTAAGTTGACTTGAATTGAGGCCACTACTTGGAGGGAGATTGTTTTTCCAAGAAAGGGAAGAATAGCAGAGAATCCTTCTCTCTTTCGAAGAGAAGAAAGGAGCAACTCAACATGGCCTTCAGGTCTCAGGAAATTAATTTATAAAGCAGGCTGCATGCAATGCTGTTTCATTTAATTAGGAAGTAGTAAGGACACTGCAGCCACATGCTCAAATTTATAACCAAGTGTACAAAGAAAAATACTTGCCCCATTCTGCAGCTGTGCAAGGAGAAATGGATTCCCCCCCCAAAATAATTTGTAAACAGTCCTCCAAGAACTTTGTTAATTGTCTTATAAAGTTGTCACTCATTTGGATGTTTGGGGTAGTGAAAAGCTGATGTAGTGATTGAGTAATTAATTCCAAGTAAGGCTTTACGGCCCTTGAAAGAAGAGGTGAATGTACATTTTCAAGCTAACCCCATTCTCCATTAAGTGCACAGTAGGTAGTCATTAAAGACAGCATTGACAACGGCTGTTCAACAATTCAGCAATCATCTGCTTTGTACCAATCATATGTAGGCTTCATATCAGTAGCTGAAGATGTAAAGACCCTGCCCTAACTTTAAAACACTAGTGGTCGTATAATAAATATGTAACTAGTCTTGTCATCTCAGTTGATGACAACTCCATCCTTCCCATTGCTCAGGTTTTGACCTTGGAGTTTTGAGATTCCTTTGTACCTTTAGTCTTGTGTACTTTTAACTCCTTTGTACCTTTAACTCACACACTATGTTCAATCCATCAACAAGTCATATTGGTTCCAACTTCAAAAGATATCCAGAATCTAACTACATACTGCCACTTTCACTGCTCCCATTGGGGCCAAGCCACCAGCATCTCCCTCCTGGATTACTGCAATGATTTCCTAATCAATGGCACCGCTTCTGTCCTGTACACACTTCCCCCACCATCTCTTCTCAATGTACCAGCCAGAGTGCTCCTTTAAAAACATAAATGCAGTAAGACGTCATTCCTCAGCTCAAAACCTCCAGTGGCTCCTGATGTCTCTGAGTCCAAGCCAAAGTTCTTAAAATGGTTATATGGTCGTGTATGACCTAGTCTTGTTTAACCTTACCTAGGAGTGTCCTCTGTGCTCACTTGGCAACAGCCATACTGCCTCCGTCTTCCCTACTTCAAGGACTTTGCAATGGCTATTCCCTCTGCCTGGAATGCTCTTCCCCTAAATAGCTTATTATCTTGCTCTATGATTCAAACATTTCAACTCTACTGTCCACATCTCACCCTTGGTATCCCGATTTGCCTTAGGCTGCTCTGATTTCTAGCAGCACTTATCACTATAACACTATGGAGTTTTCTTATCTATCAGGTTACTGTTTATTGCCTATTGTTTATTGTCCCACTAAAAAGTAACGTCCAAGAAGACACAAATTTTTTTTTATCTGTTTTGTTCATTGTGCCTAGAACAGTGCCTGGCACATATTAAATAAGTGAGTGAGTGACTGAATGAATAGTGATAGCAAATGCCATAATGGAGTCATGTATAAATATCATACTTGATTAGCATGCTTAGCTGAAGGCTCACTGTCTATCTATGCAGCTTCATGTAGACATTCCAAAACAGAGATATAGACTTTAATTCAGTTCAACAAATACTCATTTACCAGCTGAATATGTCCAAATGCTTAGATTAAGGGCCTCTATACAGGTTGAATTCAGATGAATAAATAGAGTTCCTGCCTGGATATTACAATAAAGAAAGTACATTATTGCTTTTTAAGATTGACTGCCCAGCAAGACAGCTCTAATTTATTCTAGATCTGAGTGTAAGCCATGCGGCTGGGAAGAGTTTTGTGTAAGGTGATCAGTTAAATCCCTTTCAGTCATGACTCTACTCTCCATGTCCTCTTTCTTTTAAATGGCAATTAGGCAAATTTCACAATCACTTACAGCAATTTACAGAAAAACAAATTACAGTGAGACTGGGCTGGGCATGGTGGCTCATGCCTGGAATCTCAGCACTTTGGGAGGCCAAGGCAGGAAGATCGCTTGAGGCCAGGAGTTCAAGCCCAGCCTGGGCAACATAGTGAGACATCATCTCTATAAATAAGAAATAAAAATAAATAAAAAACAACTAGCTGTGCATAGTGGTGAGTGCCTATAGTCCCAGCTACTCAGGCTGAGGTGGGAGGATCACTTGAGCCTGGGAGGTTGAAGATGCAGTGAGCTGTGATCACACCACTGCACTCCAGCCTCGGTGACAGAGTGAGACCCTGTCCCAAAAATACAGGGAAGGGAACAACACACAATGGGGCTTGTGGGATGCAGGATGTGTGGGCAAGGGAGAGCATCAGGAAAAATAGCTAATGCATGCTGGGCTTAATACCTAGGTGAGGGGTTGACAGGTACAGCAAATCACCATGGCACACGTTTACCTATGTAACAAACCCGCACATCTTGAACATGTACTCCAGAACTTTAAGTTAAAAAATAAAAAAATAATAAAATAAGATGGGACTGGGCTGAGCAAACTGTTGAAAATCAACACAGGGTCATCGGCATGTTGTGGTTTAAATATAAGGAATAGATATGAATTAATCATGCACCTCAGTTCAGTGAGAAGAGGATAAAAAATCTGTATAGTATTGCTATTCTAGTAATGACTTGAGAAAAATACGTGTCACCATAGAAACTTTTGCAACGAACAGGCATAATGAAATACTGAATAAGTCTACCAGTGGTCTGCTACTGGTTAGAGCTGATAACATAAAAATTAAGTCAAGTAATGCTTCTAATAAAATATTTGCAAGTCAGTTCCCCACAGGACAGCTTTTTGAAAAGACTCAATGAGAGCAAGGATTTTATGCTAAACTTAGAGGATAAGTACTTTCAAAATTTGACTTGGGGCCTTTCTATTTTTTAAGATCCAGAGTAAATCCCTTGATATCAAATAGTGCAGCTACACAACTTTTCAATCAATACTCTGAGGGCGTATGTATGAGGGAGAAATACAATGGTGAATTTTGAGAGCCACTTATTTTATGAAAATCCATGACATCTGAAAGCTCTGCCTCTGCATGCCAGAGAAGGAAGGAAGCAGTATCTGGCCACTGCTCCATAGAACCAGAACTCGCAAGTAGTGAGGCATCCCATCTCACCTAAGTAGTTGTCATCGTCTGTTTCCCCTGAGAAACTGTGCTGCCGCACATCAATATTGGTAGCACCAGCTGGAATTCGGACCACAGTATTGTAACCTGAAAAGAATTTAGCAGAAATTCAGTACTCCACAGAATGGTTCACTTTCTCTAAGTATGGAATAAAAAGTGGACAACAAAGGAATAGAATATAATTCTCATATAATTCTATTAGGTGCCTTCTAG
Organism: Homo sapiens; assembly: GCF_000001405.40. Taxonomy (NCBI): domain Eukaryota; kingdom Metazoa; phylum Chordata; class Mammalia; order Primates; family Hominidae; genus Homo; species Homo sapiens. Next base: position 64,631,677 of record NC_000003.12, read on the forward strand.
TCGATGGATAATCCACCATAACGAGACTGATTTTTATGCTCGACATTAATATTTTTGCATATTACATGTGGTTAACAATTTTCAAACTTTGACCATATTCCTTCTCATGGTTCTTAGGAGCAGATTCTTACCATAATGTACTGTATTAAATGTTCCTGCCACTGTTTTGCATGAAGAATTATCGCCACCACAAACCCCACATTTATCTCTCCGGGCTTTTGAGTTTAAAACATGATCGCATCCAGCTTGCTTTTAAAAAGAAAAGATTTGAAATAAATGTAAGCATTATAGAGATTATAAAATGGCAAATAATGTGTTTCTTTTAATCGTGTGCACTAAAAATGACAAGAAAGTCAAGTCCTTTAAAACTTGGAAAGGTTGAAAACTGAAATTATATACTGCCTTGCTATTTAAAATGTGGTCCTTGGACCAGCAGCCATGGGCACCTTTGATGTGGTCAGGAATGCAGAATTTCAGGACCCACCCAGATCTACTGGATCAGAGTTGGCATTTTAATAGGATTCCTCAGGTGCTTCATCTACAGATAAAAGTTTGAAAAGCACTAGTCTGTAAGTAAGCACAGTAATTTTTTAAAAAATTGCTTAGGAATGAAAAAAAAAGGGAATAGGTAAGAACTGTATCTAATTAAAGAGCTCATGCCCCATCTTAAGGGAGTAGCTGCTGTCCACTCCAGACTATTGCTGCCATGAGGGAATGGGAGCCCTGTGTTGACATTTTTTCCCAATTTTCCAAAGAAGCTGGAAAAATTGACTTTATGTAAAATCCCATACGTTTAAATATTGGCTATGAATGCCAGCCAAAGTATGACCATGGGCCTCCATTTTGAGGCCTGAGGCTCCATCGAGTGGCCTGCTGAATTTCTCCTCATATTAACACAATGCAGCCATGTACACTGAACTCTGAAACATACACTGACAATGACCAGAAGACCAGAAGAAGAGAGTCCACATTCTTGTCCGTTTTGTTCATTTGTGTGAACTAATCTTTGAGGAAAAACTCAATGTGTTGCTGTGAAATGGACAGACAAGGAAATCTGCAGTATAAGCTATTAGTCAGTGGGTGATGCCCTTAGGGGCTCTTTCAATCAAATCCTTCCAACCAGGAACTCCAATATGCCTTTGGACCACAGGCAAAAAAAAAAAAACAAACAAAAAAAACAACCAGAGGCATCATCTCAGAGCCCAACCGGGTTAGGAATAATTTTTGACTAACGAGAACGTTGAAATGGTATCTAGCCCCTGAGAAATCACTGCTCTGATGCTTTGCTGTTTCCCAGAAGTTTCTCAATTTCCCTTTCAAGAATAATTAATTAACAGGAATGTCTCAGGTAAAAATGATCGTGGTTAAAAATGCAAAGAGAAACTTGAGTGAGGCCAGCTCTTCTTCCTGACATATTTCTCACCCTCAGCTATTCAATCTAAAAAATTTGCTGTCAGGAAGCATTTGGGAAGCATTTGCTTAAGCACTGAGTTTATAGCAAAGGAGTGTGGGTGTAAATTGTTACAATAAATTTTTAAGGAGAGGTTTTGTGCAAGACCCCCACAGAGACTGAAAATGTCAAGAAAAATCCAGGGCAACGGCTCCCAAACTTTGGCACTACACGCATCAGAAAAAAGTGATATTGATGCTGTTGCTGATCCCGGGGCCACACTTTGAGAACCACTGCCCTGGCAACAGTGCACAGATACTAGCAGTTGCTATTCTATCTAGGAAGCCACAAATCACAGGTTGGCAGCGGGAAAACACAGTGAAGAAAACACCATCAAGGACTTACCCGGCAAAGGCCCTGGACACAGATATCATTTGTGTCCTGGCCACAAGGAGTTCCATCTATCACTCTGTCTCGAAGCTGATAGTAGGCTGTGTTCCCTGCCACTCTGCAGAACAACTTGCACCGGTCCTTCATCAGAACTAGAGAGGAGAAACAATACAACTTGACTTTTGTGCCTGGCCTCAGTGCCGGCCGGCCAACGGTGAACAGATACACCAGACACACTTACTTCCACTGTATTTAGGGACCCAGCGCACATTGGGAAGCAGACCGTTGATGTTAAAATGCTTCCCGTCAAAGTGAGCACACTGTTCATCTCGGAAGTCTCGCTTCTGCTTGAGACATGGCTCCGTGTTGCAGGACTTAAATTTCATTCTACGTCCTACACAGTATTTTCCACCATTTTTTGGTCTGAAAAAGAAAAAATGTGAAGAGCACACACACTGTATTATCATGTATTCCTCTGAACATCACTCCTTCATTCATGACTTCCTGTCTTCTAGAGAAGTAAATCTAGGGTGGCAAATGACAGAGGAATGGGCAAGAGCTCTGATCCCTGGTTTTGCATCCTGCCTTCAATACCATGATGTGTATAACCTTGGGTAAGTCACTTGGCCTCCGCAATCTTCCCTTATATTTGCAAAATGGGATGTAGCTATCTTGTAGGCTGTTGTGAGAATAAATGTTAGAATGTATAGCTTAAAATATGAGATGCGAAGCCTGAATCTGAATCTATTAGGCCACTTTTTGTTCCTTTTCTTCCCAACATTCATGGTGCTTCAATGTTTAAAATGTAGAAGGTGAAAGGTACCCAAGAGTAGTTTGGAATGCTCCCTATCTTCCTTTTGTACCTTGACATATTCACAGGAGACCATCATAAACTTGTTCCCTCACACCTCCATTCATTCTGTCCCTCTACTCCCTCTCTCCAGACAACCATTGTTTTTGCTTTTTTGTTTCACAAATAAAATGGAATAATGGGAATGTGTTCATATTTTGACTAACTTAAGAGGAGAAGCAGGAAAGAGCATACTGGTTTCATTAGCTTTTGTGTGACGAGTGTATGGCATACGCCTTGCAAAGCATCACAGTGCAAATTTAATCTCCGCATGCAACCCTGTGCATGTATATTCCAGATGTGATCCAGAGAGTAAATTATACAACACATCTACCAGCAGTCAGCAGCATGCCAAATTCATCATGGAAACAGGAAGATCACAGAATCGTAGGACGTTGGGGCTCACTCACCCAGGGCTGAAACAGCTCGGGTTTCACAACTGCCCTAGGACAACCCTGCAACTGAAAGGACATTTTTCACCCTTTTTCCTTTAGAATGAATCTTTCAGAGTAATCTGGACTATAAAAAATGGGTTTTTGGCTGCTTTGTTTCAAACAGGAGTTTTGGGGAATGAGAAATATATCCCTGCTCACGAAATATAGAATGAGAGGTAGAAAGAGCTCTAGAGTTGGATCTTGGTTCCAATCTGGCCCTATCCTCACTGTGTGGCCCTAGACTAAGTTCTCAGTCTTCCTGAGCTTCAATTTTTCCCCTTCTTTACAATAAGTGCACATAGTAGATGCCATAAAATGTTACCTACTATGATACTTCATGTCAACACTGCCCAATCTAATCTGATCCAATTCTGCAGTTGGCTTGAGCACCCACTCTGAGCACCGAGGCAGGACTCAGTGCTCCTGCAGCGTGCCCAGGTCCCACAAAGGCCCTCCTAGAGAAGCTTGTCCTGATACTGTTATAAACGTACTTGCTCGATCAAAGATTTGCAACATGAAGTAAGAGCACCAGCTTTGCAGTTACAAGCTGGGGAGGGTGACTTTGTGTAAGCTGTCTCACCTTCCTGGGCTCTATCTTCACATGTAAAACAGAGACGATGCTGTGTACTTAAAAGGCTTGTTGTGACTCTGAGGAACTTAGCAAGAAGTCTGATCAACATTCACCATTATTTATCATAAGGAAGACTGCATCTAGGGATGTAAAATGGCACATAACACAGTCGTGTCTACGTCTGTCTGTTTCTGCATTAAGCACAATTAAGCCCATATACTGTATATCTGCACTATTCATTCAAACTGGGAAATCTCCTTCATATCTTGTCCAAGGCTAGGGAAGATGAGGTGCTTTTATACCAAGTGACAGGACGTTTAGAGAAGTACTTTGCCCAAAGGTCACACAGCTAACAAAGGAGCAGAGTCAGGACTGGAATCCAAGTCTCCCAGACTCTTCTCTGTGCACGTCTGCTACATTATCCATATGCTGTGTTTCAGAGTCTTTTTTTTTCTTTTCTTTTTTGGTGCCATTTAGAGATGCAGAATGGGTTTCCTAGATCCAAGCCCTTTTCTCAGTACCAAGGCACCCCAGTCTCATGCATAAAATATCACAGATGACCCATGAATAATAGATCAGGACTGTATACCTGCTCAGGTAAAACTTGTTTCAAATGTGCTACAAGGAAGACCCCCTTCAATTTTTCCTCCAGTTGAAATTATCTTTCTGGAATCTTTTTAGATGTCCCAGCTGACTATGGTGGATCAATCATTTATTTATTGCCTGAAAGTAACTCATACTTCTTTCCCTTTGAACATAAAGTTTTTTAAATTGATTTTTTTTGTTCTCTTATATGACACGTCTTAGCTGATTCTTGAAATTTATCAAATGCAGCAGTTCTTCGGACTGCAAATAGTTATTATTTATAGGTGGCTTCCCTTCAGATGGTAACAGTTTCCACCTTTGCTTGCTTTGACCACTATAACATGGCAAGTAGTATTTTGGGATTTATTTTTATAAAAAACATTTTTTATAAACACACAAAAAATACTGTATGTGAGAGGCAATACTCCTTATGGTTAGAAACATGGACTCTGGAAACAGAGGGTTTGAATCCCAGCTATGCCTCTTAATAATGATGCAATATTAGGCGAGTTGCTTAATCTTGCCAAGCCTCCGTTTGCTTATCTGTAAAAGGGAGATGATACTAATATCTATTTCATAAAGCTGTAGTGAGGGTTAACTAGATTAATACATTCAAAGCACTTGCACAAAGTGTGGCTCACAGTAAGTGATTAATAAAAGTTTAGCTATTACAAGATTTGGCAAACTACCATCCTGTGGGCCAAACCCAGCCCGCCATTGATTTTTGCATGGTTTGTGAGCTAAGAATAAGTTTTAAATTTTAAAGTAATTGAAAAAAATTTTTACAAAGAAGAAGATTTTGGGACACATGTGAACTATGGGAAATTCAAATTTCAGTGTCCATAAATAAAGATTTATTGGAACACAGCCACACCCACATTGTCTGTTTGTTTCTTCGTATATCAGTAAGGTTGAGTAATTGTGATGGAGACCACATAAACCTCAAAGCCTAAAGTATTTACTATTTGGCCCTGATGGAAAAGGTTTCCTGATCCCTGGACTATTCTTGTGTCACTGTCCTACGTTCCAAATTCTGTCACTGACTTTGCTGAGAGGGGAGCCCAACCCAACTCTCCCTGACCAGAAGCTCAAGACCTGGCCTCTCTTCCAGGCTGTCTCCCTTGAGACAGGCCTCTTTCCATATCAAAAGTTGGTCTGCAAGTTGATTTGCTTTTATGTAAAGGCAGGTTACAATTTCTTCCTTAATTATTGACATGACTTTAACAAATATAAATTGGCCTTCTGAACTACATATGTTTCCTCTCTCCCAGATTGCTGCCTGATTTACATGGACTATGTAATAGAGAAAGCTTCAGCCAACCAAACTCATCTTTCAGCATGGAAAAAAATCATTTTATAATTTAATTATTTAGCTGAATAGGAGTATTTTTTCTAGTAGGCAAATATTGAAAATAATAGGAAACATAGCTTTAAAAAATAGTAGCCACACTTCCCAACTATTAAGATCCTTTTAAAATATTGCATGTCAAATAGGGATAGGGAGGGTTTAAGGAAATTGCTAGAGTAATTACTATTCTGCACAGCCAAATTGGATCTTTCTTTCAAGCACATATTACACAGCCATGCCTGTTAATACATAGAAAGGAAATTCAAGATGATGCATGACCAAAGCTATAAAGAAATTTTTGCAGAGGTCATCACAGGTACAGTCTATCCTCAAGGAAAGCTAAACTTTGGTCTGCAAAAGGGTTTGAACAGAAATCAACTTCTACGTTTAGGTACGATGAATTAGGGTAGTCAGATTTAGGGTTGGCACAAGACATTTCTAAAGATACAACAGGCAGCCCCAGAAGGTAGTGTAATTCCTGTGCCTGGAGGTTTTTAAGAAGGGGCCTGATGGCCAATTATGAAGAATGCTGAAAGGCTATTCAAAGATTAGATGGGATGGGGTGGGAGCTGTACCAGCCCATCTTTAATGATCTTTCCAAATGGGGCAGTCTATGAAACTGGATTCTTTTACTTATTCATTAGTTAATGGCTCTTCCACAGTAACCAATTCTCAACATTTCGAAACAACTTCATCCAAACTGAGTGCCTCAGAAAAAGCCTTGCTGTAATTCCTTACAGCCAAATGAGAAATTCATTTTTTTGGATGAAATAGACATATGTCTTAAATATGTTTTTAAAGTAAGATTTCATAACCAGTTGCTATGGAGAGAGCCTAAGGGGGAAATATCTAGTTCATAATCCTTTTAACCCTCAAATCTATGAGTTTATTATTTTTAAATTTTAACCTATCTCCTAATTTAAAAGTAAAATAGAAGCACTGGAAAAAGAAAATGCTGTGTCTTTCCTAAGGAACTGACACGATTTTTGTTTTTGATGGACTGTAACAATTCTACGTACCATTTTGTTTCAGCCACAAGGAAGCTCTGAGCCAAATTTTGAGCACAAAACAAGTATAGGGCCCAAAAGCCTGAAAATACATCTTCTAGTTCCAAAGCTCAGTCTGGTTTTGGTACTGTTAAGCTATGTTTTGGAGGTTCTGATTTTAAATTTTACTCTATTACACACGTCTTATAGGCTGGGTGACCGTGTAATTAATTGCCCAATCAAGAACGTTCTGAGAGTGAAAATGGGAGCTATTAATAATTCCTTCAGGGCAACAGATAGAACAAGGGACTGTCCTTGTAAACCAGAACTATGATCATCTTATCTGTAGGGCATGGATCAAAATTGAGATTAAAAAAATAAAGCACTTAAAGACAAAATATGAGGGCCCCACCTGTAACACCATATATACCAGTTGAGACCAAAATATCTTGTGACCAAAATTAGAAAGCGTATGGTCTCTACAGCTTGTTCATGGAGTAGAGCATAATCTCATGTACACGGCAAGGCTACTTATCTTTTTTGGCTTTTACGCTTTCAGGGGGAAAAAAACTCTTAAGAATATACTATAAAGTCTCTGGATGCTAAATAAATACACTCTTGAATCAGATAAATATTGTGAAAAAAGAAAAAAAAAATCCAGTGTCCTTAATAGAGACATACCTTGTACCTTGGATTCTAAAAACAGAGCTCTCCATTATATTGTAAGGGCTCGTCGAACTGACAAAAGGCATATTCCCAGTGAGGGGGGCAGCTGTTCCCCTCAAACTCCTTGAGAAGCATGACAGCAACCACTTCTACGTTCTACATAATGAACCATCTGCTCTGTGAATTTCTCTGAACAAGCTTTTAAACTGAGATTTGGATCTGATTTTCCCTTTTCTGTGTTCCTTTCTCTTTTCAAATTGACTCCCCCAGAGCCATTGTAACCTCCGTATTCAGAGGCAGTCTCCTTCCTCAATTAACAGGGACATCCTAAAGTGCAAATAACTTGGAGGAGTTTTAATGAAATGATGTCAGTGCTGACACTCAACTAGGTGGATTGTTTTTTTTTTTTTTTTTTTAAAAAAAAAAAAAAAAAAACCTCCCATAGCAAACAGCAGGGACAAGGACCTCTAATTGAGGTCTTTAATGATCGGTTCTTAACTTCTGAATGTGAGGATCTTTGTTGCACTTTGAAGCTCAAGATCCTTTTCTGCTGAGATCTTTACACTGGGTGATTTTCTTTGTCTAGCCCATTCCAATTACGGAGTGATTTATCTCTCTCCACTTTTCACATTACTTCTAGAATTGCTCAAGACTTAACAAAGTATTATTTTAAAAAAGGCCAAACACTTCTTTTGAATGGAATATCCTTGAGTCAAAAATGTTTAAAGTGCTTATAAAGTGGTCACTGTTTGCAATATCCATACCCTCATGATAGCATTTACTATAAACTAATAACTTTGCTCAATGTAGCCACCAAATAGTTTTTAATATGTAAAAAATTCATCATATTAGTTGTTACGATACAAGGTTTTCTTTTAAAGCTTCAACAATACAAGCAACAAGGATGCATAGCTGAGTTTAAAAAGCAGTACCAGCCTTCTTTTATATTATATGATACTTATTTTATATTATGTGGTACTTATTTCATATAATATGTATTTACATCCACAATCTGAAAAGTCTGAAATGACACACACTGAATTACTTTTCAGTGATTATTTCTCATGGGGAGTAGGCAGGAAGTAGGAATAGTGTGACAACTTCTAAAATATTCTATATGTTTGTGTCTGAATTTTTTGAAGCATGATCTATATTTATACTAATATTTAAAAAACTAATTCAAAATATAGGCTATATAGAAAATCTAAGGCTTATTCATTTTTATCCATAGCTACAGTGTTAGTTTTATGGAACAGAGTCTGTATCTCACAGCCCTTTAGTTATCTTCCTTATTGACCACTACATGGACATGAAATAAGGTTGGGTTATGAACAAAAATAACTTAATTAATCATCATCTGTGATTTGTAGTACAGAGTACTGAGACCAGGGCTTGCAAACCAGTTGCCTACAGCTATATTCTTTTTGATTCACACAATTCAGATTTTTCATAGAAAAGATTCGGAAGCTTTGCCAATATTAGACTCTTTTCTCACTGCCGAACAATCAGCCAGACCTGAGTAGTGCCCTGCACTTGGTCTCTACAATACAACTATTGTATTACCCCAGCCTACTTAGTTCCTTTACTTCACCTGTTTGCTTCTCAGTACAATAGAGTTTGCTATCCGTGATCTAAGCTATTAAAAATAAATGAGACTGCTAGGGGAAATCATTTTACAAAATCCCAAAGCAGCTGGGGTCTTAAAAATGGTTGTTGGTTTTTACATCAAAAAATTGTTCCTATAGACTTCTTGGTTCCCAGCCTAAATAGGTTCCATGGCAAGTCTGAGGAAGTGCCATACAAACTATTACTTACTTTTACTTACCTATTATTTTCTATTCCTTTTCAACTATGTATGTCTTAGATCCATGTAAAATTGGATGTCATTTTTTATAATGAAGATAGCAATTTATTATCTATAAACAACCTTCCCCCACCCTCCACCCCGCCCATGTCTGCTATGACAAATGCTGGGAAAAAAGTCCATGGACTTTATTTAAACATGTCAGTCCTAACAAGGTTAGGCTGGTAGAGGTTGCCATGGTCACACAATGAGAATTATTCTGAAAGGCAAGAGACTCCCAATCTGTAAAATGTCAGGTTGTGGGATGGGGACCTCAGCTGTCTCACCTGTAATACAACTAGATTGATTAAAAAAGTAATTCCTTATCACAGAACACATTATTGGTGGGAAAAAAAGAAAAAAAATAAAAAGTAATTCTTGATTTGGGGTCCCAGGTCCCTTGAGGTCTAACTAGAAGGAATATATTAGTCTACAAACTGGATGAAAATGTCCAATTTTTTTGTTTCCATGTGAAAATCTATCTAGTCACTCCATTAGTGTGCTATCTTTTTTTTTTTTGCCTGCTTTTTTTTTGTTTTGTTTTGTTTTGTTTTTGCTTTTTTGTTGTTTTTTTATTTTTATTTTTTATTATTACTATACTTTAAGTTTTAGGGTACACGTGCACAATGTGCAGGTTAGTTACATATGTATACATGTGCCATGCTGGTGTGCTGCACCCATTAACTCGTCATTTAGCATTAGGTATATCTCCTAATGCTATCCCTCCCCCCGCCCCCCACCCCACAACAGTCCCCAGAGTGTGATGTTCCCCTTCCTGTGTCCGTGGGTTCTCATTGTTAAGCTCTGAGTGTAGCAGGGAGAGTGAGACCTGCCTGATTGTCAACACTAGGAAACAGACCGACCACAAAACCATCACCTGTTTGGTAGATAAAACTTTGAATAACAAAGGATCTTGAGAGTAAACAATAATACAGGGGGAAGTGCCTGGGAATAGACTTTGGGTACCGTGGGTCTAAGCAGCCCTTGAAGTTTACGTTCTTTCTAGCTCTCTAAGTTGGAATGTACTCTTCACCCACCAAATTATTCCCTTTAGGAATTTCATGTTCCTGCCACGGCAGTAATAACAGTTATACATTCTAGGACTTACTCTGGTCTGTTGCACTCTCGAATGGCTGTTTTGATGCCCCCTCCACATGTTCTGGAGCAGGTTCCAAAGGGACTCCAACTTCCCCAGGATCCATCTGTCACGGGGACATCCATTTCTTTGGGAACACAAAATCCATACTTGCAGTGCTGTATTTAATAAGGGGAATAGTGAGGGAGACTTGGCGCTGTGAGTTGTTACAGGACTGGCTGTCCTTTTAAACACACCATACTGTAATTCTTTTCCATGTGTGGGTTTGAAATGCTGCAGGTTCATCATCTATATGAATAATGGAAGCTATAGGGATTTTAATCTCACACTTAGTGATTTTAGGCTGGGTCTTCCTTTACAGCTTGCTTGAATAAAACTGGCCAGTGACTGGCTCCAGGCTGACAGGGTAACTCCAATGGCAAGCTTCAAACCACTCAATTAGTTTACTTGGAAAAACCAGGAGTGGAAATGGGAAGGGTGGTTATAGACAGGGCCAAAATGAGTTATAAGATTTGCATAGTGAATTTCCATCAACAAGGCCTAGAGAAGTTACAAGTCTGGTAAACTATAATGCTTTATTGCTCCCAATTTTAATTATATTGGAGAGGGGGGAAAAAAAAAGCGAGTTACATGATTCTTATAAACACACTCCAGGAAAGCGTCAGGATGAGACGAAAGCAAAACGGACACACTACAGAGAGCCCTAAACTTTATGACTTGTTTGTTACTAGCGGTTTCAGATTCTCCAGCCTGGAGCAGGAAGAAGGCCATGACGTTTAAAAAATAATAATAAAACAAAATAAAACTCCTCAGCAGGACAAGGGAGGAGAGAAGCCATTCCGACCCTCTGCCATTGTTGGGGTGTGAAGCCCTGACACAAAGCCGAGGTCACTGAGCAGTGGACAAAGGAAAAGTGGCGGCAGTGGCCACAGGAGGGTGACGCCCCGCGGCTCGCTCAGATCTCTGAAGCGGAGCTGGTGGCGACTGTCGTGATTTATCCCCAGGGAGGACACAGCCACCAAGAGGGGAGAGGCAGAGAGGTCTGAAGGCCAGGGGGTGGGGCAGTATGCAGGGAAGGTGGAAAAAGAAGAGGTAGGTGAAGGTCTCAGTGGGAATAGCAGGCCCCACCCCCACACAAGGCTTGGTAAACAATTATTTAAACAGTGCAATTAAGCTTTCTCCAGTCTGCCTGGCCTCCTCCCTTGTAATTATCCTCTTACAGTATCTGAGGGCACGTCCCTTTCCCTGGGCTGTTTGGCTGAGGCTTAAGATGTTCTGCATCTGAACCCTGGGTGACTCAGGACCCATGAAATGCGCACTGAGGCAGTGGGGACTACGTCGCTCTCTGGAAATCACTTCATATTTGTCTTTACAGTGGTTGTGAACATTTCTTAGAAAATATACATATAAAAATAAATGAACAGATGGACGGCTTTGTCTAGAGTACCTCTGTCCAGTAGACACAGAACATGAACCACATATATAATTTAAGAATTTCTAAAGTCACATAAAAAACTAATAAAAAACTTAAATTAATTTTAATATATTTAGCCCAATCTATCTAACACATTGTTATTTCTACATGTAGTCAACATAACATTACTCAATAATTTTTTTTTTTTTTTTTTTTTTTTTGAGACAGAGTCTTCCTCTCTCACCCAGGCTGGAGTGCAGTGGTGCAATCATGGCTCACTGCAGCCTCAACGTCCCAGGCTCAACTGATCCTCCCACCTCAGCCTCCCAAGTAGCTGGGACCACAGGTGTATGCCACCATGCTCAGCTAAATTTTTTTATCTTTTATAGAGACAGTTAGGGGTGGGGGTCTTAGTATGTTGCCCAGGCTAATCTCAAACTCCTAGACTCAAGCAATCTGCCCTCCTTGGCCTCCCAAACTGCTGGGATTACAGGCATGAGCCAACACACCTGGCCTACTAATTAGATTTTTTAATGCTTTTTTTTTTTCATACTAAGTCTTCAAATCCTGGGATGTATTTTATACCTAAGCACATCTCAGTTCATGTCGACATTTTAACATAGCCACACGTGGCTGGTGGCCACCATATTGGACACAGCAGGTCTAGACAGACAAAACTTAACAAAATACAACAGGTCTCACTGGGACTGGTAACTCTTTTACAAAATAACTCTGTGGCCTTGGGTGAGTCCTTAAAGTCTGTTTCCACAATCAAAAAATGGGGACCTACTGGCCAAAATTATTTGGAGTATAACATGGGACAAAGTATGTAACATACTTAGTATACAACTTAGCACATGGGGGACCCCACTTAAATAACAGTGGCAATGATAATGGCAAACATGTACACTGCACTTAATATTTGTCAGGCACTGTTCTAAGCATTATATATACAAACTTAGTCCTCACAACACACTACGAAGTAGGTACTATTATTACTTCCATTTTTACGAAAAGAAAATGAAGGGACAGAGGAGTTGATGCCAAACATCACAAAGAGGCAGGAATGGTACTGAAATATAGACAAGACTTAACAGTGCATACTCTTAACTGGGACACATGCTGCCTCTTAACTGTGAGCAAAGGGGACAATTTCCGACATCTAAATAAGGACTGAAGTTTTCACCAAAAGTAAGATTAATGAGATGGCTAGGTAAGACTGAGACTCCAGATTATTCACTCAATATCCATCCTCCCCTTTATCTTGGCAATAGAACCTATATTTTCCAAAGTTTCCCTACGGATAGAGGTGGTCAGAGAGATGTAAGCAGAATTCACTGGGTAGGATTCCTGAAGAGGCCCTTTGAACTCTTTGGCTTCATTCTGCGGGGAAGTCAGACTCCATGGCTGGAGCAACCACAGCCATTTTGTACCTTGAGGACAAAATTAAGGAGTTTTCTGGAAATACATTTTTTCCCTCTTAACACTTCAGACTTCAGTTTCTGGATCTCTTTATTCTATAGATTTTACTTCCACACAAGAGCAAATTCCAAATGACCACTCTTCTCATTAAGCATTACTATAAACATTGGAACAAAACAAGGGGGTAGGTTTATCAGAGCGCTACCATCTAGCACTGCACTCAAATGTCCTCATAGTTGCTTTTTAAAAGAAAACTTCTAATTCAAAACTGATATGGAAATTAAATATTTCTCAGTAATATGACCATTGACAGGTGTCCAAAAGAAAGGAAGAACTTCAGAGGAATATGAAAAGTGTCTGATATGACAGATGCTGGGAAGGGGGTCTGTTTGGGAAACATGCACCAAGATAATCTATTTTACCAGGCAAATTCTACAAATAATAATCACATAGCAAAATTACTATTACATTATAACAAAACATTAAGTGGCTGGTGAAATAAGAGCCAAAATAAAGTCAGCCTTTATTTAAAATGTCCAAAACCATTTAAATAATATTTTATAGAAATGTATCTTTTTAAGAGGTTGGAATGGGGACTTGGAGGTTGATTTTGTCCAAATGAAACTTGAAACAAAAGAGTTTCAAACCTCAGACTCACAAATAAGTTTAAAAGGAAAATGCTAATGGACTTAAGAGAGTGGAGAAAATAAAGAGACATTAGTGAGTCATTCATCAAAATAACATTGTGTCAGCAGCCCAAGACAGATTACTGCTGCAGGAGCAGAACAGAAAGAAGAAAAAGAAAGAAAAAACATTAACCCAGCAGCCAAGGGAGGCAGAATGTGCTAGCATATAGAGAAAAGGCACATACTGGCAACTCTATGAAAAAGAAACAAAGCAAAACACTCAGAGAATTTCTATGCCAATATATTCACCTTCTTTGGCATTTCTAGAATGTGTAAATACTCTTCAGGATATTTATATATATCCACATCTTTAATAAAAGCTGCTAGACATGGCCACTTTTCTAAAACAACTAAAAATGGATCTATCATTTTCTCTGCACAGTTCTTCTCCAAAAGCATCCTGAGCCTGCCTTGGGAATGCCTTGAAGGCTCCTGCTCTTGCTACAAGCACACCCACTTGCTTGTGTTTAGCAGGAGCAGGGTCTGCTGAAAGCTCTCCCGAAGCTCCCCATCCCTCAGAAGATAGAAAATTACCCTACGATCCCTCCTCTTCTGCAAAAACAGAAGATTGGGAAAAGACATAATTGACATCCTCCAAGTTATTCTGCATTCCAGAATTGGTTGGGTAACCATACTGCTATCTGGAGCTTGACAGCACGTTCATGACAGTTTTACTAAATGCAAGTCATTTCATCACATGATTGAAAATTTTTCGTTGTTGTGTTTCTTTTGCAGCAATAACATGTGTCAGAAATAGACATAGTGGGTGGATCCATCAGGTTAAGAACCACAACTAAATACCAGTGATTTCACTGAGATCAAACAGATTCAATTTAAGTAATATAATGGGCTGGTTCTAACCCAAGCCAACTAACCAAGTTGTCAAATAGGTATCATGTTTATTGTCATCTCCTACCAACTGGTAGCAGTTGTTTGGGTCTTTGTGTTTAGAAGGACTCTGAGGCCACATCTTGATTTTGTAAGAATGAGTGTCATATTCAATTTTTAATGGCTGCCATGGATTCTTTGACCAAAATATGATTTTGTGGCCACCAATCCACTAAGTTACATGTCTTGCAAAGATTCAACATGTCTTGCAAAGATTCACTCTTTGGCCAAAGAGATATATTTCCCTTTAAACCAATGAAAGCTCTAGAAGCTATTACGCTTGTATCCGTATAAACTTTGTGTTAGGTTGCTATTGAGGAAAGCTGTATTCTCAGTTGATGAGGTCCCAGCCATAGAGAAATGAGAACATGAGCTGACTCTGTTGCCAATTTAAGTCAAATACAAAAGTATCTTCATTATAAGTTTTTATTTTCGCATTGGACTTTATATTTTTAAACTTTCATATCCTCAGGATCCTTTAACACTGAAAAAACCACTAGTCTTCCTCTTTGACCAGCAGAAACTATAGGAGCTCAGTGAGCTTCAGTTAGGGCCACTCCAGTAGGCCCTGCTGCCCCTTCAGACAAAGCAGTAGAGGAAATGAGGGTGGGGAGGGGCTGCACCAAATGATCTGAGTGACTGTGGACAAGTTACTCATTGTGAGACAAGAAACTGAGAAGTTTCTTGTCTATAAGATCAGGGAACAGGGAATTAAGTTCCATCATCTCTTAGGACTTCTTCCACAGAAACATTCTGGGTGCTACCAATTCTATAAGGTAAAGCGGAGGAAAAGGAAATGAGATGAGAATAAATTATTAAAAGTAAGTAAAGTGGACAATGGAAAGAGGAGGGAAAAAAGGGAAAAATATATATAAGGATAACAAAACACTCAGAAATATCATTCAGAGATTGTATCCTTGGTAAGTTACAGATAGAATGCCAATTTCCATGTGTATTTTTTTTTTAAATCAAGATTTATATCTAAAACTTTTTGTTACCAAATTTTTGGGCTGATGATGGTATCACTAACATGTCACCAATTTTTCTAGATGCACACTAGGTACAGAAGGTTAAGTTAATCATACTCCTAGGTGCATGAGACACTGTTACCATTGGGCCACAAAAGTAGCAGATTTTGTTTATCTATTAACAAATCAGTAGGAACAATTATAACCAGCTCACGAGAACTTGGATTTGGATATATCCTGAATGACATTATAGCTCCTTAAAGGGAACAACACCGGTTGGCAAAAGCCTGGTATCATAGTAGTACCTGCAATAGATGTACTATATTTCTACATTTCCTTGATTCTAAACTGTTCCATCAACTTACCAATAGCTTTCCAGTGCCATCCCCAAAAGAGAAGAAAAAGAAACACAATCTCGCATTAAATGTTCCCATAGGCACACTGTAATTTTAGAAATGTTTAAATGAGAGAAAGTCTTAAGTTGACAGAATGTCTTAATATTGAAGCAATAATGATAGGTATATTCTCTGGTATCAGCATTATGCTATAATCTAAGTTTCACAATTTTTAATTGTCTAACTTCTAAACATCTGTCCTCTAAAAAATATTATGCAAGCTAAAACAGACTGCATTGTCTTATATTCTAAACATCGGTGTCTGATCATACACCCAAAATCTTGCACATTTCTGCCCTAAGACAGAAGGACAGAACAGGGCATTACTTGCCTTTCCAGGCTCGCACTCCGTCCCATCGGCCCAGGGTGTGTGCTGAGTCCGGCAGCCTTTGTGTACTCCATTGACGTTATTGCACCAGAGCCGTCTGCACTGCATCTGCTCAATTCAATGAAATGGCAATTGAGTGACAAGTGATTTATTTGGCAGTATCAAACAAAGCAAAGCTTGCTTTCAACTAATGTTTCACCAATGACATAGGGTAAGTGGGGAAGGAAATTCTTTTCTTGGTATGATAAATGCTAAAATATAGACAGCAGCCCATAAAACACATTTCTATCCCTGGTAATGGATACCCATGTACCCACCACCAAGCTAAGGAAAGAAAACTTCACAGACACAGCTGAAGGCCCTATGTACTCATCCTAGGTTCCTTTCCCTTCCTTTTCCTACCAGAAGTGACCACAGTCCTGAGTAGTGTTCATCACTTCATCATTTCCAACACTTTTACTACAAATGCATATAAATCTCCAGTAATAGACAGCATTTAAGCTTTACAACTGCACCATACTGACATATCCTACAACTTGCTTTCTTCCTCCTCTAAACACTCTGTTTTTTAGATCTATTCCATTTGCTATATTTAGCTCTATTTCAGGGCACAATTTTAAAAGATTTTTTATCTTTCCTAATTATTAAAATAAACCACACTTATAGTAGAAAAGTTGCACAAGTATTAAAAGTTTATTTTTTTAAATAGAAAAAGTTTCAAACTACCCAGTCTTTTCTGTAGCTTTTTCTCCCCTTTTAGAGTTGAGATCATACTTCATAAAATTGTTTATCTTGTTATCTTAACTTAAAATTATAGCAGGAGCATGTTCCCAGATGTAGATCATTTTCAATTGCTATAAAAGGGAGACCCTATAATTTGTTTAACCTTTCTTTTGCTTGGCATTTCAATGACTCCTAATTTTTCCTATCATGAATAACACAAAAACAAATATTGCCATGAATCAAGTTTACTCAAAATTTTGTTATTATTTCCATGGAATACTATTGTACTTCTCAATTCACCAGGCAATCTCTGAAGACACTCCCAGCAAAAGAAACACACATACGCCACCCCAAAGAGACAGAATGGGCCACCCCATAGAAACACAGCTCTGCTCATCTGTAACCGGATAACTGCTAGATGTTATCACTGGCCCAAACATCCACAACACATGCAGCAAAACTATCACACAGCCACCCCAGCTGAGGCCCCACCAGAAATGATTTCAAGCCCCAGGTGGTCACAGGATGCTACCTTGACAAGCTAAAACACAGAAACATGTTTGTCTCATGAATTAGCTCTTCTGAATCTAGAAGAGTCCCTATAATTTAGGTCACCTGGACAAGTCGAAGGGCATTAAAGGCAACAAGGAGAGAAAAAAGCTGAGCTCTGTAATTCCCAACTCCGTAACCTTGCTGCCTCTGAGCCTCACTTTCACTTGTAAAATGAAAGTGATGATGGCATCTTCCTTTTGGACTGTCACGAGGATGAAATGAGAAAGTGCAGGTAAAGCACTATTTAACACTGAGCAGCAGTACTGTTGTGTCATCCTCATAATTATTATGATCACTAATATGCAATTTTACTCTCAGCTTTTCCTTGGGTAGTTTATAGTCGAGTTAGAATGCAATGGAAAACTATGAATAAAAAGAAGTGCAGAATCAGTAGATGAGGGCAGAAGTGGCCCTCCTACACTTACCATATATGGGCACACCTGAGAACCTGGTCCAAAAATCAATTCACATTGTTTATTCACGTTGTAAAGGATGCCTGGCAGTTGGACAGGCAAAGGGTAGGGTCTGGATTCAGGTTCGTTAAGCAAACACTCGCCATAACCAGTGCTACGGAAACACACAGAAACACACAGATGGTGAGAACGGTGGCTGTCAAGGTCTCCCCCAGGTAACAGTAAAGGCCACCCCACCATTGTAATGGTAGAGAGGACAGTTACTTTTTAACATGTGCTTTATTCTTTACATCCAAGATTAAATCCAGATGCTGAAGTTACATTTTTGCTGTTTACTTTGTAGAACCACATGCAATGAATACAACATAGCCAGTAGGAAATATACACCTGTTACAACGTTGATCACACTTCACAGCAATTATCTGTTTATGTTTGACTATCTTTCCCAATAGACTGTAAGCTTTCTAAGGGCAAAGATAGTGTCTTTTTCATCAAAGCACAGGGCCCTGTCCATGACAACAGGTGATTAGTAAATGTTTGCTGAAGGGATGCGTGAGCGAATCAATGACTCATAGAAAGAAAACACCTTACACCATCTGGTTAAAAAGAACAACAGCAACCCTCTGGTTCTTTCCGTTTTCAGCAAACACCTCTCCCGGAAAATTCACACCCGTTGAGTTCTGATTGATAAAGCCTCCTCTTCCCCGTGGTTGCAGAAATATACACCCAGTGACTCTGGGACAATCACTTAACCTTTCATACTTCTGAGCGAGAAGAGCAATAAATCTGTGACACAGGGGCATTGTATAATGTAATTGGATCTTTGAGCAGCCTAGCAGGAAGCTTAAAAAACAAAACAAGAAAAGAAAGGAAATGGGAAAAAAGAGAAAAGGGAGAGGGAAGAGGGGGAGAGGAAGAGTGACGCAGAGAGAGAATGTCCTCAACTCAACAATGTGGGAGCTGCTGTAATTTCCACTCATCCACGGAATCTGCTTTGGGATCATCTCACTACCCCACCCCTTTTCAGGCCCAAATTACTAAATTAGAAGTGCATAAATACCTGTGGCCTTCATTAAGAAATCACATTCATAGTCCCTCTCCCAATGTCTGAACAAATCTCAAAACTTTACCCAAAATGAAGCAACATTTCCACATCCTCTTTAAGACTCCAACCTTTTCTTTAGCTCAGTCTGTAATCTTCTAAACTCTGTCAAGGATATGAA
The DNA here is from genome assembly GCF_000001405.40 of Homo sapiens. Classification (NCBI taxonomy): domain Eukaryota; kingdom Metazoa; phylum Chordata; class Mammalia; order Primates; family Hominidae; genus Homo; species Homo sapiens. The sequence continues at coordinate 64,650,848 of NC_000003.12, forward strand.
CTACACAGATGTCAGAGAGCTTTTTTTTTTTTTTTTTGCCTTCTCCAAGGAATGTCAACAAAAATAACTCAAAAGGAATGTTTGACTTCATATTGTCTTTCCCACAATTAGTTCACTACATGTAGGCCAGGCACTAGAAGTTTGTGCTAAAAGAATGTTCAAGTCTTACTCTAAAAACTCAGTGATATATTTTCGACTACACTTTGACCACATCCAGGGGTTGGTGTAGAAGTTCAGTGTTGGAGCCATGACATGCTGGGGACTCTTAACTCCTTCTTCTTTACATTTGTTGTTGTCATCATGAGGCATGTTAAACCTAAAGCCAATGAGACAATGATGAGAATGTCAATAAACACCAAGGGATCATGCTGTTCTAATTGCTTCAGGAATGCAACTATCTAAGAGAAAAAAATTTAACTTCATTTTGGATAAGAACCTGAACCCTGGTAAGCAGAATAAAATGTAAGACAATTCAAGATAGAGTGTAGATTAAAACATAATTCTCACCCAACTTAATACGAAGTGTAAAGGCATAAAATGTATTTTAAAAGATGCAGGCTGGCCCATGTATTTGGTTTAAGTGTACTTTTAGGAATTGCAGAGGCTCTGAATATGCTGTAGTTGGTGCTAGAATACAGTAGTTGGAATTCCTAATAAGCTGTTAAAGGGCAATTTATAGAGTCAAGAATTTGGCAGCTTATGATAACGTGAATATAAAGAGTCAGGGAAGTGTCAAAAACTGAAGCCAAGAGCTTTCTAATAAGAGGCTCACTATGGGTCTTGGCATCTTCCCCTTTTTGGATCAGGGTGACAAATTATATACCTGCGTAGGTATATCATTCTAAAGGCATGCAAAGTTTGTGCACAATAAAACCCATGAAAGGTAGTGGTATGCATGGAAACCAGAAGCATGCCAATTCTACTGGCATAACTCAGAGATGGCAAATAGTTTCATGCTTCATGCCAGCACCAATTGATTGGTACTGGCTTCCTGAAAAGCCAGGCACAAAAGGGTTCTTAAATTAATCCAGGTTCCGCCTGTGAGAAGGCTATGAAGGATTGCCAACGTCCTTATGGGCCTGGAAGGGAATGCAGCAGCATGAACACATATTTGCCATTCTTGGCTTAGCCAGCAGGAGTGGAAAAAAAATAGGAAGTATTTCCTAAATCCAGAAACACCAATTCTGTGACCCACATGCCATTCTCAGCTCAGGCAATTATCTACTGGGTGACAACCTCAGAAGGGTCACCTTCCCTCTCTCTGGATGACTATCCCCAATGCATGTAATTAATTTAGCATTGAGAGAGAAATTCCCTTCACTAGTTCATCTTGATTACAGAAATAAGTGAGTCAGACAGAAGCACATAGACTTGCATCATATAAAAGTTGGAATAAAAGCCTATGGAGTCTATTCCATTAATTTATCACATTTTCCCTTTTTCTTTAAAGTTTATGCCTCTTAATACTTGCCAATAGAGACAGAAAAACTCGATCTTAGTTGAACTTAGAAATAGTTCTTAAAACATGAGACTCCTATGCTTAAGAATCTATTTTCTTAAAAGAACGAATGCCTTGGTTTCCAGTTCCCTGATGCATAATCAATGCAATACCTGCATCAACAAACTTAAAACAAGCAAGGCATTCAAATCTTAGTGGTTTCTTTATAGTGGTGTTTATTTCCCATCCCCAGATGAGGTTTATTCCCCACTCCCACAATTACTTGATAAAGTCAAGTTTATTACCTCATGTAAATAAGCTGAAAATTTATTTTCATTCAAATGTTACTCACATTTGCTCACTGCAGGAGTTAAATAATAATAAATGCTTATTGGACGCTTACGAACGATAATAACCACAACTTTTCAGCATTCACAATGCACCAGAAAATGTGCTAAATGCTTTAGATGCCTTATTTCATTTAATCACTTATTTTACCCAATGAATAGTACAGGTTGAACATCCCTAATCTCAAAACCCCAAATCCAAAATCCTCCAAGACCCAAAACTTTTTGAGTGCTAACCTGACACCAGTGGAAAATTCCACACATAAATGTGTAACACAAACTTTGTTTCATGCATAAAATTATTTAAAAATATCATATAAAATTACCTCTAGGCTATGTGCATAAGGTATACATGAAACATAAATTCCTTGCTTAAACTTGAGTCCCATCCCCAAGATATCTCATTATGGATATGCAAATATTGCAAAAATCTGAGACAATCCAAAATCCAAAACACTTCTGGTCCCAAGCATTTGGGTAAGGAATTCTACACCTGTACTGTTATTATCTGCATTTTGCAGATGAGAAAACTGAGCCACAGAGAGCTTTAATTACTTGATCAAGTCCCACCGCCACTAAGCTGGGGAAGCTGGAATGGGAATTCTCTTCAAGGCTTCCTTGAGTTTCACAAAAGTGCCTCAGAAACCACGAGGATAGAGACGATGCTGACTAAGCAGGTTGGGCCTGCCACAAATGCTTAATGGAAAGCCAGACCTCTTTTATGTTCTAAATATGAGGCATTTGACTGTATTTCCTCTGGAGAAAAGAAAAGGGGTGTGCTCTTAATATATGTTTGAAAGGTACTAGTTTAAAAATATACCTGTTATATATTGAGCTAAATTGGAGACACCTGTGTATATGCATCTCCCTCTGTGCCTCGTACACTACACTGCACATAGGGGACCTTAAATGTATGAATGAAAATCTTGTTTAATAAATGATGTTAGCTCTAAGTAAAGTTACCATCTGCCACACAAATTGATCTATTAATATCCTTTCAGAAAATTATTTCGAAATAGATAGTATAAGTAATTTAATCATCCTAGAAAGAAAATAATGCAGATCAAAACTCAGAATAATTTCTAGTCAATTTGCAGTGTTTTGCCCCATGTTCTAACCGTGCTCTATCTCTAAAAAACAAAAGGGAAAGGCCATTTCATAACGGCCACTTAGTGACCATAATTAGGAAATGATTCCTTCTTTCTATCTTTGTTCATTCTCTTTCCTGAAAAAAGGGATACTACTGTTCCCAGTGCTAAATATCAGAATTAGAGCAGTGTATAACTAGAATCGGGAATGGTCTGGATTTGTAAAAATCTTGGGGGCCACAGTAATGGTGGGGGACCCTCCTAGACAAAGGTGTTAAATCAGGAAAGTTCTCTAGGCTAATATATCCTCTGCTTCAGTAGAAGGAATGGAAAGACCCCATTTCTCCAGTTCCCAGTAGGAAGGGAGAATATTAGACCTTGTGTATTAAACTTGAGCAGTTAAACTGAAGATACACACAAGCTATGACTAAAGAGAGTGCACTGCATTTACTCAACTTTTGGAAGTCAAAGTCATTTCACCTAATTAGGTTCAAAGCTCTTCAACCCTGCAACTCTACTATGACTCGGGAAGTCTCTTACACACTCGAAAGTCAAGTAAATGCTCACTGATGCGAAGGAATAAAAGGTTTAGGTCACTCCAAATTAAATGAAATTACTGAAAGGTAACTCACACATGGCCCAGCTCATGGGCGATCGTAAAAGCTGTACTCAATCCACTATCTTCACTAATAGAACAGCTTCTATAGGGATCACAAATGGTTCCCAGTTCAGCCAGGCCTATTAGAAGGAAAAAAACCAACAAGGATTTACTCTAAAAAGCAACTGTGGCTTGAAATACAAACATGTAGTAAAACGGTTTTAGCCATAGAAGATACGCACAGAGAACTCACCTAAGGTATCACATTTGTCGTGAGCTCTGCAGATATCCTGTCTGAAAGCAAAGCAGACTTAGGCCTTGATGACATCAAAGAGTAAATGTCAATACAAGTAAATACTTTAGGGTCGTCTAGGCATTCACAACAGTACACACTTTGGGGTGGGGGTTAAAAAAAGCAAATTCATAAGACCAGAGTTTCAAAACTCAAAAAATTTTTGGAATTGTTGATTTAAGAATTATAAACTACTACATTAAGAAGTTTTCTTCTGTGGTCAGGGCGGTCACAGAGCAGTAAGAAATCTCTCCAACCAGGATTTTCCCAATACCCTGGGGTAAATGATTCCAGTTTCGTAAAGACTCTTTGAGAACATTCCTGAGAAGGTGCAAGATACCTTTGTTTTACTTTCATTTAAGAGGACGTGCTCATGACCACAATTGAGATGGCAGGAGGTGGGAGGCACAATTAAGCCAGCACGCGTCTTTGTTGCTACAGTGTTTTAACATTTTGAGATAGTAGCTACCATAGAAAACTTGGGAGGTTTCACATTTTTAAAAAATTCATTTTTCTGGCTTTTGCAAAATCACAAAAGCTGGCAACACTGAACTCATATACTACATGGCAACGCCAGGTCCATCTGAACAGCAGCTGCCCTTGCCTGTTATATAAGGCATGTATTTTCAGGTCTGCCTAACACATTTATTCCTCACTTGGTATCTATAGGTTCGTGGTTCTCAACCAAGGTGATTCTGCCCTCCCCACGGGGGGCAGTGGCAATGTCTGGAGACATTGCTGGTTGTCACACCTGAGGGGAGGGAGTACTACTAATACGTAGTGAGCAGAGGCCAGGGATGCTGTTAAACATCTTGCAATGCACAGAAGGAATTGTCCAGCCCAAAATGTCAACAGTGCCTAAGCTGAGAAACCCTCCACTAGCAGCTGACTATTAGGAATGCATGACCACATCCCATCAACTTGACCTGAGACTGAAAGATCTGAGGAATAAGAAATCCATATACCTTGTTAAGAGAACAGCAGTATCATGATGGATTCCACCTGGACTGTTCTTCGAATGCTGCCACTGGCAAAAGTTTTTTAATGTTGTCTGAGCATTAAAAGATATGGAAGGCCCATCCTAAATACAGAGAAGAATTATGGTTAATCTGTTGTACCGATCCCAATTAGATATGCCATTTCGGATACAGATAGAAGAAAAAAGAAAAAAACTTTATTACCTGTTCATTATGAATCACAATTAAGTTCACAATAACAATATTAATTAAATTTCCAATACTTGGGTCTTTATAGATAGAGGCTACCTGCAACCGAGATAAATTTTTCAAAGTTAATTGTGAACTCCGTGTAAGCAATAAGCAAGTCACGTCTTACGTTGGGCTCCACCTCTTTTTTACGTTTCTTGCAACATATGCATTTTGTGGTTGTGAATTTTTCATTCACTCAACAACACTTTTTGTAAAGTCTCTTCATAAAATTCATAGATCACAGTTTTAGATAACAGTGAATTCAAACAAATTTAAATTCCTCTGAAATTGCATTGCCACGTGACTTAACAGTTCTCTGTACCAGAACACTGGATATTAATTTTCCATCAAGCTCTTTCCTCTCATCTGAAGTCCTGGATTGCCAACTTATAGAATCTCACATTGGGTGCACGTTAGCCGACACTGCTATTCTTTAATGTTTGCCACCCATTGTGTCCTTGACAACCTCGTTAACCTGGTGGGGTTTTTATTTTTGCAGTATTATAATTAATTATAGGAGCTAACATTTACTAAATGCTTATTGTGAGCTGGCTGAAAACTGCATACACACATGCATTTAGTCTCTACACAGCGAAACTCTGGGCTGAAAACTAAATACACAAATGCATTTAGTCTCTATACAGCAAAACTCTGGGCTGGGTACTATTAAAATTTCTGTTCAACAAATGAGGAAACTAAGTCACTCAGAGAAATTAAGTCACTTGTCTGAGGCTACACACTGGTGAGTAGAAGAGCCAGAACTCTCAACCTAGGGCAGTTTGACCCAAAGTCCATGTTCATAATCAAAATTCTTAGGAGAGAACTGAAATTAAGAGGTGAAAATGAGGCTGTGCATATGCGCAGGGCCTGATTAGATGTTCCCTTCCCTCATGGGCATGAGAGGGCTGGAGTATCTGGGACTGAGCGGCATGTGGGGGTGAGAGGGGCACGGAGGCCAGGCAGGGTTGGGGGGCGCAGAGGGGAATGGGTCACAGCAGTGAACAAAAAGGCAAGGAGTACCATAGGCCACAAGGGGGGAAGAAGAAACCCTAAAGCTATGCCCAAACAGGATTGCTTTTCACATTCATCTGGGGGATTTATTAAAAATAAGTTTCAGTTCAGGTAAATCAGGGCTCGTCTATTAAAAGAAAAGTTATGCTACGGCTGAAAATGAGAAAGAGGAAGTCTATACGGGCTTTTCTGGACCCATCTCGAATCGTTCAAAAAAACAGCAATGTGTAATACAGTATGTGAAAATGCCTCCTGTTTGAAAAGAAGCTGTATATGCGAACATGTTTGCATAAGAAATACCTAGAGTTGCACTGCCCAACAGTGGCCACCCATCACAAGTGGCTAGTGAGCACTAGTACGTGGCTAGCTCAAATTGAGGTATGCTGAGAGTGTAAAACACACTGGATTTTGAAGCCTTAGTATAAAAAATGTGAAATATCTCATTAATAATTTTTAAAATAATATTTGATATAAAACATATTGCTAAAATTAATTTTACCTGTTTATATTTTACTTTTTCTTTTTGAGGCAGGGTCTCACTCTGTCTCCAAGGCTGATGCACAGTGGCGCAATCAAGGCTCACTGTAGCCTCAAACTCCTGGGCTCAAGAGATTCTCTCACCTCAGCTCCCGAGCACCTGAGCCTACTATAGGTATATGCCACTACACCTGGCTAATTGGTTTTTTTTTTTAATAGAGACCAGGTCTTGCTATAATGCCCAGGCTGGTCTTAAACTCTGGGCCTCAGATTATCCCACCTCAGCCTCCTAAAGTGTTGGGATTACAGGCATGAGTGACTGCACTTGGCCATTTTCTTAAAAACTTTTTCTTTTAATGTGGCTACATGAAAATTTAAAATTAGGAATTTTTTTTAATTTAAATACATTTGAAATTAAATATGTGGTTTGCATTATGTTTCTATTGGGCAGTGCTTGTTAGAAACATATACAAAAACTTTCAACAGTGGCTGCCACTGGGAAGGGGCCTGGAAGTCTGCATAGAGAATGATACTTAGTTTTTAACAATAGACTTTGGTTCTGATTTTTAAAAAATCGTGCAAATTTACTGTGGTTTTAATTCAAAATGGGAGTAGAAAAATAGAATGAAAGCCTCCTAGGCCTCACTCCCCAGGCTACTTAATTAGAATCCTGGGGAAGAGGCTATTTTTAGAAGTTCCACAGGTGACTATGGTTCACAACCAGCCTCCCTAATACTACTGAATATCCACAACTGGCTGTACAAAGTTCCTAAGTGAGGCAAAAAGCATTGGTTTTCGGAACTGGACAAGCTAAAGGCCACAGGCAGCGTCCAAGTGATTTATGAGTGATTTACCTGACCATGGGCAAGTGACCTAACTCCTCTGAGACTCAGTTTTCTTATCTATAAAATGGGCATGATTGATAATCTCACCTGGCAGCGTTGCCAGAAGGATTCAAAATTATACCTTTTAAGTAAGAAGCACATTGTCTAACACAGAATAAACACTCCGTATTGATAACCACTGTTGTCAGTTTAAAAAGGCAACCAACAAATAATCTTATGTTCTCTTCAGTCACTTGCCTGAATGGCTGAAATGCCAGTTCTGAATGGTCCTCCAAAGCACTGAGTGGAAACCCATTCCCCAATGGCACATTTAGAGACCTCATAAATCACCTTCGTTTGAATGTACTTACAATTGACATTAAAGTTAAAATATAGTGTTGAAGGTTTTCTCCATGGTATGAAACCATTCTGTTGTCTGCCACCACCAAGACTTCTACAAACCGTGGATAGGATAAAAAACGTTTTGTCCTTCTGTGGGTCCTCTTTTCTCTTGTGTTGTCCGTCTTATTACCATAAGCAGAAAATGCCTCTGTTGCTAAGCCGCTGTTTAATGCTGCTACGTCACCAGCCAGGTTAATCCTTTCTCCCCATTTTCTTGCTCTGGTTTTCTTCTTGTCTTTACTGTGCCTATTTTTGTGTTCTGTAACAAATCAGATGGTATGCATTACATTTCAAGCCACATCTATTTTATATTAAGAATTTAATTTGACACATTTTAAATTGATCCCTCTGTGGTCAAACTACATACAAAAACAAGTCCTCCATGGACTCTACAGATGCACCTCAATCCGTACTCCCACCTAAGTGACTAAGGATTTGAGATTAGCTTCCCTGGGAAGCTTTCATACTTGCTCGCTTACGGTATTAGAAAATCAGGCCCGAGCTTAAGGGAAACAATTGCACGTGATTCTTATTCATTTGTTAACAAAAGCTTTGCTGGGATTGATTCAAGGAATCTCACGCTCACTGTTATTTGCCATAGATATAGTAAGGGCCAGTAACGTAGCTACAGAGCTCTGAAAAACTTAAATGGAGGCTGGGCACGGTGGCCCATGCCTGTAATCCCAGCACTTTGGGAGGCCGAGGCAGGTGAATTTCATGAGGCCAGGAGTTTGAGACCAGACTGGCCAACGTGTCGAAGCCCTGTCCTTACCAAAAATACAAAAATTAGCCAGGCATGCTGGTACACGTCTGTAATCCCAACTACTCAGGAGGCTGACGCACGAGAATTGCTTGAACCCAGGAGGCAGAGCCTGACGTGAGTTTAGATTGTGCTACTGCACTCCAGCCTGGGTGAGACAAAGGGATACTCTGTCTCAAACAAAAAAAAAAAAAAAAAAAGGAAATGTTTCATATATATCACTCCTGCTATTCAATGAGTTCTAATACAAAGAGGTCTGAGAAGTGGACAGGCTAACAGACGATACAGAGGAACTGTAGAAAATGCACAACCAGGTATTTTATTACATTATTAGATCATTTCAATACTTAAAATATTAGAATCACAGCAATTCAATGTCTCTGAATTTTTAATTAACTTACTCCAGGGCTCAGTTAAGGAAATAAATTAAACTCCGAGAGTCTGGGCAGGCAGCTGGGACCATGATTTATAATGTCAGATTAGCTCTACTCATTTCCAGCTCATGCCTAGGCCTCTTCTTGGGTTCTCCACAGTCTTGCTGCTCAGAGTAGGGTCCGTGGACCAGCAAAATTGACAATTAGAAGCTTGTTAAAATGCAGATTCTTTGGCCCCACCCCAGGCCTGAATCTAAACTTAACTAGATCCCCAGGTGACTGATATTAACACTGAAATTTTGAGAATCACTAGTTTCCAACTTGGCTTGAAGTTTATATTACTGATGAAAATACTGAATTTTTGCATCATCAACTATGCAATAAACAGAATAAGCATTAAAGTGCCTGCCAAAATATACTTTGAGTAAAAACAGAATTTCATCAGTTAACTTGACAATCAGATCATAAATGTGCTTTAATGCTTTAATGCCACCAGTTTGTGGTCTAAAATAGGCAACAGAATTGTACAATGAAGAAGTATGCTTACCTAACACATAAGGAATAGAATTTGTTACATCAATACCAAAGGTAAAAATAAAAATTAAAAACAGTTAAATTTTAAGTGGTTTCATATTAGAAGGGCCTAAATATTTGACCATTATAACCAATTGCTAAAAGAATCAGTTTAGGCCAGGATGTGCATTTTGCCTGAGTGTTTTAGTCATTATTAAAATACAGTGGTCCCCCCTTTTTCATGGTTTCGGTTCCCTTGGTTTCAGTTACCTGCAGTCACCTCAGTCCTTAAATATTAAATGGAAAATTCCAGAAATAAACAATTCATAACCTTTAAATTGCATACCATTCTGAGCAGTGTGATGGACTCTGGCACTATCCTGCCCCATCCTGCCTGGGGCTGGAAATCATCCTTTAAGGTAGCTATATACACACCCCACCTTGTCACCTAGTAGCCATTCCGGTGATCAGATCGACTGTCAAGGTATTGCAGTGTTGTGTTTAAGGAATCCTTATTTTACTTAATGACAGCCTCACAGTGCAAGAGTAGTGATACTGGTAATTCGTATTAAGCCAAAAAGAAGCTGTAAAGTTCTTCCTTTAAGCGAAAAGGTGAAAATTCCCAACTTAATAAGCAAAGAAAAAAAAACGTTGCATGCTGAGGTTGTTAAGGTCTATGATAAGAACAAATCTTCCCTCTGTGAAATTGTGAAGAATGAAAAGAAGCTGGTGCTAGTTTTGCTTTCGCACCTCAAACTGCAAAAGTTACGGATACAGTGCGCAATCAGTTTATTTAAGATGGAAAGGCATTAAATTTGTGGTTGGAAGACAGGAACAGAAACTTTCTGGCTGATGGCAATCAGATTGGTACTATGTGTGGTTTTAGACATCCACTGGGGATCTTGGAACATATACACCAAGGGTAAGGGAGGACTACTATAGTAAAATCTGAACAAACTGTCAAACAAGTTTTATGCAGTCCAGTTATAGATAATATCGCTAGCCAAAAACCTGGTACATAAGATGTAACATTAGATTCTTCTTCTAGTTTTTCTTTCAAGAACACTCATATATGTATACCAATGCCAATAAGTATTGCATGTCTACCAACTGGCATTTGTATACATATATGAGCTTTCAATATATGCATACCAGGACCAAATCAATTGTTAAATCATCAAATGAATGTAGACTAGATATTAAACAAGCACCTACTATGTACCAGGCATTGAATTCGGCTCTTTTATGTATGTTATCTTACTTACTCCTTTCAAAGTGAGAAAATTACCTGTATTTTCCCGATGAGGAAAATAAGTCTCAAAGAAATTAGCAACTTATTCAAAGTCACATTGCAGGAAGTGGAGGTACAAGGAATCAGTCGTAGATTTGCTCAATTCCCGAAATTGTGCTCTTTCGATTAGGTGAGCTTTCTCAACAGCTACGGTTTGAAATGAGCTCATGATTTGGTGAACAGCTTCCAAAGTAAATATGAATTGAGAAAAAGACAGTGCCTGGTGGATATTTTCACGAAGATTTTTGCTTTTTACAACAGGTGTATGGAAGCTATGTTGAAAATTAAATTTTTTTAATACATTAAGAAAGTATATCACTTATACTGTGAAAAATAAATAGTCCTTGCTTAATGTCTTCTGTAAATATTACAATTTGATTTATTATAGTAAGTAAAGTGTTAGACATTTTAGAAGATTTAAAGTCTCTATTAGTTTTCTATTTCTCATTTGTTGATTTCTGCTCAAATCTCGATTTCTTTTCTTCTGCTTGCTTTAGTTTTAACTTGCTCTTTTCTTTCCGTTGCCTTAAAGTAGAAGGTTAGGTTATTGCTTTGAGACCTTTCTTCTTTCTTCATAGAAGTATTTACAGCTCTAAAGTTTCTTCTAAGCCCTGCTTTGGCACCATCCCATGTTTTGGTATGTTGAGTCTTCATTTTCATTCATCTCAAAATATTTTCTGCTTTCTCCTTTGAATCATTGTTCATTTAGGAGTGTGCTGTTTAATTTCCACATACTTTTGAGCTTCTCATTTTTTGTCTGTAATGGATTTCTAATTTTGTTACATTGTGATCAGCAAATATGTTCTGTATTACTTTTATCCTTTTAAACGTATTGAAATTTGTTTTATGTTCTTGCATCTGGTGTGTGCTGGAGAATGTTTCATGTTCACCTCAGAATACTCTGCTGTTTGTGGGGTAACGTGTCCAATAGATATCTCTTAGTAGTTGGTTTATAGTGTTGGGCAACTTTTCTACTTCCTTGTCAATCTTCTGCCTGGCTGCTCTATCCATTATTGAAAGCGGGGTGCTGAAGTTTCCAATTATTGTTGTTGAATTGTCTATTTGTCCCTCCATTTCTGTCAGTTTTTGCTTTACATATTTTGGTGTTCTGTTATCAGGTGCATACATGTTTATAATTATTATATCTTCCTTATAAATTGACTTTTTTATCATTATAAAACACTTTGATGGACTTTATTCTACCAGGAAAGTTAAAGAAGCCAGTCACAAAAGACCACACATCAAAGGTCTCCAGTCATAGGAAATGTCTAAAACTGGGAAATCTACAGAGACAGAAAGTAGAGTAGTACAAGTTGGGTATCCCTTATCTGAAAACCCCAAATCCAAAATGCTCCAAAATTCAAAACTTTTTAAATGCTGACATGACACCACCAAGTGGAAAATTCCACACATAAGTATTTAACACAAACTTTATTTCATGCACACAATTAATAAAACTATGGAATAAAATTGCCTTCAGCCGATGTGTATGAGGTGTATATGAAAGATATATGTTTAGACTTGGGTTCTATGCTCAAGATGTCTCACTATGTATATGCAAGCATCCTAAAATCCAAAAAAACCCAAAATCTGAAAGAATTCTAGTCTCAAGCATTTTGGACAGAGATGGAGTGGGGAGATGGGAGTGTGGTTAGCTAAAAAGTACAGATTCTTTTTCTCAAGTGATAAAAATATCCTAAAATTGACTGAAATGATGATTATACATATCTGTGGATATACCAAAGAATCATTAAACTGTACAGTTTAAATGGGTGAATAATATGTATGGGACTTATACTTCAATAAAGCTGTTTAAAAAAGAGAAACTATATCACTAAGTTTGTGAAAAGTAAATAATCCTTAATGTTTTCTGTAAATATCATGATTTTATTTATTGGATTTACTTAGAGAAGAGTACTGCAGTGAGAACAACACTCAGGAAATGTTGTATGGAATTCTTTTTTTTTTTTTTTTTGACCACTAAGGGGAAAAACAAATGTACTATCAGAATCATCAGAGGGGAAAAACAAATGTACTATCAGAATCATCAGAGAGGACTTGGGCACAAGAAAACCTGCAGATGAATCAAGGCCATAAATGGAAACAAAGTATACTTATAAATAAAATCAAAGAAATGAAGGCATTAATCAGAAAAAGGCTACAATTTCTACCAGCAAACAACTCATGTAATTGTAATATTTCTGGAGGATATTTCACCCACAAGTAATCTGTGTATCGAAGAAATAATTCAGCATACTTTAGGTGGCATGAAAATGTAAAACCCAAATTATTTCTTCAGGATCAAAAGCAATATCTTCTAAAACAGAATGGTCCTCAGTCTTTTATCAATTTGACCTTTTTCTCCTAATGAGTTAGAATGATATTTATTCACCTAACTGGTCCAACTAATTTCTATCACATTAACCATTTTAGCAAGCAACTTTGAATTTCTCATTAAAAATAGCATTAAAAATAGACACTATATCTTATATACCCACTCAACTCTGTTGCTTCTGAATAGAGTTGTAATAACAGAATAGTTTTCACCAACGGAGTACACACTGTTAGGATAAACAGAAAGTGATCCACATTTCTCTTTTGTGAGCTTTTAGTATAATGCTAAAGGAGGAATAGAGGCTAGTGTTTCAGGAATTTGCAAAGTCACTTTGCTTACAGTTTAATCAGAACGGGCTACCTAATAAAATTTCACTGTCCTGGAAAGCACTGAAAAAATGGTCTGTGTATTCTTGCTCTTCTTTTTTTCCTCCTACGTAGTTTTACATTTATGATTAATTTTTAATATTAGTTTGGTAAGATTATTTATATACCATACAATTTTCAAAGTATGAAGTTCAGTGGTTTTCAGGATATTCATAGAGTTCCACAATCATGGCCACCATCTAACTTTAGAATATTTTCATAATCCCAAGGAGAAATCCGATACCTCTTAGCAGCCATTCCATTCTCCCCTTTCCTCAGCCCCTGGCAATCACTAACCTATATTGTTCTATTTATGAATTTGCCTATTCTGACATGTCATGTAAGTAGTCATACAATATGTGGCCTTCTGTGACTGGCTTCTTTCACTTAGTACAATGTTTTCAAGGTTCGTCTATGTTGTAGCATGCATCAGTATTCCATTACTTGTTACTGTTAAATATTCTACTGTATGGATATACCACATAATGTTTATCCATTCATCATTGGTGGACATTTGGGTGGACATTCAACCCAACTGAATAAGAACATTGCTGCTATGAACATTCATGTGCAAGGTTTTGGGTGAATATATTTTTGTTCTTCTTGTGTATATACATAGCCGCAGAGTTGCTAGGTCATACAGTAACTCTATGTATAACATTTTGAAGAACTGCCAAATTGTTTTCCAAAGTGGTTACACCATTTTCTTGCTTCTTCTTGAAGTTCAAATAAGACACTTCGAAACAGGACATCATTTTTTCATGTTTCTTTTTCTTTGAGGGTTCCTCAAAAATTAATCATGTTTACTTAATTAAATAGCTTATGAAGAACCTGGCCCAGCTCAAATCCTAAAATAGCATATTGATGCCTCCAAGTAGTAAACGCATGTTTGCATTAGAAGAAAAGTGTAATACTTAGCAATCTGAATCCTCATATATGCATCTAAATAAATTTAGACGTGTTTAAAAAAGCTCTAACTGGCAACTGTATGTTTCCTATCGCCACATCATAGGTATTACAGTTCTCACATTTTATTACAAGGACATGAGTTAATACAGGCTTTTGCAACTACTTTGGCGTCGATGCTCACAAAAGGGAAGTAGTCACGCTTACACTGCCACAAACAGCCAATGTTTGAAGAACTCATGCAATGAAGGGAGGGAGGCCCGATTTAAGTCCTATTTGACCTTGGGCAAATAACTGACTCCTGCTCACCCTCCGTCCTCCCACTTACAATGTGGAGTAAGAACAGTACCTATTTCATAGAGTGGCTTTGAGGAATAATTGGAGATCATGCATGCAAAGGGCTAGCACAGTGCCTAGTGCATAGGAACGAATGAATAAATATCATTATCATATTTTTCTATTTTTTGCCAGTCACAAAGTCATAAAGTGAGTTGGAACTAAAAGGAACCATTTAAGGTAGAGTGACTAAGTGTGCTTAAAAACAATTTTCTGGCTTACATTAACAATTTCAAAGCCATGAGCTGTATACTCCTAGTGGGGCAAATCAGCACAGAGTGTGCCTGATTGCATTTCTGACATCCAACTTTTTAATACTGTGAAAAAAGGAGGAACTACAAAACCAGAAGTGCTGAGGGCTGGTCTTCACCCTACTATCCCATATGAAGGCTCTTTTCTGAGTCACTTCTCTGGGCCTCAGTTTCCTGACCTTTAAATGGGCATATAAATACTTGCTTCCATCTTATGGCTATTTTGAGAATTAAATAAGAAAGCATATAGAGAATTTCTTATAAATTATAAGTTACATTTTTAAAAAAATTCACTCGTGGAACATCGATTTTGTGCCAAGTACTGGGCTAGATAAGTTGAAATAAACAACAGCAATGACAAAACAAGAATAAAACGTGGGTCCAATCTTTTAAAAAAAGGATTACAAAAATTTAAGATAGTATCCTTATTTTAAAAAACCTCACAGCAAAAAACTTTAACATCTGCTGATTTATTGGTAAAAATGTTTTAAATGAGCTTCACTTCACGTTGCAATACAATAAAATGCACAGTATGTTACTAAATAACTGGAATTATTTCAGCAAATACCAGCCAGGCCTCGTTATTCAGTGGTTACTCACTGAAGTGTTTCCTACCAAATGGGGTTGGGCCGAGGAGATCTGAATGTTAACATTAACAGTTGGAAAGTTAATTATTGCTCTCTATTTTGTAAGGTTTATCAAAATTTAACTGAGTTTCCTCAAGGCGCTGGGCTACCTTGTGACTTCACAGAGCACAGGACCAAAGGGAGGATTCAGGAGCAAGGCGAGACCCCTTTCTGCTCCACCCAAGCTTGACAGAGAGAAGGAAGTCTGCACAGGAATCATCTGTGGTGTTCCACTTGGATTCTGGAGCCAGGCCAACCCTGGTTTCCATTCCTCCCCTAAAGCTACTCTAGTTGCCCTTTCTTGTGTCATTTCCTTCTTTAAAGCCTCAGTTTCCTCATCTGTAAAATGATGGTAATAACAGCATACTGCAAAGAGTAACTGTGGAGATTAAAAGAGATAATACATAAAATGCCCTTAAAGCAGGGCATGACACAGAGGACAGGTCCAATACATATTTAACATAATAATAATTATTAGTGGTATTGTTTTACTTGTAGCATGCAAAACATCTGATCTTTATAAATTAGTATATTGACATTCTCAAACAAAACAATTTTGTTTTAGAAAGAATCTTTGATGGGGTGCAGTGGATCCTCCTGTAATCCCAGAAATTTAGGAGGTGAAGGCAGGAGGAATGCCTGAGGCTAGGAGTTCAAGACCAGCATATGCAACATAGGGATACCCTGTCTCAACAAAAATCAACCAAACAAATAATAGTGTGAGCTGTTGTTTTTTTGTTTTATTATTATTTTTTTAAGTGATGTGCCCAGTGTCAAGTAGTGCTACATGCACAGTGCTGACAGTAAATAAATACAAAGAGTGGTGGCAGAAGAGATTGTGGCTAAGACTCACTTTGGGCTGGCCTGAACCTTTATAAACTATGTTTCCATGAGAGTGGTTTATGGAACATTAGTCCCATAAGATAGTTCCAAAAACAAATCAATTAACTTTGCAAAACACTTAACACAGCATGCACATCTGGAACTTTCTCCATGCACATTAGCATTTTAAGAGCCCTGAGAAGTCTTGCAGGAAAGAAACCAGTTTACATGTGCTGAGTCGCATGATTGCCAAACTTACGGGATCTTTGCCAAGTTAAGAGGCAAGTGATGGGGACAGCACCATCACTAGAACTATAACAAGACGCAGGTGGGATGTGTGGATGGGCTTCCCTCTCAGGGAGAGAAGGGCGTGCGAGTGGAAGGCAACAACTGAGAAGCTTCTTGGCTTTTAAGGGGCGGTGGTGGGCAGTGGAAGGTGTCTGAGGGTCCCCTCAATACCTTCTAAGGGGGTGGGTGCCTCCAGCTACCTGGGGAGTTAAATTTGCTGACTTGGGCATGAGAGCTGGGTGCACTACCCCCAAAAGCCCTTCTGTGTCCTTTTCATTCTCCATTCTGTAGCTCCTTCAACTAAGTGTGATAACAACAATGACTATAGGCTATAATCATACTGGCCAACGTTTGTTGAGTTGCTTTTCTCTGTGTCAGGCACTCTCCTAAGCACTTCATATGGATTAACTTGATTATTCCTCAAAGCAACCCGATATGGTAGGAACTATTACCTTCATTTCAGAAATGAGGAAACTGAGGGACACTTGAAATAACTTGAGAAAATATTTAAAGTATCTATTTGAAGTAGTATAAGACGCTGAACATCCCAGGGCCTGTGTTTTACTAAGAGACTATTTAGTTTTGCTATTAATATCCTGCAAAGTACCCTTTAGGAAATGTTGGTTTCGATTCACTCCATCTCTTAGCAGTAGCGGGAGAGTGACCTTTCCGCCTGTCAGGGTGCCAACTGCCCACAGACACCCTGTCCTGGCTGCAGTGCACTTGCCATGGCTGCCTCTCAGGCTGCTTTGTGCCACGGCTTGGCATCTCCCAAGCTTGCACTCTCCAGTAGAAATAAAATGCAAGCCACACGTGAAAGTTAAGAATTTCTAGTAGCCACGTTTTTTTAACGTCAAAAGGAACAGATGAAATTAATTTTAATAATAGAGTCTATTGAACCCCATTATGCAAAATATTATTTCAACATGTGACACTAGCCACATCTCAAGGGCCTCCTGGTGACCGTATAGGATGGTGCATTCTAGGCAGGAAGTGTTTGCAGAGTGTATACCAGAGACAGCGTATTACGGGAGATAAGAGTGTGAGCTCGGGAATCAGAGAGACCCGTGTGTAAATCCCAGCTGCTCTGCATTCAATCTGTGTGACCTCTGGTGAGTCACTTCAGCCCTCTGTGCCTCAGTTTCCTCATCTGTGAAAAGGGAATAATGATAGTTCATGCCTAATAGGGCAGTAGGGAAGGTGAAATGACTTAGTCTACATAAAGTGTCGGAACAGGGCCTGGTGGGTAGGAAGTCCTCTGGAGGCACGGGCTGTGCTGACTCTCATTACTTAGAATGAGCAGCAGGTTAAGGCTGCTGGAACGAAGTGGCTCCCAGGCCTGCCGCTGGGATCTGCCTGCTATCTGACATTTCACTGCAGCTCGTGGGTGGCCCTGAAGCTGAATGTGGTGCCTGTGGTGGGTCTAGGTATCATTCTCATATCAGAGATTAAAGCGCAGTTGGGCTGGAGCTCTTTAAAAAGGCATCTAAGCAACTCGTAGGGAGTGTATCTCCCACATTCTTTTGATACACAGGTCTCCTAGTTTACAGGCACTGAGGACTGGTTTATAAGGCCTGCAGCTGAAACCCTTTTGCATCACAATGTCCATGTTCCATGACCACGGAAGTGAGTGACCACAGGGGCATGCTGTGCTCCAATGACCAGTGAACCTCACTGGTCTTCCTCCCCAGCCACAGGCCACCTTCCCCAATACCCTGGCCCAGCTCAGAAAAGGCTTGATTGGTTTATTTATTTTAAAATCATATTTGGTTGCTGTACACTCAACTCTCGATATGACAACTTAATCCCTTAAATGAATTGAAAGCTTTCTATCTTTCTCTATAAGCTTGAGACAACTTCTTGAACAGTCTCACCAGTTCATTCTTAATTATTCCCACACTTAAATACAATGGCACTTCCCAAAGCTCATTTGAGTCATACTTTTGAACATCCCCTTTCCAGGCACCATCTGCAGCTTTTCCTTTTGTTACAGCCTGGAAAGAACACAGGACTGGGAAGTAAGAGGCCTGTGTTCAATTTTGCCATTCATTCTAGCTCCAAGATTAGGAGTCCCTTCGAAGTTCTGGGCCTTGATCCTCTTATCCATAAAGAGAAGGCCTGGAATAGAAGTTCTCTCTAAAGTTTCCTCCAGTATTAAAAATTTATGAATTCTTATATTTTATAAGATAAAAGTGAATAATGATTAAAAATGAAGTCCTAAGTTTCCAAAGGGGCAAAACCCAACAGAGATTCCCCCTGAGCCACTGTCACTGTCAGAAAGTGTATGGATGAAACAGTCAGCAGGGTGGCAGGGTAGAATAAGACAGAATAACTCCAAAAGAGAGAGAACAACACAAAAGGAGTGGACTTTTGCTGATGTTAAATTATATTAAGGGGAGTACAGTCTACACATCTCCATTACTCACTGGGAAAATTTTATTTCGGACCTGCTAAAACAGATAATAGTTTCTGAAAAACCACTTCTATTTTCTCTAATCTGACTTGTTACAATGAAATAACATGAAATGTAAGAATTAGGAAACTGGCTTGAAAGAAAAAAAAGTATACAATCAAAGATACCGCTGGAAAAGCATTTAAATTGTCCACAAAGCACAGAATGGAAGCTTTCAGGATTTATGGAGTTATATATTCTATCCCTCTTCAGCAGCAGGGCATGTGGTCATAAGGACTGAATCTCATACTATTAATACCAAACTCTTCTACCTCTGTCTCTGTCTCAGTCTCATTGTCCCTCTGGCTCTCTCTTTCTCTCCTGTCTGCATGCACATACACACATGCAACATACATGCAAAACAACACAGTTGCATTCTTACCTATGCAGAGGCTCCCCTGGACCTGTTTTCACCCCTGAGCTAAGACAACACATTCCCATCAAAAAGTACACTGGTTGGACATGGAGAGTTGTGTTTCTGGATACAGATGAGCAATAAAAATAACAACTGCCTTTTCTCTTGGCCTAGACCATGGCTTTGAATAATAAATCCTAAATACACCTCTCCTATTCCATTTTTTGGGCAAGCTCTATACTGCATGCTCCACTATACTTTCTTGCTATGTAGTTCTGGGACTGCATGAAATCTACGGTGCATGAAGTATTGGCGATAAAATAAAGAAGCTATGTATGAAATAAGCATTTGCAAATTAAGAGACTTTTTGAAAGACAAGCCACAATCTGGGAGACAATATTTAAAAACTATATCTGACAAAGGACTTATATACAGAATAAAGAACTTTCAGACTTCAGTAATAAGAAAGCAAATATTCTAAGTTTTAAAAAATGGCTGAAAGACTTGAACAGACGCTTCACCAAAAAAGATACATGGATAGCAAATATGCACATGAAGAAATACTCAATATCATTAGACTTTAGGTAAATGCAAATGAAAACTACAATGAAATTCCACTAAACACCTATTAGAATAGCTAAACTTCAAAAAACAAAAGCAGAACAACAAAATGTTGACAATACCAAGTGCTGGAAAGGATGCAGAGGAACTGGAACTTTCATACCCTGCAGGTGGAGCTACAAAATGGCATAACCACTTTGAAAAATATATTGGCAGTTTCTAATAGAGTGAAACATACATTAACCACACAAGCCAGTAATCTTATGCCTAGGTATTTATCCAAATGAAGTGGAAACTTATGTTCACACAAAAATCTGTATGCAAATGTTTATAGTGGCTTTATTTGTAATGGTCAAAAACTGTCGCTCAAGTGGGTAATGGTTAAAGAAATGGTGATATATCCATTCAGTGGAATACAGCTCACCAATAAAAAAGGATGAAATTACTGATACAGGCAACAATGTGGATGAACCTCAAACACACTGTGCTTAGTGATTATTTATATATTCTGCAAAAGGCAAAACTATAGAGACAGAAAACAGGGGTGGGGAGAGGGGCTGATTACAAAGGACACCAAAAACTGTTCTTTAACTTGATTATCACGATGGTTCTATGACTGTATACATTTGCCAAAACCTGCAGAACTGTATGCTAGGAAGGGTAAATGTTACAGCATGTAAATTATACATTAATAGAAAAATGGAAGGAAAACACTAGGAAACACGAATGGAAAATAAAAAGATTTTTCAAAAAATAAAAAATAATTAGCAGAAAAATTCTCAAGCCAATAACATTAACTTGAACTTTTTCCACACAGCAACTGCATTTTTAACATTCATTCTAATTCTAATGTCATATAGGAATTGGGAATCAATAAAAAGGAAGACTTGTGCCAACATTTGCCTCACGTTTGACTTTGCTCCTTCTCAAAGCCCACTACTCAGTCACATGTGCATACCACATCAGATCTTGCATTTACCCATGCTCTTTTTGTGATATTCAGATTATTTATTAATGATTTTCAGTTGCACAGAACATCCATGCAGATATCTGGTCCACAGGTAAAAAGTCAAATGAGAAAACACAGCCATAAATGGCTATAATAAAGACTCTTTTATGATACAATTATCATAAAGAAACCATCTTTGGCAGATACAAAGGTGCAAATGTTAAACCTCAATGCATGATAAAATAGCACTTTATTAACCAAAGTGGGCTTATCCCCTCATATGAAGAAACTCAAGAAACTTTGCCATGTCTTACTTTGAAAAGACAGCCTACTCAAGTGAAAGGTCTGAAGGGTTCTCAGGTTAACACCAAAATCCTCCTGCCTCTGTCAGCTAGATGGCCCTCTTCCAGAGTCTTCTGCTGATTCTGAAGTCCCTTCTAAAGAAAGATGTGCGTCTTAGCCAGTTTCAGATGGTTCCTATGAAGGTGAACACATTATCAAGTATTCACCCTTGTAGCACCCCTTTTCTTCAGCAGGGAATGGGTTTCTGAAGCAAAGTGTCAGGAATCCCTAAAATATGATTAGCAAGAAACAGGGAAAGGTCCTGAGATGGCACAGAAGGTGTAAAGCAGGCAGCTCTTCTGGCTGTCTTTGGATCCAGAAGCTTAATTAAAAAGTTTTAGGGGCCAAGTGTGGTGGCTCATGCCTGTAATCCCAGCATTTTGGGAGGTCACAGCAGATGAACCATTTGAGGCCAGGAGTTTGAGACAAGCCTGGCTAACATGGCAAAACCCTGTCTCTACTAAAAATATGCAAATTAGCTGGGTGTGGTGGTGCACACCTGTAATCTCAGCTACTTGGGAGGCTGAGGCACAAGAATAGCTTGAACCTGGAAGGTGGAGGTTGCAGTGGGTCAAGATCGCGCCACTGCACTCCAGCCTGGGCAACAGAGCAAGACTCTCAAAACAACAACAACAACAAAGGTTTTGGGGAATACGCATATTTCATATGTCAATGAGTTCTAATCTCAGGTACAAACCTAACTTGCCACCTTACAATCCTAATTGCAAACTGGCCCTTCTGGGCTTCAAAACACAGGTGAGGGAGATCCTTTAAGGATAGAAAAGGTAGTTTAATATTTCAGTCCATGATGGAATGCAGATATGACAGTGGTCTCCTAAGATCGTAATACTAAATTTTTAACTGTACCTTTTCTATGTTTAGATACACAGATACTTAACATCACGTTATAATTGCCTACAGTATTCAGTACAGTCACATACTGTACAGGTCTGTAGCCTAGGAACAATAGGCTATGTACCACGTAGCCTAGGAACAATAGGCTATGTACCACGTAGCCTAGGTGTGTGGTAGGCTATCCCATCTAGGTTTGTGTCAGTGCACTCTGTGATGTTCACAAAATTACCTAACAAGAATGCATGGGTCACACACACCCTATGCATGACGGCACTGTAAATTGAGGATCTTCCTATTGATAGGAACATCACAATGACAGCCATCAAGGCACTTCAGACAAGGAGTCAAAAAACCTCCCAAAGATACTGCCTTTCCCTTCAATTAAATCACTCTGAGAAGTGGCTTAATGGCCCAGGGGCTTTGCTCTGGGTACCTGCTCTGGCCTTGCAGACTGGCCTTGCTTTTCTAATCCTTGCAACTGCAGCCTGACCTGATGATGATAAAGATGAAGCAAAGAGTAGGGGCAATGGAAGGGAAAAAGGGGCTATATGCAGCAAATCTCAAACTAGAACGAAAATAGCAATTTTAACAACAGCGATGACGACAACAAAGTGAAAAGTTGCGTAAGAGACAACGATGAGTTGCAATGTGTGGACTTTGTTTAGATCACAATCTAACTGATGATTGTAAAAAGGCATTTTGGGGACAATGAGAAAAATTTTAATATAGGTACTGTGTAGGCAATATGAAGGAATTGTTAATTTTGCTGAAACATTATTTATAATATTACTTAATATTACGTATCAAATATTAATAATATTATAGTTACTTAGGAAAAGATCCCCACTTTTCAAAGATTTATCATGAAATATTTAGAGATGGTATCTTGAGTTTGTTTTAATATACTCAGCATAAAGAAAAATAAGCAAATGTAGAAAAATCTTAGTCATTATTAAGATTCATGGTGTTTACAGTGGTTCATTTTATTATTGTCTCTAGCTTTATGTATGCTTGAAGATGTTCATAATAAAATGGTTTTTAAAAACAAAATGATAATTTTTAAAAAAATTTAATGAATAAGTGGGAACAAATGAAAGAAGGTACAATTCCTGTATTAGAAGTTTCTTTTTTACTACCTCTTAATGACTTTATTGGAGTACTGCACTATTAACACTAAAGTTTTTTTTTAAAAAAAAAGGAAAGCAGAATTTTTATAAGTACCATTCAGTAGATCAAGTTGAAGAAATAAAGAATTAATGTATTTAAAACAGTGATTTTCTAATAATTTACCAAGGATTTTAGAGGTCATTGCTTATATTGACTGTTTATTAGACAGAAAGTCATTGAAGACTATAAAAAAGAGAAAAAAATGTATAAACACCGATGAAGAACAAAAAGGGGAAAATGAAAGGAAATCAGGCTCAAACCATAAATCCCAAATGGCAATAACTAACTTTAAAAATTCATAATCAGTCTTGAGTTGCAGTGCCAGCTTTTTCCCTTTCTGCAAGCTGTGGACAAGTTTGTTCACCTCTCTGAGTTCAGCTTTCTCATTTGTAGGATGAGAATAATCAGAGCATCTTCCTCCCATGAACTGTTGCAGGAGTAAATGAAATAACCATAATGTGCTTCCACATTGCCAAGTACACAGTTCCTTAAATGCTGCCTGTTCTTGATCTTTACAAGGCTGAAAGGGTCTAAGAATGCAGAAAGTGTGTGGTGAAAGTGCAGGCAGACAAGTTCCTAGCATAAGTCACTAATTAGCCACCAACCACTGACTTGCTTGGGGCCCAGGCAGGATTCTGAAGTCAGCCAAAGCTTCCGTCACTGCCTGGAACCCATAGGCTGCCCCAGAATGTTTTACCGAAAGCCCCCTCAGGGGTCTGCTCCCCAGCTCCGTCTCTCACTCCATTTGGGTACCACTCGAAGGGCAGCTAATCTAATCAGCTAATCTATGCTAAATTATTAATGGGATCCAAGAGGTTAATGTGTAACAAGCATACACTCCATCAGAGGCCTGCTGGAGACAGACACAAGGCCTCTGTGAGTCATTAGAGTCTTGGTGGGAATTTCAGGCACCAAGCAGCCTTCCTCAAATCAAATCAAATTCCAGACAGGCATTTAAAAATTCCTGCCAGCAAAAATAATTCATATATGAATGCAGTCAAATCAATACCGAGGCCAAAAAATATCCCCTAACTAGACCAGGACATAAGGGCTGAAGAAAATGGTATGTTGATGAGCTTTATAACCTCAGGCAAGTCAACATTACAGACTTCTCTGTGTCTCAGTTTTCCAATCTGCAAAATGGAGTTTGCGGTAAGAATTGAAATATGTAATCCATGTAAAGTTGTAAAGTGCCTGGAACAGAGGCTACCACATAATACACACTCAGCAAATGTCAACTCTTATTAGTATCATCTAGGGAATGGAAATTAGATGGTAGTCAAAGAAGATGCTCCAAAAATGAAGTTAAAAAGGGGTTTGTAGGCCAGGCATGATGGCTCAGTCCTGTAATCCCAGGGAGATTCTGTCTCTACAGTTTTTGTTGTTTAATTAGCCATGTGTGGTGGCATATGTCTTTAGTTTTGGCTACTTGGGAGGCTGAGGTGTAAGGATCCCATGAGCCCTGGAATTGAAGGCTATAGTAAGCTATGATCGCGCCACTGCACTTCAGCCTGGGCAACAGAGTGAGATTCTGTCTCAAAAAACCAAATAAACCAAAAAAGGAGTTTCTATATAGCAGTTTCCATTTGTGTTTTCTATGCAATTTGGCCCATAGTATAGCACATTGGAAATAGATTGGGTTAAGGCTCAGACTCTCTTCTTCCTGGCTGTGTGACATTTTGGACAAGTTTCTCAACCTCTTTGAGCTAATTTTCTCAACTGTAAAATAGGGGTAATAATACCTACCCTACAATGCTGACCAATGTATTACATATGATAATGTGTGTAAAGTGTGTAGCATAGTGATCCCATATGCACATAAGAGCCTAACAGATGATGGCTTTAATTATCATCTTATGTTTTCCAGCCTTTATAACTGCAGCCTGGAAATCCCAATCAGGAAGTGATGGTACCTTCTAATGGGAGTGATAAACAGAGTCCCCAGTGCCTAATGGAGATTAAATCTTAATAATACCAGGGTCAGTCCAACAGGCACAAGGCAATTTAGCTGGGTTGAATGAGAGATTCAACTTTAACCAGCCACAGATGTCCCAAAGAAGTAGACACAAGGCAGGATTTTTATCTGTCTGGTTATTGAGACTGCCTCATTCCAAGAAAATAAAGGACCGATAATCTCCACTTCTAAGGTCCTAAGATCCTAAGAGACCAAAATGTGGCTTGGCTATTGGTCTCCAGTGACAAGTTCAATAGGTCTAGCAAAATAAATCCATGCCACTATCCCTGTTTCATTTTATCTGTATTTTCTGATTATGAAACTATCAAAGAAACATGCAAAGGAGTCACAAAATAGAAGAATATAAAAGTTCAAAAGTAAAGACTGCCTATGTTCCTAGTAACCATAAATAATCACTGTTAATATTTTCATGCCTTTACTTCAGATATTCTGTTTACACACATGTACCCAAATAGAGTTTATCATTAAAAAAAAATAATATCCTACCAAACATATTAGTTTATCACCTGCTTGTTCACTGAATATATATTCTGTGTTTGGTAACATAAATTCAGGCCATCATTTTTAACAGCTGCATAGGAATCCATTATATGCCTGCCCCATAATGTATTGATCTATCTTCCTCCCAAAGGGCACTTAGGCTGTTTCCAGGCTTTTGCTATAATAAACAACACTGTACTGGATCTCGTTCATAAACACCTTTACACAATTGTCTGATTATTTCCTTAGGCACAGCATTGATGGGTCACAGAGTAGACAGTTCTTAAATGCCTTAAGAAACAAAAATTACCTGGCCTTGCTGAGATGGGAAGGTGAGGGAGAAGTTTGAGTTAGAGAAAAACACTTGCCTTCCAGGCCCAGGCAAACAAAACAGCCTTCTTCCCTGCCTTTCTCTCACCCACCTACCAGGAAGCACTGATAAGAACCACTAAATCCTCTTGTGCAAAATTCAGGGTCAAATAGAGAGTGTCCGTGAAACAGAACTTGGGATCTCATCTGGAAACAAGCAATGGGAAGGATCCGCAGGAAGTGGCTTATAAAAGCAAGCCACTCTCCAAAGGGCTCCCATAGGCCTTTTGCTTGTGCCCCTGGTGTGTGGGGCTAGCAGGCAGTGAGCACAGTGAATTTTACTGAGGACCCAGTATGTAAAGGACACTGCAGTCACAAGGGCATGCCATAGGGAGAGAAGACACCCCACTTCCCATCGTGAACCCTAAAGAACTCACAAATAGGATGAAAAGACAAATAAATGCAGAGACACTCAAATGGCCCAAATGTATACACATAGACATAACCAGTGATGACAAAACAGAGACAATCAGGAAGGGCAGCCACTGGGCCAAGAGAAACTTGCAAGAAAGAAAATATTTAAATGTTGCATTGGGTACAGAGGAAACAAGGGGACAGAAAGCACCCTCAGCCTTGCTACTAGCTGGCAGGGTGACCTTGGGCAAGTCCCCTAAACCCTTCATGATTACCCAGAAGCACTGGGCTATTACCTTTGAATTTTAGTATTTGGAGTTTTCCTTTCCTCATTGTGGTGTTTTGTTTTCTATTTTCATGAACCTTAAAAAACACCTACCATTCTGTGATTGTCTACCACATGCTAAATAAACACTGTCCTGGGAGCTTTCATTATTTCATACTCATTTAGCCCTAACTTCAATCTTGAAAGGTACATGTTATCCTCACTTTATATTCTAAAGTGTGCTTGAAGTCATACAACTAACCAGGAATATGGACAGTTCCTGGTTTTCTCCTCCTGGCACAGAGAAGTTGCTCAATAAAGACTTGATGGCTAACTGAATAAATGCACGCATGAATGAAGAAACGGAACTGTAGACTCCTTTCTAAACCCATAAAGTTTTCATTGCAGTAGACTCCTTCTATGCTTCCCTTTTTAACATAAGTTATCTCAGAATCCTTTTTTGAAAATTAGGCATACCTCAAGATTCAGAAATGACCAAGACATATTCCATCTGCGTGTGAAAGTGTCACAGTCATTGTGTCTTGCCCTGCTCCTACTCCCATGATCTGGTAACTAAAGGGTTACACTGAGCTCAGCAGGAGACCTCTCTCCCAAGGCTAGGGAAGGTTCGGATGGGTTGGTGTTGAATATATAGGATATCACTCCTGGGAGGAAGCATCTTAACATCCTGCAACTTCAGTTTCCTTATCTGCACAGAATTAGATTGTTGGCCTAGACAAGACTGCTAAGGACTCCTCCAGTTCCAGTATCCTATCATCCTATGAGAAGAGGAGACATGGAAAGCACTGATGTAGAAAGTCAAGTCCACAGCAATGCCAACAGCAAGTGACAGATAATGACTACTGCCTTAAACCCAACTTTAGCAGTGACTCTCAAATTTAGCTAAACATCTGAATCACTTGGAGCACTATTAAAACCACTGATTCTTGCTTCATCACATTTGCCTGGGAGAGGGGTTAGTTTTGTTTTGTTTTGTTTTAAAGAATCTGCATTTGTATGAGGCTCCCAGAGTACTTCTAAAGGTCACTTTTGGTTACCAACCACTGCTCTTGATTGGGGGTTGGGAGGGAAGATGAACCACTGAATCTGAGTGGATTGCTATTGCTAGGCAGCCCCTTTTCTCTCTGGCAAGAGGGACTACTCCCACCTCAACCTACTTTCACTCCCTGTGCAAAGGCTACCTGGTTCCAGAGGTGTCCTTGACCTGTTGGTCCATTCCTCTGATACCTGCTGGTGAATCGTGCCATATTCTAAACTGTTCTGAGAAGCTGCATCTGAATTCAAAGAAGGGGTGCAGAAGTAGCTGGAAGAGAGAGACCAGAGTGGCACAGCCCAGCAGCAACCTTTGGAAGAGCTGATCAAAACTGCTGGGCTCCTGGTTCATTACAAGGGATGAAGGAACGGCATGCCATATTGGTCAGGAGCAAGCAAACACTAGGAGGAAAACTAAAAGTACTGGCATTGTGATTTGGAAGGTGGTAATTAAAGGCCCCAACCTTAATAACGACTGGAACCAAAATAGACTTTTATTTTATTTTTTTTAACTAACGCATCTTCATTGTCTTCGAGCCTGACATTTTTAAGATTCACTCTTCTTTGTGTTTTTAACAGGATTTGACAATGACATTTCCTCCAGCCCAGGAAATCAAATGTCCATTAACTTGCATAATTAATATTTTAAAATGAACCTTGAAGATTTTTTTGAATCACAGTACTAATTAAGACTTTCTCTTTCTGCCCCCTCTCTCTTTTCCACACAGACTCCTGCACAGAGAAAATGGGTCACGGAATAAGACAGAGAAACATGGGTCATCATTGTGGACTAGCTGTGAGATCTTGGGCAAACTACTTCATCTCTGTAAATCTCAGCTCCTTTTCCAGGTATTATACAACAGAGTTAGGAATGGTAACTACCTCATAGGTTTGTGATAAGGATTAAGCAAGGTGGTACATGTACAGTGCTTTGCATAATGCATGTACAGAATAAAACAATAATAAATAGTCATTTTTTAAAATGTTGACCTGTAGCCGCTTTAGGGGAGAAGAATATCATGAAGTGTCATTGGTCAATAAATTCATCAGTGAAAAAAATATTTCAGTGTCTTCTGAATATATACTAATAAGATGGAAGGAGGGGAACTGCAGATTTCATTTCTGTATGTTATGTATACATTTCATGTTATGTTTACATTTATACACATGTCTAAAATGTGTACTTGCTAATACAGATTTGGGAAGTCAAGAAGTTTAGGTCAATGGTCTTACTAGCACGGTCAAAACTGTGATAAATGTCCTGTCCATTAAACTTGCTGGTGGCTGGCAGTCTTGACTGTATACCTGCTGCTGAAACTATTGTTTTTGATGTATCTAAGTATACTTGCCCCTCTACTCCTCATATCCCTTGGCTCTTTAGAGTCTGACAGAATGCTTTAGTTATATTCCATCTTGTTATGGTGGTAAGAACACAGAACTGGATGGGATAAAGCCAAAAGACCTACAATGTTACACCCTTAAATTTGGCTACTTGTAGGTTATAAATAGTCAATGTTATCTTTTATTAAAGGATTCACTTTAGAAATAATAATTCCAGGAGAGAATAGGACACCACATGCTATCCCAGTGAACAACCTGGTACAGGTATAAGATGAAGTAAGTGATCCTCTGGGGAGCATTTGAGGAAACTCCCTGGTGGTCTTGAATTTAGGCCTTGTTTGGAGATACCAGAAAGACCCTGAGATGCTATTTAATTTGGAGAAGCAATTTTAAAAATAAAGAATAGAAAGAAAGATAAAGTTTTAGAGACAGGGAAGTCCAAGAATTTTTTTTTAAGTATTTTCACGAACATCCTAAGACGCAGGACCAAATTGAGGAATTATTTCATAGGATAACCTATCATCAGGCAGAAAGTAACCAGGCTTCTGAGGCAGTGAAGTGTTGCTACAAGACTGCAGATGAAGAAACACAGACAGAAGCTTTCCAGGGTGCCCAGAATGACATATCCTTGACAATGGCCAAACATGTCAGCGCAAAACCTCAAAGAATCTGGCCAGGATGGAAGGAGACTAGCAGTGGGCACATAGGATTTGACTGGTTGATTGGTACCTCACAGCATAACGTACAGGTACCTTGCTACAGTTCCTTAAGTCACAGAACATGAGCAAACCTGAAGTTTCTAGGAAACATTCAACAAACACATATATGTTTTCGTGGCTTCCATTTATAAGACATTTCTGTAACCCTACATGGTGAAACAAACAAAAAACACCCAAATGAACAGAAGATGCCAAAAAAAAATACATGCATTTGGTGACTGAGGGTGCTACTATCATGACCTGAATATTACTCAAGGTTAAGCCTAAAAATCAGCAACTTCAACAGAAAAGGTGGCTCTTCCCATAGAGGGCATGGAGTCACTGCTTTGAGTTCAAATCCTGACTTTATAACTTCTTAGCTGTGCACCTTAGACAAGGTACTAAACCTCTCCTTAGTCTCCACATCTGTACAGTGGGGTATGTATCCCTACATCATTTGAGGACTGAATAAACAATAATGCATATGGTTG
This sequence comes from Homo sapiens, assembly GCF_000001405.40. Classification (NCBI taxonomy): domain Eukaryota; kingdom Metazoa; phylum Chordata; class Mammalia; order Primates; family Hominidae; genus Homo; species Homo sapiens. Next base: position 64,681,107 of record NC_000003.12, read on the forward strand.
CACTTTGTAGACTGAAAGAGAGCTACATCTCTGTAGTATAGCAATTTACCCATCTCAAAGAGCTGGGCTCTCCGCTTAAGCAAGAAGCAAATACCTGAGGTGTCACATGCATGCCTTCCTGTTGAGGGCTCTCTCTGGGGGGCGCTGCGCCTATAAATGATGTGGGGTTTGTTTTGTTCCTCTTCATCTTCTTGTTCATCCATAGACTGTAGTGGTTCAATAAAATAATCCCCATCATGAGACCGGAATGTGCCCAGCTGCAAATGAAGAGAGATGGGAGGTTGATTTAACGTAACTCAGTCATTGGGAGGAAAAAAACCAAAAGAACATTTTCAAGTAGAGATGGTGTCATTTTACCCAATCTCTTTTTCAGGAGGGTTGTTTCAACTGAAAATGCTGCAACATATGCGGAGAAGTGGTTTATTTCCACTCTCTGTCATATCAGTATATTTTCTAAAAATTATTTATTATTTACTATTCTTATTATTTTAGAGATAGGGTCTTGCTCTCTCACCCAGCCTTGAACTCCTGGGCTCAAGCAAACCCCCCACCTCAGCCTCCTGAGTAGCTGGGATTATAGGTGCATGCCATCATGCCCAGCTAAGTTTTTTACTTTTTGTAGAGATGGGGGTCTCAATATGTTGCCCAGGCTCAATATGTTGCCTGGCTCAGCCTCCCAAAGTGTCATATCAGTAACTTATTCTTGATTTGACTTCAGTTGATTGTACCTGCTATCCAAATCTGTCTCTAAGAAATACTTCCTTAGAGCTCAAGTTCCAATCATTCCTGCAGGCTGTCGAAAGAGTCTTGGAAACTTAGAGAGCCTAGAAACTTAGGGACAAGTATGCACTCCAGCAGGAAAAGCTGGCCTATTGAAGTCTTCCCATTGATTCAAATTCAAGAAGCATATGTTGGCCACAATGCATTCAAGGTGGTACCACCTGTAACGCTGGCACATGATCCTCTCACCAACCCTTTCCTTTGCAAAATAGGGGAGTGATGTCCTGCAAGGCTTTGAAGCCAGATTGCCCTAGGTTCCAATTTCAGCACCAGCACCTACCCATTCACCTTGGGCAAGTTCCTTAACCACTCTGTTTAAGCTTCCTTGTTCGTCAGCTGGGGATAAAGATACTTAATGTAAAGAGTTACTGTGCAGATTAAATAAGATAATGATAATTAAGTGCTTAGCAAAATGCCTGACACCTTGCAAAGGCTTAGAACTCGTGAACGGTTTTTGGTGTTGCCAGTGTTAGCCTCTAACCATTAGGATAAAATTTGCTCTTACTAATCATTCTAAGCACCTTGCAAGTCATTTTTGCTCCTTTTCACCCCACATACCCAAGTTTTTACAAATGATAAATGATACCTCAAGATTGAACCACCCAAACTAAAAATTACAAGAACACTGAAAAATTCCCCATGCCAAGTTGCTGAGTGGTGTTTAAGAGGAGAAATCAAGCTCCACTCTTCTCCTCCGCTTTCTCATTTCCCGTGCTGGAAAAAAAATCTGATGCCTTGCATCCTTCCATTGACACAGGAGAAATGACTCCCTGAACATCAGCAGCTGCATCCGCATCAGCATCATCCAGGAGCTTATTAGAAATTCAAATAATTGTGCTCCACCCCAAATCTGATCTATTGAATCAAAATCTCTAGGGGTAGGGCCCAAGAATTGAAATGTTAATGAGCTCCCAGGGTATTCTTACGCATGATAAAGTATGAGCAGCACTAGGCTAAGACGTTGGCTCCCCAAAACAGCTAGCTTCAAAATTGCCTGGGAAGGTTTTTTGTTTTTGTTTTTAAATTAGATTTAGGGCATTACCCCCTACTCACAGATTCAGAATTTCTAGGGATGGATCTAGAATGTTTTTGTTTTTTGTTTTAAAAGCTCTCCACATGATTCATGAGCCCCTGGTTTAAGAAAAGGGCAGCTCAGGTGTGGTCAGACTAAGAGACAGAGTAGCTAGTTGCCAGAGAAGCAGTGATTTAATAAATTTATTCTCTGCCTGTGTTCAATACACAACTCTGGTGTTCTCTGAGCACAAATCAGAGAGCATATCACAACATGTGAAGCCTATCAGAGACATGAGTCCTGGGAAAGAGCCAGGGAGCTCAGCTGGTGACGATTTGCCACCTTTGATTGGTAAATGGGGAAACCAAGACACAGAAGGAGGAAGTGATTGGGCCCAAATTCCCCTTCAATGGTACAGAAGCAGCTGCACAGCATTGAGTCTAACCTGACTTTAGTCTCGTGCCTTTTTATAAAAGAACCCTGAGGTTCTCTTCAGGAGAACAGGATCAGTCTCTGGTCTATGGTTAAGCACATGGATCAGAAAGACCCGGTTGAAATCCCAGCGCTGCCACTTACGAGCTGTGAGATCTTGAGCAAGTCTCCAGCTCTCAAAGTCTCAGATTTTTTTTTGTCAGTAAAATGTGTTGTTCTGAGGATTGGGTTCTTGGAGGATTTGGATGAGATAATACATATGTAAACTACTTACAGTAGTGCCAGGCAGACATTAATAGTAAGAGCTCAATAAATCATATCAATGTGATGCCAAAATTAATTGTACTGTTGATTCACAAAGGTGGGCCTAAGAGTTATCTTTTCTTGGTTAAGGTGACTATTTATTCAAACATATATGCTAAGTATATACAACATACAAAGCTCCAATATAGGAGAAAAATGAGTTGATGCTGACCCTGTTGCCAAGGAGAAAAGGATAGAACATGTGTACCAAGAACCTTGATACAAGGGAGAACGTACTAAGCATCATAAGAGAGACTCTCAGAAGTGTCTATGAAGGGGGAGGGGGAGAGATGACATCAACATGGGGAACTATGAAAAGGTCTTCTGGGAAAGAAGAGATATAAATTATATACACCTCCAAAGAAGGGTAGGATTTGAGCATGTGAAGATGAGTGAGAAGACCAAGTAAATTCCAAGGCACAAAGGCAATGAAGACTAGGATTGAGGGTGGGGTGCAGAGAAAGCAGTGTAAAACCCATGGCCTGAAATGCAGGATTTGTGGAGGAAAGATTGGGAGCTGAGACTGGACATGTGGATGTGAGTGAGTGCACTGTAAATAGTCTTAAATGCCAAATGGAGTTAGCGATCGAGGAGAAAGACTGGAGAAGAAGCCCAGTGTAATATTTCTTAGACATCAGTCCTAAGGAGAGAGGGGGAGAAAAGTGAAGCGGGATAGATTTAGGGTAGAGATGTTCAGGAGAGGCGGGCGACCCATCTCAGATGAAATTCAGAAAAACTGACAACTGACTAGGGGTGGCAGGATGGCACAGCCCACTCCAAAATCTGGTAGACTCTGGTAGACTCTTCAAGATTTCCTGGAAGACTCCTAGGCGGAGAACTAGCAACATCTTGATGCCACTGCTGCAGAAGTGGTAAGGGGAAGTCTTGGGAGGAGATAACTTCCAGAAGGAAGACAAAGGGGCAGGGGTTTTGGAGCTAGATTAATGGCTGAAGATACGAAGAACCAGAACGCATATCTTTAAGATGTATGAGGGCCCTTTTCCCCAAAAGAGGCAGACTGCGAATTAAACGCAATATAAATGAGGTTATCACAGTCCAGGTAGTCGTTTCTGAAGCCCTAGTCCTCAGTTCCCAAAGAAACCACGTGCGCACTACCACCTAAAACTGCCAATGAAAATGAAGGTCCTGCGCAGTAAAATATTTATACAACTGCTGGGGCCACTAGGCTTCAGCGGGTGTGGAGGCGGGGAGAGAGGAGGAGTAAAGGCTGTTTACAAACTTGACGTACACACGCAGTCCTATCCCTACGGTCCTGGAATTGGGGGTTACTATCTTGGAATCTAGGGGCACTCCAGGCTCTGGGCTCAGACGGCTGGCTTCTGCCTACCCGAGCCTTAACCTTTCAAGGACCAGAAGGATTCCAGAGCTCTTGCCCTAGGTCCTGGGGCAGCGATGACTCACTGCAGCACCCCCTCCCACTTCGCCAAGCTGCCGTCTCCGCCCACCCCCAAACAATCTCGACAGCGCATTTCGGGAGCCACGGCTCCGGGCGCTTTGCTGGGGGCTAAAGGGGTTTATCCCTTTCCTTGAATCCCAGCAGGCTAGAACTACCCCCTCCCAGTCTTCAGGCTTGCCACGCTCTCCACCCGATCCTTCCATTGAAAGGCAGAGAAGGAAGGATGTGCTTGGGAACTTTAAGACCCACGAACGACAGCGCACTGATGGAGCAGCCCAGTGTCTGGGGGTGAGTATCCAAGGCCCCGCTTAGAAAAGGGAGGGAGGGGCTGTGGGTGCTTCGGGAAGAATAAAGGCATCACCGGGCACAGTGCCTACGACCCCATTGCGCTTACAGCGCCGTGCGCTGGGAGAGACTGACCCGGGAAAGTTTCTGCGTCACACGCGCGTGGCAGAAACGCACGTCGCTTGGGAAAGTCAAGGACCACCCTTGCTCGGGCCAGAACCGTACCGCAGCGACTCCTCAAATGTCGTGGAGAAGTGGGGGGCAGATGCCTTGTAAGATCCACTGGAGGGCACATGCGGGGGTCGACAGAGAGTCGGGGAACCAACGTGGATTCCCTGCTAAATGCTATTTGGCAGCGCAAGAAGGCGGCCTCCCCGCCCTGCCTCAGTCCCTAGGGAAACGTGCGCCGCAGGCTCCCTCTCTCCACTCCCTGGAACCCGTGAGTAGTAGAAACCCCAGAGGAACCGAAATCACGTCCGGACAGCCTCTCCAGGCTGTCTCCCACTATCCCGTTTCTCCCGGCCACCCCGCCAGTAGGGTGCAGAGTTGGACTGCGCTGCACCCCCACTCTCGGTTCCACCCCAATTCAAAGCGTCCGGGGTAGGCTCCGCCTTCTCCCCCGCCCCCAGAGCCCTCGGCCCACCCTTCCGTTCCTGGGACGGGACCTGCTCCCTGTCAATCCAGTTCAGCCTCAGGGTTCCTGGCGCGTGAATAAAGGCCCTGAGAGAAAGCGGGGACTCTAGATTACGCACCGCCCTCCACAACACACACTGAAGGAACTCCCAGTGCCTTGGGCAGGGGATCCTCAGCCCCACATCCCCGATGCAAGGCGCACCAATAAGGAGTCTGGTCCGCCCTGCGCTCAGCGGCTCCGCTCCCGGGTGGCCAAGTTTGCTGCAGGGAACCGCAACTCCAGTAACTTTCTCCGAGTTTGGAAACTGACTTCCAGGCCGCCTCGCAGCGTTGGGCAACGCGCCGCTGAACCGAGTCCAAACTCCAGAAAGCTCTGAAACATCCAGAAGCCCCTGGGGGCGGGTGTGTGCGCTCCACGCCAGTGTACTCGCACGCACAGAGCTAGCTACCCAAACCATACGAGTTTCTAGCTGATATTTAACGCCGGAGAGGAGCGGAGCCTCGCCACAGTGAGGGTCTCTAGGCTTAGAGGACAATTAAGTCTTCTAGAAGCGGGCGAGGAGGCGGAAGGGGAGAGGAGGTGGCGCGCGCCCACTTACCATTCCTGAGCAGAGGCTGATGACGGCCGTGTGCTCGGAGTTGGTATTGACATAGCCTTTGTAGAAACAGTGCTTGAGTTCCGCTTCCTCTTCGGAATAAAACTTGGTCTGATTCACCCCGGGCGTCCCGAGGAGGGTGACAGTGAACAGTGGAGCGATAAATCCGGCATTGGCGGTGAGATTAAATAGAAACTGCTGGCCGAAGGCAGAGAGGCGGTAATGCGCCTGGGAGGAGGTAGAGGAGGAAGAGGAGGAGGCGAAGGCAGGCCAGGGGTCAGTGGCAGAGTTAATGCTCCGTCGCGTTCTTTTGAAGTGGACGTTCGTGGGAAAGGGTTCTCCGAGAGCGTTCACTCGGATGGGAGACACGATTTCGTATTCGCTCAGGGTCTCTAATAATTTCACTGCGGAGAGAAGCAGAGGTATATGAACCAATAATTCATTTTTCCTTAAGCTTTAATTTAAAACGAAGGTGGGGACTTTGTTCTGACCTTATTTTCCAGCCCATTCGAGTCAATCCCTTCACCCTTAATCAGTGGACAAATATTTGCTGAGCACCTACTATGTGCCAGTAACAGGACCTGTGCTAGGTGCTGAGGATACACTATTCCGAGCCAGACAATTAACAAGTCAAAATATATATGATTTCAGATATTGATAAATAACCTGAATAAAATAAAACATGACGCTATCTGGTGCCCCCAATTACTAAGTTACTTTAGTTTGCGGCGTGGGAGTGGGGATGGGGATATATCTGGCAACAGCAAGGTAGGGGGGGGTTGCCTAAATTCGTTTCCATAGTGTCCCTCCCTAGCAATTGGTTGGGGATGACCCAAAGAAGGGAGAGGCTGCAAAGCGGGAGATAATTCTTTCTAGGAAAAGGAGAGAAGCCTCCGCTGCGGGGTGCCCCTGCCCAGGAGCGAGGACCGGGAGGCGGCGTCGGGGCCGGCGGGGTCCCGGGGGCCGGAGCCTGGTTACCTTGCCTCGGGTGCAGCCTGTCCTTGCGCACGGCCGCCGCGGCGTCTGGGCTCCCCATCTCGGCCAGGTCCCGCACCAGGAGCGTTAGCAGTGTGGCCCAGGATACAAACTGCATGGTGCTTCCCACCCCTCCCTCCGCTGCCCCCACCCCCCTCCCTCCTGCCCTCCTTGGCTGCGGCGGCGACGCGAGGCAGCGGCCGTGGAGAGCGCGCGGAGCCCGGCGCCCGCCGCCAACTTTTGACTTTAGGAGTCGCTGAGGTCTCGCTGCGAGGGTCCCGTCTGCGCTCGGCTGAGCAACGCCGCCGCCTGCCGAGAGCTGAGCCGCTCGGGCCGCAGGAGGAGCCGGAGGAGCAGGAGGAGGAGGAGGACTGGGGCTCGGCTGCTTGGCCGCATAATGCCCAGCGAGCGGGCAGGAGAAGGCGAGGAACTTGCGCTCCGAGGCGCGCCGGGCGCCCTGTGCTGGCCGGGATAGCTGAGCGGCTTCTTGAATGGGGGGCTGGGGGGGCGGAGGCGGGGGGGCCGCGGGTCCACAGCCTCTCAAATGCCCCCGGTGCACGCCTCTAAGAGGAGGAGAGGGGAGGAGAAAGCGAGACGAACGGGGACCGCCTCCTTCCAGACCATGTCCCCTCCTCGGCCGGCCCGTGCGGGACTCGCAGCCGGAGGCCCTGCCGGCTGCAAGAGGCGGAGGCCAGAGGCGTCACCAGCGCCGGGGCAGCTGTTCCTGGTCCCCGCCACCTCGCTGAAGTGGGGTTTTCTGAGATTCCCTGCCCCGGGGAGGGAAAGCAGGGAAAGTTCTCTCCCTTTCCTGGCGCGCGTGCAGCCACTTCCCCTCTCGTCTTTTTCCTCTCCTCTCCTCTCTCTCCTCCCTTCCGAGTCTCTTTTTCCTCCTCCCCCTTGTCTCTCTGCTGCTGTGCCTCTCGGACTCTGTCCCTTCTCCCCATTTTCCCCTGTGATGTCTGTCTTCTCCCCGCCCCACCGTGTCCCTGTCTGTTTCTCACATTTCTCCTTTTCCTTTCCTTTCTCTTCCGTCCCCATCTCTTGCCACCAGTCCCCATCTTTTGGTTTCTTACAAGTGAAAGTGGCCCAGCGCCGGAGCGCCTTCCCTTCCTACACTTTTTCATTCGGGAAGAGATTTGGCACCTGAGCTCCGCTCTCGATTTAATCACCCCAAGTCAAGAGTTTTAGAAATGGGGTTCTTAATCCTGCAGGTCGGAGTGTGTTTCTAATACGTGGTCTCTTGAAAATTTCGCAAAATATTTAAGCTGTGCTTTCCACCAACCTCTGTCACCATTCATGGAGGGTCCATAGCATTCTGTAGGTCCCCTGCCCCAAAAAAGGTTAAGAACAAATTTTGGCAGCAAGAAGGGGCGGGGACTCTGGCGCCCCTCACTACCAGGGGGTTTAGAGATGGGAGGGGAAGGGGGGATGGAGTGTAAAGTTGTAGATCCCTGTGGGAGGCACCAGTCCCTGGAGGGATTTCTCAATCACTTCCGCTTGCTTTCAGCCTGAGAGATGCTTGGAAAGACTGGGAAAGACTGAAAGCAGGCGCTTCAAGCTACACCTTCGTGTGTGTGTGTGTGTGTGTGTGTGTGTGTGTGTGTGTGAATTGTTCAATCTTGGGTGGTTCAGTGGCGCCTTTTCTTTAACCAGCCCTCAGGAAGATAGAATTTCAAGATAATTTCAAGAGGAAAGACATGACAATATCGTTAAAAATATATAAATATATGACTAATAAATATATATTTGCCCAAGTATCCTAGAACGGGGGTTGAGGTTCTGTTGCGTGGTAGGTTAGCACTCAGGACTAGAAATACCAAAGATTGCCAACACCAGGAACCAAATCGCAATATGCTAGCAATGTCAACTATTCTTGAGATACTAATACATATATTTCTTCTGGTGAAGGGTAAAAATGACTTGGCAAGACGAATTTGCTAAATAATTGTTAACCCAAATTGATAATGTTACCATCGTCTTATTACTGGAATTTCATAATGGATATGTAAAATGTAAGGATGGAAAAATAACATCTGTATTGTGCACAATTAGAGATTTTTAGAGAATGGCATTTAAACCTTGAACCTCCAAATTAATTCACTAAAATACGTTTCTTCTAATACACAATCTTTCTTTTTATTATAACAACATTCCCCACAATCACAGTGTCTGGGAGTTGCTGAAAATTTAGTAAGGAACAGAAAAATATCAAGAAATCAATCTATTGGCTGATTCCTGTGGAAAATATTCCAGTACTTCCATTGTAAAATTACTCAAAAATATAGCACTTTCCAGTATTTCCCATTAAATCTTTTTTTCTCTTTCAGTTCAAATCCTTCCTGACAAAGAGAAGTTAACTAATGGTATAGAAATTACGATATGTAGGGACAGAAGCCTCCTTTGTGTACTCTCTCTCCTTTGCTTTCTTTCTAGGACTTTGCTTGAAGAATGAACTTTGTCTACAGTTTTAAAAAATTGATCCACAAGAGCTGATAGGCCAGAAAGATACAAAATATCTCTTGGTGAACTCCTGAGGTGACCAAGAACCTAGGTTTATGAATTTCTCATCCTTAGTGAGTCTACCCATCTTTTCTTCAGTGTATTAGCTGGCTTCTGCATTTACATCTGTAAAAAAGTCTTAAAGAATCTTAGGAAAATGTCTTTTAAATCGTGAGACATGAAAAAGACAGTTGAGCTAACTAAGCAAGTCAGGCAAAAATCTTTTGTCTGAATAATTACTCTTTGTCTAAATAAGTACTCTTATTCAGTACTTACCATGGGGTAACATATAGCATTTAATTTAATTCTCAAAACAGCTCTTTCAGGAAGTCAGTGTCAGTAATCTCATTTTACCAATAAGGATACCGAGATCTGAATAAGTGAAATAATTTGACCCCCCTCAATCCAGTAAGTGAGAGACACGATTCAAACTCCGTTTCAGTCGTTCAATCCAAGTTCATAACTATTATCATATGTCATGAATAACTGATTAATCAGAAGCACTGCTAGATTTTTGGAGGGTTGCTTTGTGGGAAAATGGCTAAAATCATTCAGAGAATTGCCTCAAGCTTTTATTGCATGTATAACTTTTCTTTAGCTCTCTCTTATTCTTCTCATGCAAAGTATTTAATGAAAATCATGTCAGCGATTTCATTGATATTTCACAGCTTTTCCCTCAGCAGTTAGAAGAGATCTGGCACATAGTAGGTAGTCAATAAGTATTTATTAAGACTAGGCATGGTGGCTCACACCTGTAATCCTAGCACTTTGGAAGGTTGAGGTGGGAGGATTGCATGAGGTCAGTTCAGCGGTTCAAGACCAGCCTTGGCAACATAGCAACCCCTTGTCTCTACAAAAAAAGAGAAAAGAAATAATAAAATGAAATAAAATAAATTGGCCCCTCATAAAAATTTGCTCTGAAAGAAGCAAACCTTTTCAAGGTCACCTGGAGTTAAAGGAGGGACAGTTTTTAGCCCGTTTTCTTCGTGGGACTTTACTGGAATTGAATGGTATTGTAGGTTAAGTGGAAGTATTCATTGGCTGATTCGTCATGAAAATTAGATCCCAGAGGAGTGATGAATGATATTAGTCACTAGGGAGAGATAATCCGGCCAATGGAAATGACAGTGATGACATCACAAATGACTCTGTTTGCCTAATGCCACTGGAAACAGCAGGAAGGAGACTTGAAGCAAAGCCATCAATTTCCACAGAAAGGGGAAACCCACACCCAAATGGTAGGGAGGGCCCAGGAGCCAGAATTCAAGTGAATAGTTTCCTGAGTGGTCAGCAGCGTCAGGTGATTTGGGGAACAGATAAGCCCCTGGTACTTGGTAGCACTGCATTCTGGTCAGTGAATCACCAAGCTGGGACCTGGTGCTGGCTGAGCTCTGTGACCTTGGGCCTAAAGAATCTTAGGGAGATGTGTTTTACATGACAAGAAATGAAAAGGACAATTGTGCTAACTAAATAATTTGGGTTCCAATCTTTTGTCTGAATAATAATAATGAGAATCTTTTCTTGAGTACTTACTATGTACCAGACCATGTGTACTATGTCCTCTCTGATCCGGTTTCCTATTTGCAGACTGCAGCAGGTAGAAACTGTGTTGTCTTTGTTTGCCCTGTGAGTGAATGACCTTAGTGTATTTTTTAAAAGTCTTCTAACTACTGACTTCAAGCAACAGGTACTGTAGAGAAAGTAGTTTGTATCATTATTGATAATAACAGTAGATTCCCTTCATTGAGTTCTTTGTGCTAATTATTCAATCCTCATAGCTATCCTGCCATCTGGGTTTTACCCTCCTCATTTTACTTACAATGAAAATAAGACCCAGCAAAATTAAAGTGACTTTGCCTGGCATTATGGAGTCAGAATGTGCAGTTGGGATTTACACTGGGGTCCAGTTACCTCCAAAGCTTGTGATCTCCATTAATCAGAGCAGCCTAGTAACATAAAGACTGTCGCCTAATTGATCTTCATCATTCAGCATTTATATTTGGCCTGATGAATACCATCTGTGAGAACATCATTTTTTCTTCTAATGCTAAATCTAAAGTTCTAACTAGCTTTTCTTGACCCTACTCTGAAAGTCATAGTTCCACTTTGGAGGTGGCTCTGTATAGCTCATGACCAGCTTATAGCAGTTCTACGAAGGTGATCCGATCTTCAGCCTGTTCACTCAGCAGGAGCTCCTTGTTGACTTGTCATTCTAGAAGACCATACTCACATTATTGCTCAGGCTTTAAAACTCCATATGCATCCCACTAATCTTTCCTTTGACTGTATTCTTAGGGCTTCAAATCCTTTTTCTCCTCCCTCTACTATCCTTGAAATGAGAGCTTCACACCTGGGGTTCAACATCATAACTACAAATGGAATTCAGAAGTGCTAGGCTTCTAGCTTTGATCCAAACTACTTCCAAACTGCAGCCAAATTAGCAACACAATGTGTGCAAATACAATTTTATTATTCTCTAAAAGTGCACATTTGATGTAGACAATTGTTAAATATATGGCATCTTTAACTAGCGGGGAATCTGATAACTCTAGGAGTATTTTGAGTCATGCCAGAGTGCTTTATGCTCCCTGAGTCCAGAATTTTCCCTTTCCTAGTTTGGTTCACATGTGTTGTTGTGTTTTGGTGTCCTTTGTTAGTCTTTAAGGTACACAAGGGCAAAGGACAAATCTATTTTCTCCATGGTTACATAGTAGGCACTTCACAAATATACCTTAAATGAGCTTACTGTTGCCGCTAATTTGGTTCTAGTTTTCAGAGCCAGGTTTTTTGTTTTTAATTTAGAAAAGCCATTCTTTTACACACACACACACACACACACACACACACACACCAGGAATGATTGAAGTAATTTCTGTTTCTTACTGTATTATTATTACTCTTAGGAGGCAAGTCCTGCTTTAATCAGAATCATCATGATTCCTTTTTTCTGGAATGAGACATTTCCAGAGCTAGGCTTTCCCCAGTGGGTACTTCAGGATCATGAGTAACAAGGCACAGGGCCTCCCTTAATTGCTGAGCACAGCAAGTAAGAGTTACACCTATGCTGTGGGCAGTTTTGGTATCCTTTGCGGGTCCTAAAGAGAAGGTAATAATGGTTTCCTGCCTCATAGGGATGTTATGAAAATGACTTGATCAATGAAAGTGTTGGCTTAGTGCCTGGCATACAGGAAGTAAGAATGTTCAAATCAGCGGGCTTATGTGAACCCACCCACTAGTCAAGGAAGAGTGGTTCCTGACTCCTGACCCAGAGAGCCGCTAGCAGACTAGCTTTCCTTTCTCAGTTAACCTCCCCACAACCCCACTCCATAACCAATTTATGGGCCTTTCTCCCCTAGAAAAGAAAAAAAACAAAAACAAAAACAGCCATTTGTGTGCAAATGGGTATGTATTTTTTCATACTCATCTTTACTGTTAGCCCTTCATCCCTCTACAAAATGTTTAATGTTTTAAACAGATTTACTCCCTACAGTCTGCTTGGGTTAGTAGTTTATATAGATTTAATTTAGCATTTTCTCAAGTACTGGGCTTTTTTTCTGGCAGAATTTTTCAAATAGCCAAAACATAATTTTCCCTCTGAATATTAAAAAACACCAACAAAAAAGATTTTTACACGACAAATAATTTTTACACATGCAAAAAAGTAATTTTCAAAAGTAAGCACTTCTGCCAGATGATGCTTAATAAGTCTGTCCTAATGGTATTTATCTTAATGCTTACTTTCAGGAACAGTGGATAATACCATATTCAGTCCCCCTGACAAACCCCTGAAACAGGTAATGTCATTAGTCCTACTTTCTGGAGGAAATGAAGGCACAGAGAAGATAAGTAACTTGCCTGAGGTTGCACAGCCAATATGCAGCTGAGTGGGAGTTGAGTGCTAGGCTGTTGGATTTCAGAGCCTGCCCTCTTAAATTGCTACGTGACACTGACTCTCATATGTATTTATGTTTTATCAAGCTTAATATAGGATAAATTGTCGTGCTTAGGGATGTAGTCTCAAAGAGTGGAAATTCAGACATTAGTAGAAATTCAGGTATCAGGACAGTTGGGGACCAGGAGGCCAAAAGGGGGTATGGTTTAGGGAGTCATTCACAGATGTGGGATTCTGGATATCAGGACAACTGGAGTTGAGGAGAATGTCTTCCCAGCATCCCAAACCACTCATTCGCCTAACAATTAGACTGGCCCTTGGGAGCACTATTCTTCTTCATTGGTCTCATTGCCACAACCATTCTCACAAACTCCCATTGCCCTCAGCTCAGCCCAAGGCTTTGTATTGTTCAGGCTGTGCTGTGGGCCCTGCTCTAAAAATAGCATATGGCAAAGAGGCCTGTCTTGTAGTTGCAAAAGTGGTGTAGGATTTGAATTCCCCATGATGAGCTAATTTGGGGGCCCACTACAAAGATTTTCAGAAAACTTTTCAAAATAATCTCAACTACTGTGACTACGGAACACAATGGCAAGGGGCTGGGAGCAGGAAATAATACCTTCATTATCCAAACTAATGTGCATACATTTGAAATGTACAAAAAAGTAGATGTGTTGCATGTGACAACTCGACCTGGTAATGAGGTTTTGGGGCATCACATCAATGCTAGTTGTAAATACTGTATTTGCCATGTACTGCCTTTGGATTAATTAGCATCCATAACATAAAATAAGTTGTTTCCTGAAATGTAAACCTAGCAATTAGCGCTTCATCAAGTCCCTATCAGATGTTAGAAAAAAAATTGGTTTTGCAGTTGTTTTTTTCACCCAAAACAAGTCTGACAGTACATATTGGTGGCATTCACAGCAACATAACGGTAATAAACTTCAGCTACTGTTGGGCTCTTTGTAAGCGGTACAGTTACTAAAGCGAGAGTTTGGAAGTATGGTTTTCTTTTAGGCACCCTCACCAGCATGGTGAGGGTGCCTACATTCTAGTTAAAGTCAGTAACACAAATTAACTCATGTAAATGTTTTTAATCAGTGTTTCTTACAGCTGATTATTCAGCTCATTAACTCTGATCATAAATCTGGACTTTGGAAAACTTAACATTTGTTCTATGTTACCTTTTAGAACAAAATGGTGGCTGAGGTAGAGAAATGACTTGTTCTCTGACTGGTGACTTTGGTCCCTGCATCAAGGAGTGGCAGAGGTCTCAAAAAAAAAAAAAAAAAAGAGAAACCTGACAAAATTTGAGACCCTCTCCTCCACACTGACCAGGTGAAAAGGGAAAGGAACCATCCAGAGACAGTAAATAAATGAAACATCAGGCACTTGTTAAACAAAAAAAAAAAGGGAAGAACCATATGTTTAGCATATAAATATGTCCAAAATGTATTATTCAGCAAGCAAGTCTCATAGTGTTAGTCTAATTGGGTCCTCCTGTAGTAAAAATGAAATAAAATAGCAACAACAAAATCTCAGCCTGTGCTTAAAATATGATATACAGAGAAAAAATGTCTAGAAAGGTGGATATGCATTCACCCGTCACCAATGGTTCTCTCTGGAGTAAGAATTTTGGAGATATTTTACACTTTCTACATTTCAGTGGTGCCAATGTTTATATTGTTTGATTATTTTTACAACAAGAATATAGTATATTTTTAATGAGAAAAACTATGTTTTTCTTTGTAAATATACAGATGATATATAACAAATATATATGATAGTATCACCACTCTTAGGGAAAACTTTTCTCATAAGTTATATATAGGCCTAGCTTTTTCTGTAATATTCAACGTGTTTCATTACTTGAAAATAACCTTATATATTTTGCATATATGAGAACAAATACAAGGAAGAGATTTATGATGGTTGAGTCAGGCTTTTGAGGGAAATTTGTGACTTAGAAATACAAGTATTGGATATACAGTAACCCTGGATTTAAGACATGAATGGAGAATAATAGCTGGATAACAGGAAAAAATGTATAAGCTTTCCCAGCCCTTGACTAGTAAACAAGAAAGACATTTGTTTCTTCTTTCAATAAATACATTATTCAAACACCTACCACCTGCTATGCACTTTGCAGATAGCAGAGGTATTCACAGCTAGTGGGGAAGAGAAGCAGGAAATAAGCTAATACATGAACAAGTATATAATTAAATATTGTGCTAAGTATTGTAAAAGAAATGAAAAGAGAGATAGTGTAGATCAGATGAACAGAGAAAACCTCTTTGAGAAGTGATAAACAAATTGCAACCCAGAGAATAAGAAGGAGAATAAGAAGCAGCCGGCCGGGCGCGGTGGCTCACGCCTGTAATCCCAGCACTTTGGGAGGCCGAGGCGGGCGGATCACGAGGTCAGGAGATCGAGACCATCCCGGCTAAAAACGGTGAAACCCCGTCTCTACTAAAAATACAAAAAATTAGCCGGGCGTAGTGGCGGGCCCCTGTAGTCCAAGCTACTTGGGAGGCTGAGGCAGGAGAATGGCGTGAACCCGGGAGGCGGAGCTTGCAGTGAGCCGAGACCCCGCCACTGCACTCCAGCCTGGGCGACAGAGCGAGACTCCGTCTCAAAAAAAAAAAAAAAAAAAAAAAAAGAAGCAGCCAGGCCCTAAAAGAATAGCAGGAAAAATATTCCCGGCGGAGAGAACAGCAGGGCCAGGTCTGAGCTAGGAAAGAAGGTGGAGTTTTTCAGAACCCAAGAAGCCCTTGCACCTAGGGTTCTATGAATGTGGAGGAGATGATTTAGAATGGGGTTGGGGTATACTTCAAAATAACCTAACGAGTGGAATTGGAACGTTCCTAACACAAAGAAATGATAAATGTTTGAGGTGATAACTACTCCAACTACCATGATTTAATCGTTACAGTGTATGCTTGTCTCAAAACATCACATGTACCCCATAAATATTTACAACTGTTATGTAACCATAAAAATTAAAAATTAAAAAAAGTTTTTAAATTTACAAAATAAAGAAACAGACAAAAGAATGGAATTGAGAGAGAGCCAGGAGCCAGCTGATATAGGGCCTTTAAGGTAAGGAATCTGATTTTATTTAGAGGAGAAGGAGTGTCATGGAAATATTTTAGGCAGGGGCATGGCAAGATGCCCTTTTTGTTATTTTTAAAAGATCACTCTGGCTGCTGTGTGGAGAACAGAGTCGAGGAGGCTATTCTGCTATCCAGATGAGAAATCGAAGTGGCTTGAACTTAGGGTGGTATTTGTTAGTAGGGGTGGCAAGAATTGGATACATGAAAAGTGTATGTTAAAGGTAGGATTAATAGGACAAGATGAAGGATGTTATGATGGGGATGAAAGTAAGGGAGTATCAAGAATGAGTTCCAAAATTATATGCAGATATTGCTCTCTCCTATATACAAATAACACCCAGCTAAAGAATATAAAATAATAAAATTTCCATAAACAACAGCAACAAAATCACTGGGAATAGAAATGACAAGAAACCTGCATGGCCTATATGAATTATGTTTTACAACGCTAATGAAGACCTCAGAGGAGCTGTGAGTAAATTGAAAGACACCATAGTCTTAGGATGACTGGATATCACAAAGATGCCTGTTCTTTCTGAGATAGTTTATAAAATGACTAGAAATAAAAATGCCAATAATTTATTTCTGTTATTTCGTTTTGTTTGAATGAGACTAATTAATCCAAAATTTTATTTGGGAAGATAAACAAAAACATCTCAAAAAACTTTGAAAATGAAGAGCAGTATGGAAAATCTAGTATTAATGCCAGATATTAATAATTTAAAGCTACAATAAATAAATAGGGTGATACTGGATTGTAAATGGACAGAAAACCCAATGGGAGAAAGTAGAAAATCCAGAAAGAGATGTAACTGTGAGAATTTAGTTTCTGATAGAGATGGCTTCTCAAACTGATTGGGAAAGTCTAGGCTACCCAATATACACTGCCAGAAATGACTTGGTAGCCATCTGATAAAACACACACTCACACAAATAATCATAAAGTTGAAGCTATACTTAATACTTTAAGTACACACTTGATCCATATCAAATGGATCAATAAATAAATGTAAAAAATTAAACCAAAACTGATCTAGAAGGAAATAGGAAGGAATAATTATATCTGTGGCATAAAGAAGGCCTTCTAACTATGACTCAAAATCCACAAGCCGTAAAAGAAAAAAAATGAAATATTTAACTGTATTATAAAACAAACAAATTCTGCATGATAAGAAACATTATGTCTTGGCCCATTTTGTGTTGCTGTAATAGAATACCACAGAGTGGGTAATGTATAGTGAACGGGAATTTATTGGCTTATAGTTCTGGAGACTGGTAAGTCCAATATTAAGGTGCTGGCGTCTTGAGAGGGCCTTCTTGCTGTGTCATCACATGGCAGAAGGGCAAGAGAGGGAAAGAGAGACAGAGAAAGAGAAGGGAGATTAAACTGCTCCCTTTTATAATGAACCCACTCCCTTGATAACAGCATTAATTGATTCTCCCTGTCCTCATGACCTAATCCCCTTTCATTAGGCCCCATCTCCCGGTGCTTTTGCATTACGAATTAAGTTTCCAACATATGCTTTTTGATGGACGCATTCAAACCATAGCACATCATAATCAAAATTGAAAGTTAAATGACAAGCTGAGGAAAAAATATTTTGATCTCATAGCACAAAGAGAGATTTTTCCTTCGATATACAATAAGAACCTACAAGGGATACCAATTGATAGCTCACAAGAAAGGAAATACAAACAGTAGAAATTTGTGAAAAGGTGCTCATAAAACTATACCAATGTGAGCTTTTCAGTAATCAGATAGGCAAACTATAAAGTTTGATAAACACAGTCAATTACTGAGGCTTTGGGGGAACTCTTACGCATTGTTGAGTGAGTAAGTTGATATAACTTCTAAGGAGGCAATTTGACATTTATCAAAACTGCAAAATCATATACCCTTTGACCCAGCAGCCTACATTTTATATATCAGATATATTTGCATGTGTGGAAAATGGCATGCCCAAGCTTCCTCACTGCAGTATCATTTCTAATGTCAAAAACAATGAAAACCTAAGCTATAGCAGACTGATTTAACAAATAAAGATATTTGCAGACAATGAAATATAATGCATCTGCAAAAAGCATGTATATATATGTAAAAACTGGAGAAAATAGTATTACATAATTTTATTTGTGTTTATATTCTAAAGAAACTCTGAAAGAATGTGTAAGAAACTAAGGATAGTGGTTACTGTGTGCGGATGATGGGGAATTGGGAAGACGGGGTATGCATTAATTTGCTAAGGTTGTACATTATGGATTAGTCAGGGTTCTCCAAAGAAACAGAGCCAACAGAATGTATGTGTGTACACACATACACACACACATATATATATACACACTTATATGTGTATGTATGTGTATGTGTGTATATATGACTTATTATAAGCAATTGACTCACATGATTAGGAAGGATGGAAAGTCCCTAAACCTGCTGGGTGAATTGGCAAGCTAGAGACTCAGCAGAGCTGATTGTATAGCACCATTTTGGATCCAAAGGCCTGAGATCCAGGAGAGCTAAAGATGTAGTTCCCATCTGAAGGCTGGCAGGCTGGAGACCCAGGAAGAAATGATGTTTCATTTGAGTCCCAAGGTATAAAAAAGCCAATGTTTCAGTTTGAAAGCTGTCAGGTGGGAATAATTCTCTTACTTGCAGAAGGCTCAGCCTTTTTGTTCTATTCAGTCCTCATTAGGTGAGGCTCATCCACATTAAGGAGTGCAATCTGATTTATTCAATCTACTTATTTAAATGTTAATTTCATCCAAAAATATTCTCACAGAAACACCCATGACAATGTTTGAGCAAATATCTGGGCACCCTGTGGCCCAGTCAAGTTGACACATTAAAATTAACCATCACAGGCTACCATAACAAAATAAATATCACTGACTAAGTGGCTTAAGCAACAGAAATTTATTTTCTCGCAGTTCTGGGGCCAAGTCTACTATCAAAGGGCTGGCAGAGTTGATTTCTTCTGAGGCCTCTCTCTTTGGCTTGCAGACAGACACCTTTTTGTGTGCCCTCATATGGCCTTTCCTCTCTAGCTCTTCATCTTCTTATAAGGACACTAATATTGGATTCTGGCCCCACTCTTATGATCTAGTTTAATCTCATTACCTCCTTAAAGGCCCTATCTCCACATGGAGTCACGTTGGGAGTTAGGTGGTTAGAATTTATTCCAACATATGAATTCTGTGGGAAACACAATTCAGTCCATAGCAGGGGATAAGAGTAGGAGGGAGACTGCCGTTGTTCACCTTTTTGTACCTTCTTGGTTTTAAGCTTCCTAAATGCATTATCTATTTTTAAATATCTTAAAAATGAACTCCAAGTTTCTGCTTCCAGCAGCTTGGAGGATGGTGACATTCACTGGGTTGGAGAAGACTGAGGGAAAAAAAAGTTTGATAAGGTGGGAATAGGGTGGAGATACTGGAGAGACATTGCAGTAGAATGTCAGTGAGGCAGTTGGTGTCCAGGAGAGGAGTCTAGGTTGGAGGTGAGAAAAAAGGAGTTTTCTGCATGGTTACAAAGTCAGGGGGAATGCATCAGATCACCCTAGGCAGTGGTTCTCAAACTTTATTTGGCATGCATCAGAAATATCTGATGGGCTTGTTATAACATAGGTTGTACAGCCCTATCCTCCAGATATCTGATTCAGTTGGTCTGGAGTAGGGTCCAAGAGTCTGCAATTCTAACAATTCTGAGGGGATATGGATACTGCTGATTGGGGGCCCCACTAGGGGAACCATCAGCCTAGGGCAGTGATTCTCCATTCTAGCCTCACATTAATATAACACGGAGAGTCTTGAGGAAAAACAATGTGATTATGTGGTACCCACTCCACTGCAGACCAGCTAAGTAAGAACCTCTGGAGACCGGGCCTGGGCACTAGTAATATTCAGAAGCTCTCTCATTAAGTCTGATATGCAGCTTGAACTGAGAGCTTCGGACCTAGGGAAAGATGCCAGAGAAATGAGAGAAGGCCAAGAACAAAGGCTTTAGGATGTCTGCCTTCTAAATGACTAGTAGGCAAAAAAGGGACCAACCAAGAGATTGAGAAGTGGAGAGATATTGGGAAACCTGGGACCTATACTCTGGTGTCATGGAAGGCAGTCATTAACTCCCACCCATCTACACTGGGTTCTGGTGACACAGATACAAATAAGACCTATGCAGCCTTCAAGAGCTTCCTTAGTGTTAAGGGCCAAGACATTCTCTAAAGAAGTGATGGCATAATCAGTCCACTTCTTGATGTGTGTCCTAGAGGGATACTTTCTCATATGCTCAAGGACTCATGTCAAGGATATTCATAGCATTGCTTGTAAGAGTGAAAATCTGGAGCCTACCTGTCCTCAAAGAATGGCTACATTATATAAAATGGCATGTTCATATAGTGGAACACTATACAGCAGTTCAAAAGAGAGTGAACCAGGTAGACATCAACTTTCAAGATCTCAAAAAATATTGTCAATGGGAAAAAAACCAAGTTGCACTATGATAGGTATATCGTTTATAGGAAAAACAACTTAAACATGTATGTGTTTGTGTATAAAGATATAAAAAAGGTCTAGAAGGATGTACTCCCAATTCTTATCTGGTGAATGGAAGAGGGGACAAGTTTGTGGAGGATAGGTAAAAGCATTTTAGATTTTTTGGTAATGCTCTTAAAATTGTTAAGCCTTTAGGATTAATGCGTATATTGAACTACCTCAATGTTGTACTAATTTAAACTTTTAAACATTGCTTACAAATGTCAATAACACCTATCAACTCTAAAGTTAATGTATGTATACACTAGAATTTTTGACTTTGTTTGGGGTTCTGAAATAATGCAACTTATATCCCCTTCTGATTTCTGGGTTAATTCAAAGTCTTCACTGACCAGAAGGAATGTATCTCCCAATCCTTTTCCTAAACCGAAATAGGGCAAAAACTATAATTTAAAGAAAGAAGAAAAAATGAAAACATTGCTTAGCCATTACTCTTCTGTGAATCTGTCTGCAAAAAAAAAAGTGTCTTTAACATAGCATTTCAAAGATACAGACATCATCCTTTCCCCAGAGTCTTGACTGGCAGACATATTACAGTTATTTAGTCAGGGGGCTGCACTGAATGCAGCTCTGAAAATGTAACCGAGATTTATGTGTTGCATTCCTCTGCCTTTATACAGCAGGTAAATGATGCTGGAAGATTCTGTAAGTAAAGGTAAAGAAATTCACTGAAGCTGACTTTAGTCTGAATATACTTTTGACTTTTTAGAAAGATGAATAGCTTGGAGCTACCTGTATTGAGAAACCTCAGTTGTCTCCCTGGAAAGCAATGACTTTTAAATTCTCAAGTATTCATTTTCAGAGTGGGAAGACAATCTCTGCATGTGTAAGTTCTAGATGAGCAAGGACCTTATCTGTATCATTGGCATTGTATCTCCAGTGGCTAGCATAGCACCTGGCATATAGTACCTGCTCAGTAAGTATTTGTGGAATGAACGCAGCCACACAAAAGAAAGAGAAAAATAAAATCATGAATGAATTCTGTATAATGTTGAGCAAAAGAAATCAAACAGAAAAATACATCCTACATTTTCCCTTTATGTAATGTTATAAAACAGACAGAATTAAATGATAGTGATAGAAAGTGGTTACTTTGCAGGGGTAGTTGTTTGGGAGGGAATAATGGAAGCTAATGGGATGCTGGTCATGTTCTGTTACTTGATTGGAGTGGTGGTTGCATGTATGTGTTCACTTTGTGAAAAGTCATTAAGCTATACAATTATGATTTGTGCACTTTGCATGTTGTTTTTAGGATTTATTTAACATAAATCAAATCAACTTTTTCCAGAAAAAGAAAAATCACTGTCAAATAGAAGCAAGTAACTGAGGTTTTGAAATTTTGATCCTTTATGTTGTGGTTGATCTTATCTTTGGAAAATTATTTTCCATCTCTAAACATATTTTCATTTCACATTTCTGAAGATATGAAGTGTGTAACCTCACGTCCAGGGCTTAAAGGCTTAGCTCTCTCTGTTCTGAGGCCTTTGCTCTTTCTTATCAGAATTCAGCTGATGGTAAAACAGCTCTTGTAGGATTGGAGGCAGCTCTGCTATTTGTTTGTTAGCACCCATGCCTTTTCTTGCCCCTAATCTTTTGAAATTTCCAAACAGTTAAACAGACAAGAGAGAATAGTGAAAGAAAACCAGAAACTTCAGAACTGTGCAATTTAGGAAAAATATCTGACATTTCCCACCATTTAATACCACCAGACCCACTAAATTTTCTAATGTTTTCTCTTCTGTCTCCTTCTTTCTTTCTCTCCCTCATTCCCCTTTTGATAAAATGAACAAAAACATTTTAAAAATCCTTGAACCTAGTAACTCAGAAATTCAACATAGACACATGCGCATGTACTCAGGCGCACACACACACACACACACACACACTTGTCCATGGACAAAGTGATATATTTACAAGGTAATTCACAGCTACAGTGTATGAATGGCAATAGGTTAAAGGCAACCTAAATGCCTTAACCAATGAAAAGGGGACTGGTTAAGTATATGACATTTAACAATAGAAAAGTGTGCTTCTATAAAAAAGAATGAAGAAGCTCTCTGTGTTCAAGATCTGTAGATAAGTGGACTATATCTTAGATAAGTGGAAAATATCAGGTTCAGAGCAGTGTGTTTAGACTACTGTACTTATGAGTGCAGAAATTATTCTAGGTTGTACAAGGAACTGAATATTTGTTTGTCCCAGAGGGGGATGGTATACATGGGCAGGAGAAACTTTCTCCTGTATACCCAGTGGTTCCTTTGATATTTGAACCATATTATGTATTGTCACATCAAAAATAAAATTTTAAATATATATAAAATAATACTTTGGGCAAGAAACCCCCGATTTTGCCAAGGTTGTGGAATGATGGTATAAACTCACAAAGTACTATTGGAAGGGTAAATTCAGACAACATAACAAGAAGGTAGTTGGTCAAAACATGTCAAAAGCTTCCAAATTTTCTTTTTGAATACATATTTCTGGTCCTAAGAATTTATTTTTAAGAATGTAACCTTGCAGTGAATGTATGGCTATAATGGAGCACACTGAAGGCCTGGACTGCAGAAATATTGGGAAAAAACTAGACACATAAGGCCGAGGCGGGTGGATCACGAGGTCAAGAGATCGAGACCATCCTGGCCAGCACGGTGAAACCCTGTCCCTACTGAAAATACAAAAATTAGCTGGTCGTGGTGGCACGTGACTGTAGTCCCAGCTACTCAGGAGGCTGAGGCAGCAGAATCATCTGAACCTGGGAGGCGGAGGTTGCAGTGAGCCGAGATTGCGCCACTGAACTCCAGCCTAGCGACAGAACAAGACTCCGTCTCAAAAAAACAAAACAAAACAAAACAAAAACTAGACGTATAAAATAGAGGTTCCACAATGAGAGCACATTGACACAGGGAGGGGAACAACACACACTGGAGCCTGTTGTGGGGGATAGTGGTAGAAGGGAGAGTGTCAGGAAAAATAGCTAATGTGTGTGGGGCTTAATGCCTAGGTGATGGGTTGATAGATGCAGCAAACCACCATGGCACATGTTTACCTATCTAACAAACCTGCACATCCTGCACATGTATCCTGGAACTTAAAATGAAAATTAAATTAAATTAAAAAATTAAAAATTAAAAAACTAAAATAGAGGTTCTTCATAAATTATGGTACAGCTATATATTAAAAAAGCAATTTTGGAATATTTAATGACAGAGGAAATTGTTCATAATATTCAGTGAAAAGTATACAGCATGTACATCCTAATACTATTTGTTGCCAAAAATGCATCTATTTAACTGTTTGTGTAAGTATGCTCACATGTGTATAAAACCAAAATTTAACACTTTTATTCTAGGTAATAGAATAATGGATTTTGTTTTTTAATTTTCATTCTTATATGGATTTCCAAAAGGAATTATACTAGGCTTATGTTTTATGCTAGAAAATTTATAATAAAAGAATTAGGCCAGGCATGGTGGCTCATGCCTGTAATCCCAGCACTTTGGAAGGCCAAGGTAGGCGGGTCACCTGAGGTCAGGAGTTTGAGACCAGCCTGGCCAACATGGTGAAACCCAGTCTGTATTAACAATACAAAACTTAGCTGGGCGTGGTGGTGCGTACCTGTAGTCCCAGCTACTTGGGAGGCTGAGGGAGAACTGCTTGAACCCAGGTAGTAGAGGTCGCAGTGAGCCGAGATTGTACCATTACACTCCAGCCCGGGCAACAGAGCGAGACTCCGTCTCAAAAAAAAAAAAAAAAAAAAAAAAGAATTAATGAGGATATTTTCTAAAGGTACTACAAGTAAATCCTGCTAAAATATAATAAATGTGGTCCTGAAAATTCAGCTGCATAAAAAGCAGCGCTGCATTAAATTGAGGTTGATGAAACGACAGAATTGAGACTTCTGAGACGGACAACAGCCAGTTGCCAATCACTTTATATCCAAGGTGGTATTGTCAAGGGATGCGTGATCATGGGCACTGTCTCCATATGGAACATGTTAACACTTTCTGAGAATTGTTACTTTCAGACTGAACTATTTTTATTCTTTTTAGGAGGTATGTAAATATTTACCCCAAATCAAAAACAATACACATAATACATAGATAACACACACACACACACAAACACACACATATTATATATGAATGGTGATATAATGCTTTTAAAAACTACTTCTAATCAAATTACCCCTACAATATTGTTTTTCTTTTTTATTACTTTTTTATCAAGATGAGATTCCCATAGCATAAAATTAACCATTTTTAAGTGAATCATTAGCATTTAGCACATTCACAATGTTGTATAACCACCACCTCTACCTCGTTCCAAAACTTCTTAATTATCCCAAAAAGAAACCCTGCACACACTAAGCAGTTGCTTCCCATTTCTCTCTTTCCCCAGCCCCTGGCAAACACCAATCTGCATTCTGCCTCTATGGGCTTACCTATTCTGGACATTCCATAGAAATGGAATCATACAATACGTGGCCTTTTGTGTCTAGCTTTTTTCATATACCATGTTTTCAAGGTTGATCTATATTGTAGCATGTACTTTATTCCTTTTGATGGCTGAATAATATTCCATTGTATGAACATACCACAATTTGTTCATCCATTCATTCAAGATGGACATTTGGGCTATTATTTTGGCTACTGTGAATAGTGCTGTGATGAACATTTGTGTACACATATCTGTTTGGACTCCCTGATTTCAATCCTTTTGTGTGTGTGTCGAGGAGTGGAATTACTGGGTGATATGGTAATTGTAAGTTTAACTGTTTAAGGAACCACCAAACTGTTTTCCACATGGCTGATATATTTTAAATTCCCACCAGAAATGTTCGAGGGTCCCAATATCTCTACATTCTCTCCAACACTTTTTATTTTCCATTTTCAAAAAATAGCAATCCTAGTGAGTATGAAATGGTACCTCACTTTGGTTTTGATATGCATTTTTCTAAATGATGAATGACATTGGGCATAATGGCTTATTGGCCATTTGTATATCTTCAGAGAAAGTGATATTCAAGTTTTTTCCTCATTTTTTAAATGGGTTGTCTTTTTGTTTTTGAGTTGTAGGAATTATTTATATATTCTGGATATTAGACCCTTATCAGATAGATGATTTGCAAATACTTTCTCTCATCTCCAGGGAGAAAAAGTTCTATAGGTTGTCTTTTCAGTTTCTTGGAAACGTCCTTTGATGTACTTGTTACTCATATTTATAGAGAGAAATATTCTTATTTTCTGTTCTAATTTCAGCTAAAATTGTATCTTGGACACATTTTTGTGTGTCTACACATTATTATTATTTTAATGGCTGCACACTATTCTGTCGTATTCCTAGTCATTCCTGGATTGTTGGCAAATTATTTAAGATTATTTTGGTAACAGAAATCAATTAAATTTAAGGAATAATTTAACTACCAGGCATTAGGAAGAATAGGAACCAGGTGGCTTTAAGGATTGCATGAGTTTGTAGACTGCCTGAAACACTGCAGTAAACTTGCCTCCTCACTTCTGGTTTCTTCGTCTCTCATTTCAAGCTCTTATACAACAGTATCTTACTGGCTCAGCATGGATTTGTGTGTACCCCTGTAGGGCCACAGTACTGCACAGCCCAGATCCCCACTTCAGGACTGAGGTGCTCATTCTCCCATGGTCCAGCAAGCTGTTCTTAGAGATGGAAGGGATGGCTTATGGTCTACTGTAAAATATCGAGACTTTACAATTGTGCTCTCCCAGGTAACCCTGCAATGAACAGCTTCTCCTTTTGTGTTATTTCATTTGGATAAATCCCTAAGAGTTAGATTATCACAACTCCTAAGCATTTTTATGTTGCTTACTAGAGGACTTTGCCAATTAACAAAGTTACCAGCAATGAGCAAACGCCACTCAGAATTTTCAGTATACCTATAACTAAAAAGGAGACAGAAAGAGATAATGTCATTGTGCTGGGAAATCTGCCTGGTAATTTAAATAAATCCTATGTTGTCCACTAATATCTACTTTCTCCTTCATCTCTAGTAATAATGATACTTTAAAAATGTATAGTATGATTTGAGTCATTGCTGCTGAGAAGGAAAACTATATTTCTTAACTTCTCCCATAGCTAGATATGGTTACATATTAGACACATGATTACATTCTATCCAGTAAAATGGGAACAATCAATATGGAAAATGCTTCATGCCTTTAAAAGAAAGGAGCATGCTTTCCACTTTGCCTTTCTTCTTTCTGTTAGTTGGAATGACAGCATGGTGGGAAAACATCTTGTACAATTAAAGATGGGAACAACCGAGGTCAGATGGCAGAACCAGAAGATAGAAGGAGCCTGGGTCCATGACAGTATGGAACCACCACACCAGCCCCAGACTATCATGCCTTATTCATTATATGGGAGAGAAAAAGAAAATCTTTCTTATTTAAACCACCAGTATTATGGATCTCTGTGACAGCAGCTGGACCTGTACCCTAACTCATACACAATATTTGTCTTCTCACTCCATCCTTTAGTGTTAATTATTTTAGAAATTAAGAAATTGGAGGGTTGCATATATTAAGGAATTCACCTCAGGGCTTCACATAACAGGGAAGTCCAGATCAAATCCAGGGGTCTGATTGCAAAGTCCATGTTTTCTCACTGTTCTTTTCCTGAAGAATTTATAGTCCTTTTCTGGAATGTTTTCTAATGCCAACAAGCAATTATCTGATTCAATGGTCACCAACTGGGTGTGCTACAATTCAGTTGAATTCTGACACTGTACTTGAAGTTAGTGTTAGATCTGCTAAGTTAAAGGGTCAGTTCTGTAAGACTATCCCCACTTCAGATGACAATTGCAAGTGCCAAACCTCCCTTACTGAGGACAGACTATGCATTGGGAGGACAGCTATGCATTGGGAGTTCCCTCAACTCCCCCCTTGGATTTGGCAATTTGCTAGAATGGCTCACAGAACTCAAGAAAATAGTCTACTTACCCTTACAGGTTTATTATAACAGCCAAGTGGAAGAGATGCATAGGACAAGGTATCGGGGGAGGGGCACAGACTTTCTCTACCTCTTCAGATGCACCACTCTCCTAGCACCCGGTTGATGTCATCACCGACCTGGAAGCTTTTCAGATTTTCTTGTTCAAGAGTCTTTTTATTTTTGTTTGTTTGTTTTTGTTTTAACTCTTCATTCTGGTCTGATGGTTCAAGAGTTTTTATAAAGCTTTATCTCAACCCTCCCTTTCCTTCCCAGAGGTCTGTGGGTGGAGGTGATAGTTCTAATCCTCTAATCACTTGGTTTTTGTGGTGATCAGTCTCATCCTGAAACTCATTAGCATAAAATCAGGTGTGATTACCTGGGGCTCCTTAGGAATAATAAAAGACACTCCTGTTGCTCAGGAAATTCCAAGGGTTTTGGGAGCTGTGTACCAGGAATCACAAAGTCCAAATATATTTTTTCTTATGTCTCACCTTTGTAGGAACCTAATTTTCAAACCTCTACCTTGCTGACTATATGGTAATATTTTTATACACATTATAAATCACAATATTCACATTGTTGAAGATATACAAATAAATATCTAAAATTATACCTTTTCCCAAATTTCCTTACTTAATTTCTTTCTGACTTCTAAACAATATGAAAGCTATTCTTGGGTGATCAAAGCCACCCTTCTTTTGAGGCCAGGAAAGCTTTAGAAATTCAGTGACCTTTAAGATAAATCCATAATTATGGATAGGGTTTTACATAATCAAGATTTTTAGTTTCTAGTCTTTAGTGACAGAATCATAACTCAAACTAGTTTAAGCAAAAATAGAAAAATGTGTTGGCTTAGCTAATTGAAAAAGGGGTACCTGCTTCAGGCACAGTTGGATCCAGGATAGCTAATGACTCCATTAAAGAGAGGTCCCTCCCCATCTCTTGGCTTTTTTACCCTGGGTTGGTTTTGGTGTTAGACAGGCTTGTTCCTGGTGGAGGAAAGAATGGATACCAGTTCTCCCAGGCTCACCTTGTTAGCAGCTTCATTACTCCAGCAAAAAACAAACAAACAAACAACCAGTGCCTTTCTCCTGATAAATCCAGCAAAATATGCAAACAGTGCTCCCATCCGGCCAGGTCTGGATCTCATGCCCACTTTGTCAAAGATCAGCCCAGCTACATCAAACCCATGGACTGAGCTTGGGCAGGAGTGGTTTTCCAAAAGAACAAAAGGGTGCTATAAAACAGAAAAAGGGGAGAAATTGAACAACAGATGTCCATTACAAGTTTTACAGGTGGTGCTGAAGAATGGGAAAGGAGTTCCAAGTGAAAGCAACAGCCTGAATGAAGGCATGGAGATACGCAAGTACAGGAAGTTCAGATGGGCAGGAAGACTGGGGAAAAGAGAAAAATCAAGCTGGAAATGTGCCGTAGAAAGTCTTGAGAGTCATAGTAAGGTGTCTGTGCCCAATTTTAAAAACAATAGGGAGTTAAAGAGGTGTCCAAAAATATCATCACATATTAAAAGTATAATACATCATCAAGTATAACTTAAAATCAATTCATTTTCTTTATTTTATTCAGGGTCTAGTATGTAGTTATTCTTCATTTAGAAGGCATTTATTTTCAATTAAAGTATATAAGCTTGTATAACCTACTACTGGGAAGTTTTTTTGCATTTGTTGAATGCATCTATCTCCACTAGTTTATTGAATTTCCTCTTGCCTGTAACTTCAGGGTTTGGCTAAACTGAAAAATACATATTAGTATAGGCAATCCCAGGTGGAGGACCAGGGAACTCTCAGAGATAAATAAAAAGAATGCAGCCAACCATGAATCCTTAGACCCGATGGGCAATTTACAACCTCACCACTTCAAGGCACTCATTTATTCTTCAGTTAAAGTTGTTCTCTCAACCTTAGCGCAGACTTTGGAAAAAGAAATGTGTTTCGTTATAATAATGATTAAAAAGTCCCTTTGGAGGAAATAACTTGCTGATTAAGATTGATTTTCTCCTCCTTTCCTCTCCTATTTTATGTGTGTCTTCTCTAAAAACAAAAGCAAGAAAATGGTTGAGCAGAGTCCAGAGTAATGGGCCACGAAATTCCCAATGGAGGTCAACTGAGGTTGACTATAACTTGGCTTTAGTGGCCTCCCTTCACTGTTGGCTTAAATGAGGAAAGGTTTTGCAGATAGTAAAATGCTACCTGTGACTTTACTATCATTATCTCAATAGCCAGGTGAGATCCATGAAGTGCATTGCAATGGTTGCCATTTTTACTGATAAGACGCCATGATGACTGGCCTTGGCTTCTCCAACAAGATGATCCTGAGTTTTTGTTACTTAACATGCCTGAGCCTCCATAGCCTCATCTGTAAAATGGGACAATAAAAGTATCGAATACGGGCTTTGGTGAGGATTAGATGAAATAAAAAGGATGAAAAAGCATTTAGTTCAGCGTTGCAGCATGACCAACTCATCCTAGTTTTCCTGGAGCTTTCCCAGTTTTAGTACCCTGAATCCCACATTTTAGGAACTCTCAATCCCAGGCAAACTAGGATGGTTGGTCAGCCAAGAGTCACAAACTTAGACAACTCTCTCAGAAAGGATTAGCTATTTTTATTTCACAGGAGAAAAGTGAAGATTAAATACTTAGCATCAGATGTGAGGAACACATTTTAAAAACCATCTTTTATGGTGAAAGAATTAAACCTGTTTTTTGAAATGGGGTCTTGCTATGTTGCCGAGGCTGGTCTCAAATTCCTGGCCTCAGGCCATCCTCCTGCTTTAGCCTCCCAAGTAGCTGGGATTAACCGGCACACATCACTGTGCTGGCTGCAGAATTAAGCCTTTAAGAATCACATGTAAGCCTTCAATATCCAAATCCTGTACTTTTTCCATGTGTTCTTATTCATTCTTTCATCCAATTCTTTGCTCGTTCACTCATCTCTTCCCTCATAGAACTTACAATTTAGAAGAGAACACATTAAGTAAATAGTTATCTTACAAATGATTCAGTTTGCCATTATACTAAATAGATTTGATGGTAGTGGCAGGCAATCAGTCATGAGTCAATTTTTTAGGGATTTCCCTAAATCTGTTCATTCTCAAATGTTTCCACTTGTGATCATGTTTTCTTACAAAGTGGACACCTTGGGCTTTATAGTACAGCTGTTAGCCAAGGGAGCAGAGAAAGCCAATTGGCCTGAAATGACCACATTTGGTCTGGTGATCGGGGTTCCTTTTTTTATGTTTTAACACGATGAGCAGAAGACCGAAGCAATACAGGGTCTGTCCTATTCCCTGTCTCACAACTGATTCATAGTAGGCTCTTGACCCAAGGAGAGGCCATTCATGATCCATGCAGGTGAACCAGGTCTGCCGTTCCCTGCCCAGAGTAACAAAATGTGGAAAGACCCAAAAGTCTTACATTCTAACCCTTTCTATCACCAACCGCAAGAAAGGAAAAATGGGCTTTCCAAATGTGTTTCCATTACAGGATCGAGTCATCTATTATTTTCATTTCAGCAATGCCAGGAAATTCAGAATCAGCCACCTCGTCCAAAATATAATAATCTTTCAGTATTATATTTATGATAACATATAGGGAAAGAGGATATTTCACCCGGGAACCAAGGCAGTCTCAAGGAGACTGACTTTCTTCAGCAGCACCATGTTATTATAATAAGTTTGAGAGAGCTCTATACTGGGTTAAATGCAACTTTTCACCCCCACTGGCATCGCAAACTAAACTGAACGGAGAAGGCAGCCTCTAGCAAAACAGGATTAGATTTCACAAAAAGATATGGAAAGGGATACAAATCGCTCACCGTGCCTCCTGCAAAAATAGAAGAGCCTTTGCTGCACTGTTTCTATTCAAAAGCGACTGCTTTCTTACATAAGAAGTTTAGGTGGCTGCTTGTTTAAGAAAATCTTTATGAAGTTAGGTATTTTATTTTACTTTGTTTTCTATTTAGGATGCATTTCATGGAGGATTTTTGGGTGTTTAGATTTGGTAGGAAATGCTGTGATTAGGTCCCAGGAAGAAAACAGTGGTTACTTTTGGTCTGGGGCCCCACTGGGTCAGGCAATTAGGAGATTGTCAAGGTGGCAGCAAGTACCAGGGGCCTGTTTAAAAGAATGGCCTCGAGTATGTCACCAGCACCATTTTTATTAGAATTTTCTTTCAATTTCTTCGTTTTTCTTTCTTTTTTTGAGATTGCAACAAGTCTGTGGCTATTTCTTAAAATAATTTAGTGCAAAAGTTGTGCCCCTTGCTACTCTGAGATCTTGCCCAAGATTTGAAAATGTGCCCAATGCAGATGTGATCTGATACTTCAAATGAAGAAAGTAACTTCAAAAAAACATTTTTTCATGGTGGTGTAGGCTGGGGGGAGTGGTAGAGAAAAGCCACATCTGTTTTTCTCCTCTCTTTTCTTTCTTTCTTTCTTTCTTTCTTTCTTTCTTTCTTTTTTTTTTTTTTTTAGGAAGATTCCTCGTTAAACATCCTAGCAGGAAAGAAAAAAGGAGATATCGTGTCATTGTAATATTGCAGAAGTAGTATGGGCTGAATTGTGTTCCTTTAAAATTTGTCCTAACCCCTAGAACCTCAGAATGTAATTGTATTTGGACGTAGGACCATTGAAGAACTTATTAAGCTAAACTGAGGTCAAATGGGTGGGCCTTCATCCAATATGACCAGTGTTCTTATAAGAAGAGGAAATTTAGACACAGACATGTGCACACACAGAGGAAAGACCATATGAGGACACAACAAGAAGGTAGCCATCTGTAAGCCAAAGAGAGAGGACCCAGAAGAAACCAAACCTGCCGACACCTTAATCTTGGACTTCTAGCCTCCAGATCTGTGAGAAAATACATTCCTGTTGTTTAAGCCACCCAGTCTTTAATACTTTATTATGGAAGCTCTTGCGATCTAATATACTAAGTCAGATCACTATTTTCACCAAAGGATGTTGCCAATGGGCCATGGTCACTCTTTGAGGAGAGAACAGCAGCTTGCCTTCCATAGCTCTTTGTTGTACTTTCTTAGCTATCATCTAAAAGTGCATAGAGAACTCAGGGAATTCAGGTTTCAGTAGAGTTATTTTTTGGTGGGAAGGGAAGCAAGAATGTTTGTTGGTCATATTTATTAATTTGAATGCATTTTAATATGCTCAATAAAATTCTCAATCATGCATAGACTACAGGATAATTTAAAAATGAATATTAATATATTTTTAAAAGGTTTTGACTTCTTTGTTCTATGTCCTAATTGTTTTTTTGTTTGTTTGTTTTTAACTTAAAAAGACAGGGTTTTGTTTGTTTGTTTTTTGATTTTTCCCTGAACTATGTAAGTTGCCTAAAATTTCCAGGCTCAACCCCAGAGTGATTAAGACTAATACAGCCACAGATGGAATAAAATTCAGTTTTTTTTTTAAGTAACAATGTCATATCAAAAGCATTTTTATGCCTTCTAATCAACGATGAATGTTTTAAAACATTTTAGTGTTAACTGAAGAAGTAATTTAAAATCATTATATGCGTATTATTGCAATTATGCATAACTGTATGTAGAGTATATATATTATAATTGTACAGCTAGGTTTAAAAAAAGCCTAATCCTAGAAAAATTAATGTAAGAAAATATACTGAGCAGTGATTACTTTTGGGGAATGGGATTATAACTGTCCTCTTCCCATCAGCTCGTTTTCATCTTTGCTTTCATTTCTTTAATAAGCATGTATTACTTTTATAATTAAAGAAAATTATCCACCGCCAGTATGAAAATATCTGTGAGTTCTTTATACATTACTAAATAAATGAGCTGACCACCAGGTATAAACACCTGGCCTAAAGCTGAGTCCAGAGTATGAACTCAGTCAAGGCGAATTCTTTCTTTATGCATAGTTCAGACTGGTTTCCAACCATACAGCAGGATATAGGGGTCCCAGGGTTAGCTAATGATTGTACTACCAGAGACTCAAAACCGGGAGTCAACACAATTTTAAAATTTGGGTTAGGAGGTAGAGGAGAGGTTATGTAGGTTTTAAAATTAGTAGAATTCAATCTTTTTAGTAAATTTATATTTTGTATTCCTCAATGGTAGACTGGCATATTTATTAGGAATTTATCAATTATATATTTTCGTGGAATTGCAAATGCCATGAATGCACCCCTTCCCCCAAAAAGATACTCTCCTCTGGAAAGATGGGTAGACAGGTAAATAATATATTGCAAGTTAGAATAGTATACAACCTTGAAGTTTCAATCAAAAAATATTCTAGGCTGGGCGCAGTGGCTCACGCATGTATCCCAGCACTTTGGGAGGCCGAGGCAGGTGGATCACTTGAGGTCAGGAGTTCAAGAACAGCATGGCCAACGTGGTGAAACCCAACCCCGTTTTTACTAAAAATACAAAAATTAGCCAGATGTGGTAGCAGGTACCTGTAATCCCAGCTACTGTGGAGGCTGAGGCAGGAGAATTGTTTGAACTCAGGAGGCGGAGGTTGCAGTGAGCCAAGATCATGCCACTGCACTCCAGCCTGGGTGACACAGCCAAATCCTGTCTCAAAAAAACAAATAAACAAAAATAAAAAAAATTATAAAGGCATTGTAGAGTCTTGGTGTAAAATACATTTGGAACCACTGAGATAAGTAAGAGAGTTGTTTGTTGAATCGGGCTGCCCTTGTAAGTTGACACAAGACACTGGAAGAGTATCTAGGTGCTATGGAATTGTTCAGGACATGTGGCTAATTTTGGTAGTGAGATTGAAACTAGGGCCAGTTTCAATGTTTTTTATCTTGCAACCCTGTTTCCTTATCCTCCTCCTTCCCTAGTGGGGAAAAATCCTTAAGTCACTTTTAGAACAGCTAAGGAAGTTGTGTAATGATGGGCAGGAAAGGCTATTAACTCTAAGGAAGGCGTTTTCAATATAATCTAACCAACTGTAGAATTTAGAAATTCTAGATTTTTTTTTTCTGAAATACTGGCAGGCCTAGAGCCCAGCAAAACATAAAATATATGGCACTATGCAATTTGAAGTCTTGTTTGTCATTCCTGCAGATGGATGAGTAGCTTCAGTGATGATGAGGAAGGACTCATGCTTGTCAGGGTTGTTTCTCTTTTTTTGTTTGTTTGTTGTTTTTGGACAGGGTCTCACTTTGTCACCCAGGCTATAGTGCAAAGGTGTGATCACGGCTCACTGCAGCCTCAGCTTTCTGAACTCAAGCCATCCTCCCAGTTCGGTTCCCAAGTAGCTGGAACAATAGGCACATGCCACCACACCCAGCTAATTTTTAAATTTTGTAGAGACATGGTATCCGTATGTTGGCCAGGCTCGTCTCGAACTCCTGGCCTCAAGTGATCCTCCCACCTCGACTTCCCAAAGTGCTGGGATTATAGGCATGAGCCACCGTGCTTATTAATTTAATCTATTAAATTAAACGCCCAGCCTGTCAGCATTGTTACCTGACATAATTCTATCAGGTTCTCTGTGGAGTGGAAAAGTGAGTAATAAGAAAAATCTCTGATAGTTTTGCCCTGACACATGGGAGGATCACAAATCTTTGTATTCCTAAATTCTAAGCTGGATTCTTAACTGAACAAAGTACTTTATTTTCTACTTTAGTGTGAGTTGACCTGAAACTTTTGGCCCCAGCCAAGTTACAAATATACCCTACTAGGACTTGGCCTTGTTCACAAATTCCTAACTGGAGTCGCATTTGACTAAGGTCTAGCTGAACCTTACAACCGCAGAAGGACTCACTGTAACAATATGAGCTTTCATAGCCCTGCTATTTAAGATTCTTTCTCTCAGACTAAATAAGCAAAACTGCTCCCAGACATCCATCATGAGTATCACAGACCGACTTGCATATCATATAACTTCGAACTGGGTCGTTCGATTCCTTCAGGCTTCCTGAATTTAGTTAGCGGCATCTGCTAATGCTAGAAATGTGTTTTGAAGATATTGTATCATTTGGCCAAGAAAATGGAGGGCCAGATGGCTTTGAAAGAATATTAAATGGCAGAAGCCTGTCTTGGAATGCTTCATTGTTTCTGGAGTTCATGCTTATATTTCTTAGTGTCCTCTTTGGGGCAAAATTTTGCTATTTTTATCCAAACCAAAAACGATAAAGAACATGCACAATTTCAGGATAGTTTTTAAAATAAAAACAATGAAAGCTTTTCACACAATGGTAAATTTGATTTTAAATATTTTGATGGCATGGTGGTTAGGATGTTTTTTCTTACTGACATATTCTGTTTTATTAGGGAAGGCATAATATTTACTACTAGCTTTCAGCAATGTATTCCTATGTGGAAGGAAAATTTTTGAAAACTGAAATGATAGCCTTTGCTCCATAACTTGGAAACTTAAGTGTGCAATGAGAGGATTCAAAGAATGAATGCTGATATTTAACATCCCTAAAATTAATATTAGAATGTACAAAAATTCTTAGAATGATGCCTGGCTCATTGTAACTGTTCAACAAATTTAATTGCTATTATTAGTGAGCTCTGGACTCAGAAAGTCAGTTTCTTATTTGATGTCTCAACTTGGCTGTCTCACAGGTATTTCAAACTTTTCACATTCAAAGTTGAGGTATTTAGTCTCTGTTCCAAATCTGGCTCCTCCCAAAGCCCTCTTTAGTAAATGATATCCCACATTATTCAAGCCAGAAACCTGGAGCGCCATACCTAACACGTTTCTCTCTCTCAAGACTATATTCATCTATCACTAAGTCCTCTTCATTTCTTTTCTTTTTAAAAAAGTATAATAGAGATGAGATCTTGCTATGTTGCCCAGGCTGGTCTCGAACTCCTGGCCTCAAATGATCCTCCAAACTTGGCCTCTCAAAGTGCTGGGATTACAGGCTTGAGCCACTCCGTTGAGCCCTCTTCATTTCATAGTTCAAAAAATACAGAATTTATTTACTGATCTCTATCCCTATTGCCAAACCTCTAGCCCAGGGCTGTCAACCTCTGTACTACTGAGATTTTGAAGCCAGACAGTTCTTTGCTGTGAGAGGCTGTCCTGGACATTGTAGGATTGTTACCAGAATTCCGTTCTCTCCCCACTGGATGCCAATAGAATTCCTCCCCGCCAAAAATATTTGCCAAGTGTCCTATGAGGGCAAAATCTCTCCCAGGTGGAAACCTCTGATCCAGTACAAATTACTATCATATTCTCCTTCAACTCCTACAGAGCTTTCTTACTGGTCTCTCCCCAGTAAGAATAAGACCCATCGTTATACTCCTTAAAGCCTTTCTCCACAGAGTAAGAGTAGCAGTGAGGTCTTTATAACATGTAAATTTCATCAGTTCATCTCTCAGTCTAAACACTTTACCTGCCTCCCTTTGTAGATAGGAAAAATACTTTCCACTGCGTTCATCTTCATGGAGTCCCGGTCCTTTCTCCAGCCTGGTTTTGTGCACCTGCCTCGCTGTGCTCCAGCCATGGTGGAATTCTTCCAACCTATACCAAACATCTGTGCATTTCAGCACCTTCCCACGTGCTGCTCACTGCCCAGAGTTCTCTGCAGTCTGACTCAGCACTCATCCACCTAGGAACCTCCTATTACTTTTTATCAAAAGACTCTGGTTGTTTCCAAAAATGCCCTCATCACAATTTTCAGTTGCACATTTTAAACCTTTGTTTTGTTGTTTGTTTCACATGAGACTATAAGTTCCTTAAAGGCAGGAGCAAATCTCTTTTATCCCTTATTCAATATCAGCACGCATCAAGTGTCTTGCACATAACAGAGAATCAATGCATATTTGTAGAATGAATGAGTGATGAATGAATGAAACATAAAAGTAGTTTTGGTTGGTAATTGCTTTCCCCATTTCTTGCACTAGGGGGTGCCAAATGAAATAAATAATACTTTTTTTATTTTTATTTTTATTTTTTTAACAGTATTTGGGAGGCTTGGATGTTCCTTTCCCATGATACCATTTAAACTTGGTAGCTCAGCAAACAGTTCTTCTCATTCCATAGTAGTTATCAAGTTCAAATAGTTGTGCTAATTAAATGATATATGCCTGCAAAGTGCTTAGTACAACAGCGTCAGGCAGTTAGCAATACTAAATGCTAATTCTTATTTTAATCTATTAAATTATGATTGAAAAATTCAGTTTACAGCAGCCTTCTCATCCAAATGGTTAGAGGAAGTAGTTTAAAGCTGAGAAGTGCTACTAACTTACATTTCCCTGTATGACTCCATTTGCATTGCCCAGGGTTTTCATTATTTTCATTGAAACATATAACTTCTGACCCTTATCAAAATGTGATCATGTACAAAATAAAATAACTAAGATTTGAAGAATAAAGTGTTTAATGAAAATATTAGATTGACTTTAAGTTAATCCTTGATGTTCTAATTCCTAAATAAAAATGTCATATAATGAGATACTTATCTGAAAATTGTCCCGACTCCATTTAAATTTATTAGGGTTTCTCAAAAGCCCTATTACTGTGAAGATATTATGACACATTTCACTAATTTGGAATAGCTACAGGTTCAGTGTATCCTTTTGCCAAGATAGAAGCCAAGTCTCGAGCAGTGGTGTCAAAAGCTAACATGTTGCTTTGATTCTTTTCAGCATATTTCAAGCTACAAGCTATTTACAGCCTTCACTTCATCCAGTATGCTGAAATTCTACCATCTAAGGAATTAAAACCTCCTAGATGAAGTCGTATATGAAAAAATAAAGGGTGTCTTGAAGAAAACCATTTCTTACATACGGAGTAAGGGATTATTTTTCACACTGCAAAGAAGTTACAGTTACAGAATGGAGTAGTTGTTTACCATTTGCTGCTCTCCCTTTAGATATTCAAATTGCCCCGACTTCTTTATTTTTCTGCGACATTTATATTTTTGTGCCCATTAGATCATCACAATGAAATGCAGTGTTTATTCTTAAGTCCCAAGAAGGTATGTTACCACCTTCCCAAGCCTTTGCCCAAGGAGCCATTATAATTGGAAGAAAAATATTCCAAAAGAAAGTTTACTGAGGACAAAAAAAGGACTCAAATAATAAAAATATTTTTGGCAGTCACTTCTATGGTGGAACCAAAGAAAATAACCCAGGAACTAGTTTGGGATTTCATTCATCCTTCACGTCAGACTAGTTAGCTCAGTTGGGTATGAGATGATACAAGGAAGGCACCATATTATCCAAGTTGTAGCCCTCTTTGGGCCTGTTAGCTTTGTGGAAGCAAATAACCATCTTACAAGCAAAAGCTCTTGTTCAAAGGGCTGCCTGGCCTAGGGACTCTAGAGAAATAATTTCAAGTTGTCTGTAGCAGTCAAAACATACTATTCAAGAGTTTTGTCCTGTAATGATAGGGTTCTATTATTTTTCAAGGCAATATATGTCTGTATATCTTTGTCTCTCTATGCATATATATTAAACCAGACTTCAGGATAGCATCACACATTAGGTTGGTGCAAAAGTAATTGTGGTTCTTTCCATTAAGTGTAAAACTGCAATTACTTTTGCACCAACCTAATAGTTTGAGGTAGGGGTTGGGTGGGAGAGAAGGAGAATCAACTTATTAATATGCTCATCAACATGTCATCTTGGTTGTCTTCTCCATCATAATTATCATCACTATCATCATCGACATCATCATCAACATCATCACTGCTCTAATGTTCTTATTATGAGCCAGGCACTAGATGACATTATTTAATGTAATCTTCCTAATTATTTATTTGGGTAGGCTTAATTATCCTCATCTTATAGTTAACAAAACCATGGATCTGAGAGACTGTCCAACTCATGCAAGAACACCCAGTTAGTAAATGTCAGAGTGAGGATTCAAAGCCAGGTCTCTCTGATGTCCAAGTTCATGATCTGAACACCTACATGCGTATGCCAACCTCAGAGTGATGGGCCTGCCAGCTTCTGTTCTATGCGATCTGTGTGTCCAAAGATTGAGTTATCTTCTTTCTAAAAACACTTTATTGCGGGAAAGTATAAAACTCTTTTGAGGGGAAACTTACAGTGACCCAATTTCTCATGACCTAGATTCTCCCAGTTAGCTTATAACTGATACCCTTAAAAATACATTATGAAACATATTTCTCAGTTCCCCTAAAGAGTGCACAGTGCTCAGTCTATGCCTAGGTACAAATGAAATGAAAGCTGCCTCTTAGACATCTGACACTCAGCAATGCCGTAGAGATAAATTCTGCCTTTCTACAAGAAAAACCAAAAAATGTAAGTCTTTGGGGATTTTTTTTCTTTTCTCTTTTCTTTTGTCTTTCTTGTCTTTTCTTTTCTTTCCTTTTCTTTTTTTTTTTTTTCCTTTGAGACAGGGTCTCACTCTGTTGCCCAGGCTGGAGTGCAGTGGCATGATCTCCATTCACTGCAATCTTTGCCTCCCAGGCTCAAGCAATCCTTCCACCTCAGCCTCTCGAGTAGCTGGGACTATAGCCATGCACCACCATGCCCAGCTACTTTTTGTATTTTTAGTAGAGATGGGGTTTCCCCATGTTGCCCAGGCTGGTCTTGAACTTCTGAGCTCAAGTGATCTACCTACCTTGGCCTCCTAAAGTGCTGGGATTACAAGTGTGAGCTACCGCGCCCAGCCAGAATTATTTTTCTAAGAGTATGTCCCTTATTTTTGCATGTAAGGAAGGGAGGTGAAGATTCAGTGGCTCTATTTCAGGGACACTGTGAAGGTGTGCTTAATAATAACAGTAGCTAACATTATTGAGCATTTATCCATGCTCTTAGGAGAATATCAGTCAATGATTTAAATGTTTTATGAACACATGTATAGGAGATAATTTTTAGTTTACCTATTGTTTTTTATTTATGTGGGGATTCTAAGGGCAGCAATGATATTTGATCCTCATAGCTCCTATAGTCCTTTGTACATAATAACTACTTATCAGATGATACTGACTTATTACTATAGCAGCAGACTTACTATAGTTTCTAGTTTACGCTCTCCACAGGTAATGTCTTCTTTGATTCTTGCTATATGCATAGTACCCAGCACAGTGCCAAGAATGTAGTAGGGACTCATTATTAATAGTTAATTAACATTGAGTTTGGACTAAAACTTGCTTTGTAACCATTCGCTGTATCCTGAACTATGTTAGACGCCTACCGTATACTCAAATATATTTCATATATTCCAATGGAAATAAAATAAATTTCCATTGGAAATTTCTAGAGTGGTCTTTGGCTGAAAGAGTAAAGATTTGACCTGATTTGACTATTTGCTGTTTCGCTCCCTGGTAATGGATTTGCACTGACCCATCCACCCAGTTCCACTCTGTTATTTGAAATGGGGCTGCCCATGGAGTGGGGCCAATCATAGCAATAACATCTTAGATCTTGAGTAAAGGGAACTGCCCCCTACATGGATCAAAACCATCACCTTCACTTCTTTAGTTATTGCTATAGTAATGGAAAAAAAAAAACAGTCTTACAATAATAGAAGGATAAGTTCAGGAGCAAGTGAATACCATCTGGTCAGAAACTTTATATGAAAATGCTGGATGCACCCCAAACCCGCCTCCTTGCACCCCATTAAATTAAGTTGTATTTCCTAAAATGAGGTCTGAGCTTCCAGGTAGCATGTAGGGCCACTTTGTGGGGAAAGGTATTGTTTATTTCTCAGAAGCTAGCCTCAAAATATTCATGGCTTGGGCTAAAACAAAAACAAAGACAAAAAATTACCCTTTTAAATGAGCCTTAAATGAAAAGAAATTTCAGTATAGAATGACTTTAATAGCAAAGCAGCCAGTAAAAGGAGGTGGAAAAATTAGCCTGTTACATTCAGGAATGTTGTTTTGCAGGCTTGTATAGTGGAGAGTCTAAGAACTTGCTATTGGAAGACCTAAGTGTAAGCGGCAGT
Source organism: Homo sapiens (assembly GCF_000001405.40). NCBI lineage: Eukaryota > Metazoa > Chordata > Mammalia > Primates > Hominidae > Homo > Homo sapiens. Next base: position 64,722,445 of record NC_000003.12, read on the forward strand.
TTGGATCCTCCCTGTGTTGACCTTGAACGAGTGATAACCTTCCGGAGGCTCGGTTTCCCCATCTGTAAATCAGGGATAGATCTCTTGACCCAGCACAGTGGTGTCAGAAAGGTCACTGAACAAGTCTCATGTTTGTAAAGAGTCTCAAATATAGATGTTTCACATAATCAGCAAATGAAGTTTCATTTAATGTTCCTTAGAAAAATTAAGATGGAAAGAAGTTAATTATATTGCTTTAGATTTTTGTTCCATTGCTAGATCACACTATTACTTTTAGGTATATTAAAAATTAATATATATGTTTTGTAAATTCTGCAATTGTCTTGCTTTAGCACAAGTATGGTGCATTGCATTTTCCTTCTGTTGAAAGTATTAATCTGCTTAATGTAATATTTAAGTATGTAGCTTATTTTTTTTGGACTGGGGCAGCTCTAGAATGTCTTTAGCTGATTTGGAAGAAGTGCAATGGGAAGCCTGGGATGGGGTCTCCCCTTCAGGCAGCATTTACGTAGAAGCTTGCTGTTTTTACTTGTATCATAATTTACTTGGAAGGGCTTTGGGCACACTGGTAGAGGTCATAAGAGTTAAAGCTATTGACTTCCACCCTGGCTGCTGGTATGTGTCTCATCCATATTGGGCATTTCTTCATTAAAAAATACTAGAGACCTCAAAAAAAGAAAAGGACCTGGGCCCTTTTTGACTTCTGAGGTGCTCTGTGAAATTCCTATGGTGATTGAATGTGACCAGAATGAGGTTCTTTTTGGAAACTCTGTAACTTAAAAAGCACATTATAAATGAAAGAGATAATAATTAGCAACCCAAGTGTCCATCGGCAGATGAATAGATAAACAATCTGTGGAAGATACATAAAATGGAATATTATTTGGGCTTGAAAAGGAAGAAAATTCTGACACGTGCTAGCTACAACATGGATGAGGCTGGAGGACATTATGCTAAGTGAAATTAGCCAGTCACAAACAGATAAAAATTGTATGATTCCACTTACATGAGATATCTAGAGAAGTCAAATTTATAGAGACATAAAGTAGGATGGTGGTTGCCAGGGGCTGAGAAGCGAGGAATGGGGGAGTTATCCTTTAATGGGGTTTAAAGTTTCAGTTTTGCAAGATGAAAAAGTTCTGGAGAAGGATGATGCTGATGGTTGCACAACAATGTGAACATACTTAATGTTACTAAACTGTACTCTTTAAAACTGTTAAGATGGTAAATTCTATGGTATATATATTTTACCACAAACAAAAATTTAAAAAATTTTAAAAGGAGGTAATTATTATTACTTATTTTAATCAATTAATTGCCCAGTATAGGCCAGTCAATGGAAATAATTTAGAAATATGGTTCCAGTTTGGAAATTTAGATGAAAAAAATGGAGCAATGAGATTTCCTTCCCTTCCTCCCTCCCTTCTTCCCTTCTACAATTATTTATTGAGCTTCCACTTGTTTACTGGCACTCTTTGAAGATCTGGGGAATTGGTTCAAGAACAAAGTTCTGGCACTCACAGATTTTACATTCTAGTGGGAGTGGACAATAAACAGGAAAATAAATAAGGTCAGGTAGAGATAAATGCTGTGAAGAAAAACAGACATGAAAGGTCAGATAGACAGTTAAGGGGTAGCAGATGCTTCTTAGGGACCAAGGGAAGGCTTCTTGCAGAAAGGCCATTTGAGCAGAAACTTGAAAGAAGTGAGGGAGTAAGCCTACAAATACTTGAGGGAACAGCTGTTTCTAAGCAGTGAAGACAGCAAGTGCAAAGGCCCTGAGTTTGGAGTGTGCTTGGCATGTCCAGGAGACATTTAGATCTCCCTCGTGGCAGAGGATGAGTGAGTGAGGGAAAGGATGGTAACAGCAAAGGTTGGAGATACAGCTAGGAGCCAGATTCGTTAGGGCCCTGAGGGCCATGTTACAATGGAGGAACTGAGGCCTAGAGAAAATACGTGACCAAGCCTAATCTAAACACACTGCTCTTCCACTCTGGAAGCTGCTTAAGAGCATTAACAGCCTTTCTGGTTTACTTCCACCTGGAATTTCTGTTGACTATATAGATCCATGTTACAAACCTGGCCCAATCCTTTTCTGGTTCATCTTGCTGAAACCAAAAGTTCAACATGTTGATTATACTGTATGTTAAAGATGTTTCATTCTCTCTTTTTCTAAGCTGTGACTGTATAGATAGATATGTTTTGGAGGAAGTGCAGAAAGAGGTGGTGAGCTGAAGCTGAAGGACGTTCTTTTGTTGTGATGATTAATTTTAATGTGTCAACTTGACTGGGCTAAGGGATGCCCAGAGTATTGGTAAAATGCTATGTCTGGATGTGTCTGTGAGGGTGTTGCTGGTAAGAGGTTAGCATTTGAATCAGTAGACTGAGTACAGGAAAGCATTAATACAGGTGGGCATCATCCAATCCATTGAAGGCCCAAATAGAACAAAAAGGTGCAGGAAGGGCAAATTTGATCTCTGTTTGAGCTGGGACACCCATCTTCTCCTGTCTTTGCATGCTGGCATTCTTGGTTCTCACACCTCTGGACTGGGAATTCCATCAGCTCCCCTGGGGCTCAGGTTTTCAAACAAACTGAATTACACCACTGGCTTTCACTTGTAATTCATTTTGGAATGGTTTTTAAGCTAAGTCTAAGCAGAATTTGATAAGAGTTATAATGTGCACAACTAGGCAAGCTTAAGTTCTATATTTGAACATATTTTAAAAAGTGATGCATATTAGATGCACAAAATTATAGTACTTTCCATCAAATGTCTTTAAATTTGCAAAACAGATCCCTAGCTAGCAGCCTTTTGGTTTTCAGGTATGCTGTGTGTGTCTTTTGTTTTTTGAAACCAATGTTTTTAAGGTTATTATTTAGTATTGATTTCTACTTATGGACATTGAGGGTTCTTTTTTTTCCCCAGAGTTTTAAACATGCCTTGTTTTCTAGCCACACAAGTCAAATTCCAATCTTAATTGTGGCAGAGGTAGCACACAATTACTCTGACTGGAAATTGTTCTGTGGTTCTGTAGCTACTTACAGATGCTTCCCAATCTGTGAATGGCGGACAATTCCACTTGGCCCACCTCCCCAAATTGTTGGTTGGTGAACTGAAAGAGAGAGTTTTAGAAGTAAAAGGGCTATGCAAATGCCAGGCATAGTTATTCCTGATCTGCATTCGATGGAAGAAGTCCCCAGCTCTAAAAAGCTCTTTGTGGCTGCTAAAAGTGCTGGGACCATGGTCTTCAAACACAGCAGACGACAGCCTTCTCTCTTTGACTGCTACATCACTGCCAGAGCAATCTTTTGAAAGCAAATCTTGATCCTGCCACTTCTGTTTTGAAATCTCTTCATTGACTCTTTAGAGCTTACAGGACAATACCTAAGCTCTCCTTAGTATGGCCGAAAGGGCTCTTGGCTGTGTCTTACCTCCTCTCCATGCATACCCACCCCTGGCTAGTGACTAAATGCAGCAGGCTTTACACAGCTCAGTTCCTTTGCTGTATGGCTTTTGCCCCCTTGGTCAGTATCTTGAAAAGGATTGGCCTAACACACAAGATCTCCTTCCTGGCTCCCTGTTTCTGCCTCCACTTTACCTCCTCCTCCTATTGATCCTACAAATTCCAAAACCATCTGTGCTAGTAGGCAGAGTAATTGGTGTTGAACAGATGTCTATTTGGGTAACAATGTTATTTTTTAAAGTGGGCATTTTAAAAACATTGCTGCTAGATGATTTTGGAATGTATTTTACATCATAATTCCTCAGGCCCAGCAGGTTTCTCAACTTGACTTTTCTTAGGTTATTAGTGATGTTGTTTGGATGTCCTTGGTACACACCAAGAGAGTGGCAGAAAGAGCTGCTCAGCAATGTGCAAGAAACCCAGTGACTTCTTTGAGATGAAGTGTTTCTTCTGGCTAACTTTCCACAATGTGTTGCAGACATACAACTAATGGGCAATCCAGGTCCTTTAAAATCATTTCTTCTTAAAAAATAGACTACAGTAAGTGTAGCTGTGCTATTCGGTAAATCAACATGTGTTTATCACATTTGCAAAGCCCTGGGTTGAATAGTCATTCATATGTAACTTCTGCATATTAGAGTTTCTAAGCTGTTTTCTTCCTTGCCAGTTCTTCTTGTGTCTCCAGTGGTTTTATGTTCATTTTTTAAGGGATCAGTGAGAGGACATAGATAAGGCTCTTTGCAAAGTGCAAATCCCTATGCAAATGTGAGGGTTTTAAATCGCTATTTCATCACTAGGTATACAGTATCCTTCTGCCCAGTAAACTGCTTCTTGGTTGTGATGGGTCAAGAAATTGACTTACTAGTCTACTGACTTCTCAGCACTTCCCAGCTTCTTTAGAAGTTTTCTGGGAAAGGAAGGAAACCATGAACGAGGTCCACTCTGGAAATCTGTCTTCTCACTCCATGCCCTGCCAGTCAGGGCATACCCAAAATATGGGCTTTGGCACAGATAAAACTTGAGACTCCTATTTCTTGCAGGGCTGAGTTCAGATTCCCAGATGTCACATACCAGTGTGTGACCATGAGCATGTTACTTCACCTCATTGAGCTTTAGTCATCCTATCCATAAAATAAGGACAATAAGAATATTCTCCCTCCTTCTATCAGGTGAGATAATACAGGGAAAGCTGATGAGTATCAGATTTAAAAAACTAGGTACTTAAATGCAGTAACGCATATGGCATAAGTAGTCAGTTAACATTATCTGCAATCATATCATCATTATTGCTTATCATTATCATTAGCACAAGGTCTTGGGCAATTTCAGGCGTCACTAGCTGCAATCCACTCCATTGTCTCCTACTCAGAAAGCAATGATTCACAATGCAAAGAAGTGAAAGTGTGCTTGGTCTGAATAACCTTGTTTCTGGCCCAGTTTATTTTTTCCAATAGAAGCCTTTATATACATTGATGCCGTAAGTAAAATTTGTAATGCATTTCTTTTGCTGATCTTTACACAGCTGATTGGGAGCCACCAGGGTTGTAATGACACCATGTTCACACAGGTGTACTGGTCTGGGACAGTCACCCGATTGCTACCAACTGCCCTGTGTCCTTCTGTATGGCTGCCAAGTACCTGCTCTGTGATTGACAGCTCAAGTTCCTAGGCATGAAAAAAGACTGGTCTTCAATAATAATAATTTTTAAATAATCATTATGATACTAATGGGAGCAGCTATCCTCTACTGGTGGCTACTCTATCTAGACTTTGTGCCACATTTGTGTGATTTTCTATAGCAATCTTGTAAGTTGAGTCCTTGTACTGCCTCATAGTTGAGGAAACTGAGGTAAGAAAAGATGAAGTAAACTACCCATGAAAATACAAATAGGATATAGCAAATCTAATATTTGAACCCAAGTAGTCTAACTTTAGAGTCTGTGCTCAGCCAATAGTCTATGTTTGCTTTGCCATTTCCCTACCCACCTCCATATTCTTTTTCCTACATGTTAAAGAATGATAAGGGATGCTGTAATGATAGGAACTCACATTCCTTGGGCACATAGTATGTGCTGGGAACTCCCCCCCACCTTTCTCCTTTTACACTTCTTCTTTTTTTTTTTTAATGTTCCCACAAAACTTTATTTACTGACACAAAAATTCCTCTTTTATATTAAAAGAGCCCTAGGAGGGGAGGAAAGGCGTTCACAGTGTCAACAGATGAGGGAATGGAGGCTCTGAGAGGCTGGATTACCTAAAGTTTTCAAGGAGCTCTCTGGCTGCATAACCCAAACACATTCTATTTTCCACCACAGATATTCCCCAACTAACTTACAGTTATAAGGCTGTAAAATAGATGTGTGGCTAAACCAAGATACATGGTAAAGACTTTATGTTCTGTGATCGGAGAGCCCATGGCCACAAACTGTCCAAATTGTGTTGACTCAATGAACAACAGAATGAAAATATTTTCTCCTGAAAGGGAGAAATAATAACATTTTTAGCCAGAGCCAAGGCTTATACACCATGGCACTCTTTTAAGCTTCTCCAAGCTCTATACAGAGCCCTTGATGGTTTTCTGATAGGAAATGTCCCCGACACTGACATCCTATTGCATGACAAGAAGACAACAGTGGCAAGAAGGGGCTTTCCCGAATGTGACTCCAAGATGTCATTGAGATGTTGTCAGGTTCTAAAATAGTCACTTCCATCCGAAGTCTTACAGGGTAATTATAGCTTTGCCATTATTCCTGGCCTGGCTGTGATCCACGACTCTGCTCTCATTACCTCCTGCTTCTTCATCTTGGGTCTGATAGAGCCCTTTCATCCAGATGTGGGGACCAGCTGAACATTCTGAGCAAGTTCTGCAGACCAGCTCTCCCCTAGACACCTCTGAATGTCTTGGGGCAAGTCATGAGCAAAGAGAGTTAAGGAGCCAACCTTTAAACAAGAACAGAAGGAACCAGAGCAAATGGAACATGCCGGGTGGGGCAGAAGTGTGTTGTTAATTTTTTCTCCAGGTTTGGGTGTGTATTTATAGGCTGTTAGAAGGAGTACAGGGTTTTAGGTAGATAAACTTCTCTATTGAAAGGGAGAGGAAAAACATTTTCCCTGCCTTCCCCCCATTTCTTTTTAAGGCCACAGTTGAAGTCATACTCACCTTCCACTGTGAGGCACGGTGATGTTTTTCCAATTGTCTGGAGTCAGGTCTGCCACACTTCCTTGACTGTATTCCTTCTTCCTGTCAGAGACAGGTTCCTGTGGTCAGGCACGCAGCAGGCTCCAGCCCAGCGTGCCAACTCAGAAGTCAGGAGCCACGATGTCCCTCAGACACTGATCTGTCGCACGGGGCTCAGACTTCTGAACTGGGACGTGACTGGGGAGACAGAATAAGCCCACACACACCGTGACTGAATTCATGGAGTCCTTTGCCTCTCTGCCACCCTACAATGGTACAGTCACATGGCTCTTAATGACAGGGATATGTTTTGAGAAATGTGTCATTAGGTGATTTTGAGGTTCAGCCAACATCAAAGAGTGTACTTAACAAACCTAGATGGGATAGCCTACTATCCTAATAGTATAGCCTAATGTTCCTAGGCTACAAACCTGTACAACATGGTACTCTCCTGGATACAGTAGGCAATTGTAACACAAGGATAATTATCTGTGTATCTAATCATAGAAAAGATACAGTAAAAATTTGGTATTATAATCTTATGAGACCAACATCATATATGTAGTCCGTCGTGGCTGAAACATCATTATGTGATGCATGACTGTATTTGATTTTCTTTAAATAGTATTCTGGATCTTTAGAGGGGTCTTGACCATGAGTCCATGCAGAGAGAGGAGCCTGAGCTTTATCTCCCAGAACCTTAGTTTCCTTATCTGCAAAATGGGAATAATGGGAATAATTATATCATGGGAAATGGTTGTGAGTAATTGTTTGAGATAATGATAGTAAAGCAGCCAGCACTGCTCATGGTAGCAATGATGTACAGGTTGAGTGTTCCTTATTCAAAATACTTGGGACCAGAACTGTTGCTAATTTCAGATTTTTTCAGATTTTGGAATATTTGTGTATACATAATGAGATCTCTTGGGGATGGTAGCCAAGTCTAAACATGATTTTTTTATGTTTTACATGCACCTTATACTCATTGCCTGAAGGTAATTTTATACAATATTTTTCATTGTTTTGTGCATAAAATAAAGTTTTGACTATATTTTGACTGAGGTCTGTCACATGAGGTCAGGTGTGGAATTTTCCACTTGTGGCATCATATTGGTGCTCAAAAATGTTCAGATTTTAGAGCATTTTGGATCTTGAATTTCAGATTAGGGATATTCAATCTGTACTTCATCACTACCATAGGCAGTGCTTGTGGCTTTACTGGTATTATCTCAAATAAATCCTCACTGCCACTTCCCATAATATAATTGTTCTCATTACTCCCATTTTACAGATAAGGAAGCCAAGGTTCAGGGAGATAAAGAAACTTGTCCCAGGTTACACGGTATCTTGGTTTATATTCTGCCTTGAAGCAGAACTCATGACAAGGATTCAAGTGAAAAGAGCTTATTTGAGATGTTCAGAAGTACCAGTAGGGCCATGGGAAAGTTAGACATGGAAGAGAAGGTTGCTAATGTAGGGCATAATATACCAGTGAGAAACCAGAGTGTCAATCCACAGGGAAACTCTGGAAAACAGTGTAAGAACAGATACCCCAGAGTCACCCCTTCCAAAGGATGAGAAATCTGGAGTATATTTTTACACCAGCTTCTGCCAGTCCATTGGTTAAGGGTGGATGATGTGGAAGTGGTGTGTTCATTCTTCGGTTTGGACAAAACTCCTACCAGGGATTCCTAGAAAGCCCCCAGCCTGAGAGATCCAGATACTGGCAGTTGGAAGCCAGCCAGCCTGCACCAAAGCAGTGAACATCAAAGAATTTGTTAAGAACCAACACTTCCTGCTACATACACTTAATGGAAAAGCCAAGGCCACAACACTCTTGGTGACCTCTTGTCACAGAATAACCCAACCCGAAACTTAGTGGCTTAAAACAACCATTATATTTATTCATGAGTCTATGGGTGTGCAATTTGGGCTGAGTTCATCTAGACCGTTCTTCTGCTGATCTCACTTGGGGTTACTCATGGGACTGTACTTATCTGGTAGCTTAACTGGGATCTACTTATTCTTGGGAGACTTAAACTAGGACAGCTCCTCTGTTCATGGGGTCTCATCCTCCAGCACCTAGACCAGCGGTCAGCAAACTTTTCTTGTGCCAGATAGTATTTTCAGCCTTGCAGGGCATTCAATCTCTGATGGGACTGCTCAACCCTGCTGTTGTAGCATACAATAAATCATAGAAAATGCAGAAACAAATGGGCATGGCTGGGTTCCAACAAAACTTTATTTACAGACAGGAGGCATGCCAGATTGGGCTCATGGGCTATATTCTGCTGATCCCTGGGCTAGCCCAAACTGTATCACACAAGGCTGCACATTCAGAGAGAGTCAAGGCAGAAGCTACAAGACCTCTTAAAGCCTAGGCACAGAAGTCAGACAGCATTCTGTTGGTCAAAGCAAATCACTCCACCAGCCCAGATCCAAGGGTGGAGCAGTAGACTTTGCCTCCTGATGGAAAGCTCTGCAACATCATTTCAAAGGGATGTGCATTCAAGTATATGAGAAATATTTGTGTCCATCTTTACCATTAATCTACCTTCCAACCCAGGTCTGTTTTGGATTCCAGAGTCTCTATATTTAACTACCACACCCTCCTCCCTCTTTATTTTGCTTCATGTAACTGGTTGAGGGATGAGTTCAGGAAACCCAGCAGATCCTGACAGCTTTAGATCATATTCAGGTCCAAAATTTAAACGAGGTTCTTGCTGCTCCAGGTAATGAACCTTGCATCTGTGATGTGTTAAATCTCAACCTTAGAAATGGAGCTTCTAATTGGCATGAGATATATATACCCATTACTGGGTGTATACCCAAAGGATTATAAATCATTCTACTATAAAGACACATGCACATGTTTGTTTATTGCGGCACTATTCACAGTAGCAAAGACTTGGAACCAACCCAAATGTCCACCAATGATAGACTGAATAAAGAAAATGGCACATATACATCAGGGAATACTATGCAGCTATAAAAAAGGATGAGTTCATGTCCTTTGCAGGGACATGGATGAAGCTGGAAACCATCATTCTCAGCAAACTATCACAAGAACAGAAAACCAGACACTGCATGTTCTCACTCATAAGTGGGAGTTGAACAATGAGAACACATGGACACGGGGAGGGGAACATCATATACCAGGGCCTGTCGGGGGGTGGGGGGCTAGGGGAGGATAGCATTAGGAGAAATACCTAATGTAGGTGACAGGTTGATGGGTGCAGCAAACCACCATGGCACATGTATACCTATGTAACAAAACTGCACATTCTGTACATGCACCCCATAACTTAAAGTATAATAAAAAAAAAAAAAAAGGAAAGAAATGGAGCTTCAAGGAGCTAGAGAATTTTCTAGTCTAGTCAGTTACCTCTTGTGGGAAGGAGTTTGCTCTACTAATTGCCCAGCAAATGACCATTGAGAGTCTGCTTGATGACTGCATTGGACAGAATCTCACTACTCCAGTCTTTTTCCCTTCAGTCACCCATATGTCTCAGCCATCCCTCCATTCATTGAGTCATTCAGCAAGTATTTATTGAGCACCTTCTGTGTACTAGGCCCTGATTTAAGAGAGGCACAAATAAACCTAGTAGCTTCCCTCCTGGAGATTATAGTCAGTTCATTTCCAGCATGACATCTGTTTTCAATTTTCTTCCTTAATCATATGACTCTACTTTGTCCTTTATGGTCTTTGTTTACTGGGTCTAGAAGAGTTGTTCTTAACTCACTGAGAATATTTAGAAACACTCTCCCCACCCCGCCTTCACTGTCCTGAGATGAATTTCACAGATACATAGAAATCCACACAATTGCAAGGAAAAAAAAAACCTCATAATGTACTAGCTATAACAAAAAGGAGAACTTAAAGGAGAAGTAACTTGTAGTACAATCATGCATATTTTAATAGGTAAATTTTCTAAGATTCAACTAGATTAGGTACAGGAATAATTGGATGTTAGTACTATATGTAGAATCATTGTTTATACCAGAGGTAGGCAGACATTTCTCCAAAGGGTCAGATAGTAAATATTTTAGGCTTTGTGGGCGATACTCAATTCTGCTGTTGTAGTGTGAAATCAGCCATAGGTAATATGTAAATAAGTGATCATGGTTGCGTTCCAATAAAACTTTATTTACAAAAACAGATGGTAGGCTGTATTTGGCCAGCTCACCATAGTTTGCTGACTCCTACTGTATACAATAGTTAGAGATGAAGACTGATAAGGATATGTTATGTTATGTGGACAATTCAAACATCATTAAGGGTATTACTGTCAGTGATATGATTTTTCAAAATGGTGGTACCTTTTGGGAAAGTTCTGAAGAAAACAAAGTGAAATCCTCTCCATCTATAGAGTAGTTACTTTTCTGGAAAATTTAATGTATATCACCTAGCCCATTTTTATGTAGCTTTAGGTAATTATAAAGGTGTTCCACCTATATGAGTGTCCTATATGATATTTTCAAGGCATTTGGGATACAGAACTATTTTTCGTTGCGAGGACTAAACTGGGCACTAACAGAGGTTTTGCCTCCTTGGTCCCTGCCCTTTAAATGGCTCTTCCGCTTCCAGTCTCTGTGCCACCAAAAAATACCTCCACCCCTAATTTCTAATGCTTCCCTCATTGCACAATTACATCTCCTATTGAGAAGCACAGTACTAGACATGCCCCCCGGGATTAGCCTGCTAGGGCTGCCATACTGAATACCACAGACTGGGTGGCTTAAACAACAGAAATTTATATTCTCACAGCTCTGGAGGCTGGAAGTCTAAGATCAAGTATTGGGGTTTGGTTTCTTTCTTTCTTTCTTTCTTTCTTTTTTTTTTTTTTTGCGATGGCGTGTCGCTCTGTCTCCCAGGCTGGAGTGCAGTGGCGGGATCTCGACTCACTGCAAGCTCTCCCTCCCAGGTTCACGCCATTCTCCCCTCTCAGCCTCCCGAGTAGCTGGGACTACAGGCGCCCGCCACCATGCCCGGCTAAATTTTTGTATTTTTAGTAGGGACAGGTTTCACGGTGTTAGCCAGGATGGTCTCGATCTCCTGACCTCGTGATCCGCCCGCCTCGGCCTCCCAAAGTGCTGGGATTACAGGCGTGAGCCACCGCGCCTGGCTGGATGTTCGGTTTCTTTTGTGACCTCTCCCCTTGGCTTGCAGATGGCCACCTTCTTGCTCCGTCCCCATATGGTCTTTTCTCTGTGTGCACATGCTCCTGGTGTCTTTTTCTCTTCCTATTGGATGAAGAGTCCATCCTAGGGACCTTATTTAATCTTAATTACTTCCTTAAAGGCCCCATCTCCAAACACCGTAACATTGGGGGTTAGGAGTTCAACATATGCATTTTGAGAAGCCACAATTTAGTTCATAACATCCCCTGACACTGTTGCCTAGCCGTCTTCTCATTCTCCTTTTTTTTCATGGTCCAAGGGAAGTTCACTCCTCAATGCAGCCTTCTTGGTCAATGGTAATGTCATATACCAAAATACCAATAATGGCCAATAATAAAATATACTGTTTTACAGGTCACCTTACATTTGGCAAAATAGTCTGTTTCTTTTTTCATTTAATTTTTAAAATTGTAAAGCATTTAAAATAGAAAAATGCAGACAATTACTTAGCAAATACTCACATAGCCACCACCCAAATTTAACAAATGTTAAGATTTTTGGCATATTTGATTCAGATTACTCTTATGAAATAAAATACTACATGTTCAGTTGAAGTGACTTCTATATCACTTCCCAATTTCATCCCCTTCCTCATTCCCTAAAGTTGATGTGTTTCCTCCATATCATTGCTTTTATACTTTCAGTCTATGTGCACATATCCATACAATATATAGAGTTGTTCTATGTGTTTTAAAAATATTTTTAGGTGGTATTGTACTGAACACATCATTCCACAATTTCCCTTTTCCACTTTACATTATGGTTTCAAGAATTATCTGTGTAGATCTAATTCACTCTTTTTTAATTTTCTCTTTTTTGAGACAGGCTCTTGCTCTGTCACCCAGCCTGCAGTGCAGTGGTGCAATTTTGGATCACTGCAACCTCCATCTCCCAGGTTCAAGCGATTCTCCTGCCTCAGCCACTGGAGTAGCTGGGATTACAGGCATGCACCACCATGCCCAACTAATTTTTGTATTGTTAGTAGAGACGGCGCTTCACCATGTTGCCCAGGCTGGTCTCAAACTCCTGACTTCAGGTGATCTGTCCTCCCCAGCCTCCCAAAGTGTTGGAATTACAGGCGTGAGCTACCGTGCCCTGCCAAATCAACTTCTTTTTAGTTGTTATGTGGTGTTTCATTGCATGAATATGCCACAATTTATGTATCCATTTCCCTATTGATGAGCATTAAGCTTAAGCTTGTTTCCAAGTTTTCATATCGTAAACATTTATGTATGTCACCTTGTGCCCATGCATGAAAAGAACTCTGACTATGAGTGGATTAGTGGCACATATTCTTCCTAACATAGCAATAGGTATCTCAGGACTGTCACAGCACTTCAGTGATGCCAGAGGGATCCAGGTTTATTCCTTCTCTCTGGTCTGCCATCTTTAACAGGTGCACATTTATCATCAGGTTTGGTTTTTCTCATGGTCACAAAATAGTTCCAGCACCTCCAGGCATCATGTCTATGTTCTAGTCAGGAATAAGGGAAAGGAGCAAAAGGCCAATAGAGCAATTAGTCATACTGTCCTCACAAACAAGTTTTCTTAGAAACCCCACTCAGTGAGGCAGAATGATGTTCACTTACACCCCACACTGGCCAGCACAGTGTCACATGGTTCGCCCCTTAGCCAATTCTAGGAAACTTTCTAGAAGGCAGGATGGTGTACAAGGAAGCTGGATCAGTTGACCAGTTGTATCTGCCTTACTACCCAGGGAATAATGGCTGAACTGAAGGATATTCATGTCCCCAGGACTTCTAGATATTGACAACATGATTGCCAATATGGCTGACCCATTTTATAGTGTAACCAAAGAAGTCCGAAAGTTCCGTGGTGGCTCACATCTGTAATTCTAGCACTTTGGGAGGCCAAGGTGGGAGAATCACTTGAGGTCAGGAGTTTGAGACTAGCCTGGGCAACATGGTGAGAACTTCTCTCTCTCTCTCTCTCTCTCTCTCTCTCTCTCTCTCTCTCTCTCTCTCTCTCTCTCTCTCTCTATATATATATATATATATATATATATATAAAGAAAGAAGGAAAATACAGTTCTGCTTCGTCATGTCAGAATCAAATTATTATGATGAATCTACTGTTAGCGTGATGCCAGATGAGGTCACATGAAAAAACAGACAAAGAAAATCCCCAAATGAATGCTTCCAGAGCCTTAAGCAGAGTGCCTAGAACTTGGAACCTGCTCTAAGACAGGCTTGTTGGATCCCTGTCCTGCTGTTTACTGATGGGTGATTCTGTGTAAGTTTTTCTGAGCCTTGATTTTCTCATCTGTAAATGGGGACACAAGTAGCATCTATCTCTATCTCCTAAAAATGATAATGATTAAAAGAGATAATGCCTATGGAATGGCTAACATAGCACCAGCCATAGACGGAGGCTGCAGTCACTGTTTGCTATTGAGATTAATGTCATTACCTAGAGAGTGTATGCCATGTGTAGGCTGACAATATTTTTTGAGCTTCAAATTAGGAAATGGATTTGATGGTTTTGAGTCCACTCATGGAAAAGCAGAATATTTGAAATACAGCCATTCTGAAGAATATAGAATGATTTCTAATACCTTAATATCTAATATTGATTTCTAATATCTCAGTAGAGCGTCATCTCTGCCTTCTAGAACTTTGTAGAAAGTACAGCATGTTTCAAAATATGAGCCTCAAATAGGAAAAAAAATTGGGTAGACTAACCGAGACAAATGACCCTTAACTGAACCCTTATCTTACTCCTCACTTTGTAGATAAACAGATGTGGACTTTTATTTTTTGTTTTTATTTTTTTGTCTTTAAGCCTTCAAAGAACAAATTTTAGAATATGAACTTCAAACTTGTTTTTTTAATAACATTTAACAGTCAGAGTTAAGAGATGAATAATATGGAGAAGTGGGGAAGCGATGGAAATTATCAATAATTTGTTATAAGGGAAAGTTTAAGAAGCTGGTGTTATTAAATCCAGAGGAGAGAAAGTTAATGAGAAGTGTCACAATTAAGCCCCTGAACATTATCTTCACAAGGAGCCAAATGAAGTAGAATAATTTTAACTAATGGAAGAACGAATTTTGGGGGTCTTTTTGGAGAAAAATGTTCAGAAACAAATGCTGTTAAACCTTCACTATAGTAGTCAGTGACCTAAAAAACAGACTGGCTGCTGCTACTTTTCTGCAATTGTCTATATCTCTTTCAGATCATGAAAAAACTTGATCTTTAATAATTTTATTACACAGTTCTGAACCTTAAAAGAAGGGACATGCTTTGTAGTTGGCAAAGGTACCATTCAATGTATATTACCTGAAGTGTCTAATTGTCTGTCAGGCACAAAGTTAGACTCTGGGGATATAGAAGAATGCCTGCTGGATGTAGAACCTGCTGTCATGGAGCTTATAGACCATTAAAAGACCCAGAAAGGGCAATAGGAACTGACAAAACTATGATGGATGCTACAGGAGCACAGGAGAAGCCACTTAATCTTGACAGAGTGGAGTGTGCGTAGGGGGGTCCAGGAAGGCTTTCTGGAGGAAGCAAGGTCTAAGCTGAAATCTGGTGAGTGAATAGGAATCAGCTGTGTGAAACTGGAGGCCTGGGGAAAGTTGATGGTTGGAGGTGAGGAGGAGGTAGGGGCAGAGGTATAGCAGGTCTCTCATGGGGAGAGTGAGCCTGGGAGATGGGCTAAACTGGAGAAATGCAGGGCTTATGCCACTGTTCTTTGTGTGTAACACTTTTACTTTCATCATGCTTCTCTATGGTTTTTCATTGTTGTCTTAGCAACCATGATATCATCATACTATCCTAAAAACTGTTGAAGAGGCTCCACTTTTGAGAATAAGCTCTGGAACAAACCTCCCCTCCATTTTCTCTTTACCTACGTGTTGGCTAAAAAATCAAATAGTGGGGTAGGGGAGGGGAGGAAGAGCAGGAACGGAGACATATGGGCCTATCTTAAGGCATCTTGCCTCTTCTATTTTAGTAATTTATCCATTGGATTTATGGCTGTGTAACTATTTTCTGCGTAGCATTATGGTTAAGAGAGCGCATCCTGAAGCTAAAGTGCCTGTTTCCAAAGGAGGCACTGAGAAAGACTGGCAATGTGGCCTTGGGCAAGTAAGTTAACTTCTCTGGACCTTAGTATATCCATCTGTAAAACGGGAATAATAGCACTTCCTCACAGAGCTGTTGTGAGCATTACATGTTAAGGTAGTAAGGTGCTTAGAACAACACCTGGCACATAGTTAACCTTCAATAGATGGCCAGCCATGATCACCATTTATTATTTATGTTACCTGGAACTGAATGCAGGGATCAATAATAATAATAGTTCTCATTGATTGAGCATGTACTATGTGATAGTCATGGTACTTCTTGCCTTGCCTTCATTATCTCATTTAATATTCTCAACTACCTTATAAATTAGCCACCTCTTTTTACAGATAAAGGAACTGAGGCTTAAAGAAGGTAACTAGCTCGCTCCAGGACAGTGGTGCATTGGGGACCTGAACCCAAGCCTTCCCCTCAAATCCAGCCTTGCATTACCTTCATGAGGAAGATTAGATCCTGGTTCTTTTTACTTTCTACTCAGAGTGTCTTGTTTTCTTTAGAGCTGTGTTGGTAGACTTGTTTTAGAACTGTGTGGTCAGTCTGGAAGTATGATCGGCTCTTTAAGAAACCTCCTAAAAGTTATGCTAATAAACATGGCTTAGATAAAGTTTGAGAGTTGGCCACCATAACCAAAGACCAGCCAAAGGAAAATTACCAAAGTAATGTGTGTTCTAAGAATCAACAAATGTGTCTGGATACACGATGAGTGTGCATGCGCCCCTACTAGGGGCACAGATGGGAAGAAAGTATTCCCAGTCCTCCACTGCTCACCCTGGAGCCCCAGAGGCCTACCTTGGAGAAGCAGAACTGACTCAGACTCAATATGGCATTTGTGAGACAACAGGGCCCCGGAGTCAAGAGCATAGGCTTGACACTCCAACTCAGTCAGATGTGAGGCCTGATTCCCTCCCTTCTAGCTGGGTGAAAAGAGCCAAATATTTTCCATTTCTCTGAACCTCCATTTCCCTTACCCATGAGATAGGGATATGAATACTTACATTCCAGACTCCTTGCAGACATATTGTGAATATTAATTGAGATAAAGGGCATGAGGGATGTAACACGCTATGCTGCACATGGTTAGCCATTATTCTTTAGGTCTAAATATCAGCATGTACTCAATGCTTTGTTTTTGGAAAGGGTACATTACTTCCCAAATGATTTTTGGAAAATGTGCCCTGATGAAAAGAGACAGTGTAAAAAAGGGAGACATAAATTCTGAGAGGGCAGAGACCTTGTGCAGAGGACTAATGGGAGAGGCAGTGGGCTGAGAGTGGAATGCAGCACATTCTCCGTATACTGTGATATCTTGATTCCTTCCCAAGCTTAAGGGAGCCTGAAAATTTGGGGAAAGAATGCTAGTATTGGAAAGTGAGAGAAGATGGTTTCTTGGATGGGGAGTTGGGTGGTCTCATCACTCCTTCCAGACATAGATTAGCAAGACTTAATTCCAGAAATATTGTCAGCCAGTAAAATAAATAGACTAATGACTGTGGGAAAATTGTATGTTAATGTATCTAGGCATTGTTTCCAGTCTGACCCTTAAATATATGTTTAATCAATCTAGATGGATGAGCCATCCTGCTCTTAATTAATCTTTCTGGACATTTATAGAGAAACGGCAAAGTCTTTACGAAGACCTTATAAATGTGTTTAAGCTTAGTATGGATTTTTATTTATGTGCATAGCATGAGCAGTCGTTACTTCTAAATGATGGCTTGTTTTGAATGTTCTCAGACCTTCAAAATGTTTTATTTCCACCCTTGGGAAGGGAATGGGGGGTGAGTCGAAAGAAAACACGTGATGGCCATTTTCCATGGCACGAGCTGGCTAACCTTTCTGGACTGTGCATGTTTGTTTGGATTTTAGAGCATTACAAGTAAGGAGGCAGGAAGAAAGAGTTGGGTGCACTCTCTTCAGGAGGGCTTTGTTGGGAAATGGTGCCACATTCAGAGATTCATCTCAGTTGGGGTGACCCTGTGCTCAATCTCCTCTGCCACAGAAATCGTCAGTATCACACAAGCATTTCCCTGGGGCTCAAAGGCCAGCACTTACAAAAACAGCACGGCAGTGTTCAGCTGCATTTGTTGTCATGGACTTTTGTTGTGTCAGACATTTCTGGGGATGAATCATCTACTGTGAGTTTGGGAGTTTGGTTCTGATGCTGTTTGCTGTAGGGATTGACTTAAATTGGAGTCAGTTCTTCTAGGACAGTACGCTGTGTGTGTGTATGCGCGTGCATGTGTGTGTTGCAGATAAGGGCATTATCATTCGGTCTTCAAGCTCCTTTTGTCCACTAAATTTTTGTGCCCTAGGATCAATTACTTTCACTATTTTTGTGATCCAACCTTTAGCTTCTGACATTCATTTGTATTGAATTCCTACTCTAGCTGGCACTGTGCTACATATTGAGAATACAATGGTACATACTATAGACTAAATTCCAAGAGTTTATATTCTACAGGTTTAGAGTAAGTTGGAATTCCAGATATTGATAAGTGCCCTTTAAAAAAAAATGAAACAAGGTCCTGAGATAAGGATGGCCTGTTTAGAGCAAGAAGAAAATCCAGTGTGGCTGGAGGAGTGTGGACAAGGCAGGGAGTGGGTAGAAATGTGGTCAGTGATTGGGGCTAGTGCCAGGTCCAGGTCTTGGTGGGTCTCCTGGGGCACAGAAAAGAGCTTGGGTTTTACTCTAATTGCCGTGGAAGCCAATAGAGGCTTTTAAGCAGGGCATGACACGATCTGATTTAGTTTTCAAAGAAATCTTGTTGGCAGTTGTGTAGCCTTTCTATTCGAAGCCTGGTCTGTAGATGGACTGGCAGCATGAGCATCATCTGTGAGCTTTTTAGGAAGGCACATTTTTGGGACCCACTCAGGTTTCCTGAAGCAGCATCTGCATTTTTAATAGAATCCCCAGTTTGAGAACAGCTCTTGTAGAGAATAGATGGGGTCAGATGAGGAAAAACAGCTTTACAAGCCCCCACCCTTACTCTTTTCTCAGGTGTAGAAAGCAGATTGTTATAGACAGATTTCTAGACATATCTCAGTGGGCTGACCCAAGCTTGCTTCCAAATTCCACTCTTTTTTCTTTATTTTTTTTAGATAGGTTCTTACTCTGTTGCTCAAGCTGGAGTGCAGTGATGCAATCTTGGCTTGCTGTACCCTCGAACTCCTGGGCTCAAGTGATTGCCCCATCTCAGCCTCCTGAGCATCTTGGACCACAGGCATGCACTACCATGCCCAGTTAAGTTTTAATTTTTTTTTGTAGAGACAGGGTCCTGCTATGCTATCCAAGCTGGTCTACAACTCCTGGGCTGAAGCAGTCCTCCCACCTTGACCTTCCAAAGAAAGTGCTGGGATTACAGGTGTGAGCCACTGCACCCAGCCCCAAATTCCACTTCTGGTTGGACTAACATAGTTTTTTATTTGTTTGTTTATTTCCCTAATTCCTAGGTGACTCTCCTTCTTGCCTTTTACTCAGCAGCTGAACTACTGATTTTTCTTTTGGTGTTCCATTTATTTATCTTTCTATTGATTCTGTAACTTCATAGACCCTCAATAAATGACCACTATTTCCATCATAATTCCAAGTAGCAATTGCATAAAATATCCATATCTTAAAAGAAAGATAACAGGACTTCATTATAAGGATGGTATAAGTTTGACACGCATATTTGTAGGCAGGCCGTTATTACTAACTTGGTATTATGACCACTTTACCATGAAGGGCTTTCTGAATGCTGTTGGCATGTGTGTCAGTTAGGATTAGGTTTGGCTTAAGCTTTTAAACTGTTAATAATAGTTTACACAAAATAGAAGTTTATTTCTCTCTCATGTCAAAATCTGGAGGGTAGACTGGAATTGCTTTAAAAGTTCTATTTCATAAAGATCTCAGGTACCTAGACTTTTTCTATTTCTTTTCACTGTGTCTAGCCTCCATTCTGAAGCTGACCTCATGGTCCAGGATGGCTGCTTTACTTCCTGCTATCTCATTAAAATTCCAGCCATCAGAAGAGATGAAGAGATGGTGCAAAACAAGCACTGCAGCAGACCTTTCAGAAAGGCTGTTAGAACTGCTGCATGGGCCGGCACGGTGGCTCACACCTGTAATCCCAGCACTTTGGGAGGCCAAGGCTGGTGGATCACGAGGTCAAGATATCGAGACCCTCCTGGCTAACACAGTGAAACCTCGTCTCTACTAAAAATACAAAAAAAAAAAAAAATTAGCTGGGCGTGGTGGCGGGCGCCTGTAGTCCCAGCACTTTGGGAGGCCGAGGCGGGCAGATCACGAGGTCAGGAGATCGAGACCATCCTGGCTAACACAGTGAAACCCCGTCTCTACTAAAAATAAAAAAAAATAAAAAAAAAAAAAATTAGCCGGGCGTAGTGGCCGGCACCTGTAGTCCCAGCTACTCGGGAGGCTGAGGCGGGAGAATGGCGTGAACCCGGGGGGCAGAGCTTGCAGTGAGCCGAGATTGCGCTAGGACTGCACTCCAGCCTGGGCAACAAAGCGAGACTCCGTCTCAAAAAAAAAAAAAAAAAAAAAAAAGAACTGCTGCATGATGCTTTCACTTATGGATTGTTGGCTAGACTTAAGATACCTGGCCCCAACCATGTGGCCCCCAGCTCTGAGAAGTATGGTTTTTGTTTTGGGTGGTCAGGAATCCCGCTAAAAATCAGATGTCTCTGACTACAGAGAAAGTATTAGGGAACAACCAGCAGTTCCTAGCAGCATATTTCAGGGAATGTGATTTGGCATATAATCTAAATACACATTGGTATCTCCCCATTAAATTTAATCTAGGCTGCATATTTTGTACCATCATCTCATTATGGTGTCTTGTAATTCTTTCCACTTTTCTTTCCAAAGGAAAAGCGGTGTCTGATTTGGCAAGAATACATTTCTGCATTCAAAGTTGAAATGTGAAGATAAACCTCACCCACTTGGAATAGGATAAAAGAAAATCCCCTGGATAGAGGGAAATATGCAAACAGTTCTATTACCATGTGTATCTTTTCCTGAGCTGGGTCTTTATGCAACAAAGGAACTGGAGGTAATCCATGCCTTACCGTGGAGTGTTCCTGACTCAGCAACCAGATCCCATCATCACAGTAATACCAGAAGAATGGAAAAAGGTGCAAAGACTGGACTTTCAGAGGAATCTGTTGTTGTTTTTTTTTTTTTTTAATTTTAAAGCTTAGGTCTGAAATGGGCGCGTTTTAAATATTTCAGCACAGTGCCTAAGAGGATAGGCTGCAAAGTCAGCTAGGCCCGAGTTGAGAAATGGCATTTCTACTTACAGCTGGCTATTTTTGAACAAATAATCACTGATCTCAGTATATATGCTAGTAAGTGAAAAAAAAAATGATACTGTCAGTTGAGGATTCATTTGCAAATTAAATGAGACATTGCATACACAGCACAGCACAGTGCTTGTTTTATTGTAACTACTAAAAAAGGTGGGGTATTACAGATTCAGCCCATATTTCAGAGAAAAAAGAAATCTATATTTTTTCAAGAGATTTTTTAAGGATATTCTTGAATCTCATTTATGATTTTATTGATCACTTATTGGTTCACCCATTTACTCAAAAAATATTTGACACCTACTATGTGTCAGGTCGTAGTCGGTACTATTTGTTGGAGGGAAGAGGAAATACACCGAAATGAATAACACAGTTTCTGTCCTTAAAGGAGCTCGCTGCTCAGTGGAAGAGAAAAGAACTAAAGAGGCAGATCAGTGAGAAAAATGTGCAATATAACACATTATTAAAATGAGAAGAGAGAGTTAAACAATCAACATCATTAACTCTGTGGCATTTCCTTAAGATATCATGAATTATGAGACATCCTTTTCTTAACATCAGGTAAAGGAAAATCTTTCATTAAATGTGTATAATGATTCTGAGTCCCACGTTAGTTTCAGAAACATGAATAAACAAAGAAAAACAAAAATGGAGGAAAATAGTTATTGGAGGTAGTAAATTACTTTGGTATTGTCAGATGACACAACGTTGGTTTGGTGAGCTAGCTGCAGGTCTGTGGACGAGAGCCCCAACAGGAAAATTTCAGTTGGGAATGTCTTTTTCATCAGATGGGGAGCAACTCATTGCTATGGCAGGGTCTGGTGCCAAGAAGGACTAGTAACAAATTTTGGGGTGGTTTGTCTGTTTGGGGCTTCCTGTACCTGGAAGCTAACTTGTCTCTATTTTCCTCAAATGTGTAGTCAACCCGAAGAATCATCATAGCCATTGCAGAAACCCTTTGGACTCTTGCTAAGAGTGTGAGATGTTGTAAAGTCTTTACACCATTTCCAACAGTCTGTCATTGAGTGATGATAACTAGGCATTTGACTTGTCTCCCTCCAAAACTGATCATAATACCATACCTACCCTTCAATTTGTAGCTTCTTGTTGCTCTTAGGATAAAGACCAAAACATGGCCTAGGCCTGTGTGATCTAGCCCTTGACCATCTCTTGAACAATTATCACTTCAATAGGGGAGATCAAGTCCATAATCATTTTTCATATCTATGTGCCATGTGTCCTGTACCATGCTTCTCACTCTCTCTGTTCTAGTCCCTCTGGCTTTTTTGTAATGTTCCAGTCGTTAACTTAGCATGTTTTCATTTGCTTCAGGATCTCTGCCTGCTAGGAGGGTCTTTCCTTCTATTCTGTGTTATTATTGAGATTTCACCTCAAGAGCTTCACCTCCTCCTGAGAGCTTGCCTAACCACTCCCATCCCTCCCATCCCTCCCATGGGTAAGGTGGGAGAGTTACGTTTGAATTACTATCTCAAGATTTTTTATTGTTAGAATTTGTACTACCAACCAGGTCAGTAGACATTTTTTCCAATCATTTTTCTTCTGATTCTTTTTCTTGGAAATTCTTGAGTATTTCTTTCTCTCTAGTCTCTGTGGCAAGTTATTTATTTGTTTTCCCATAGGCTGCCCTGCTCATAAGCTCTTATAGACATCTTATTCTCTACAAGAATTGGGTAGGTGAGGAGAGGAAGGATATTGATAATAGTTAGCAACTAACATTTAGGATGCCATGTCAACTTTGTCAGCAGGTAGCCATCCTTCCTGGGGGCTAGACAGCTCCCCACCTCCACACACTGTTAACATGGAGGTTCTGTGTCTTAATTCTAGCAATACTCCCCTACCCCCACCCCCACCTTGGACTACTGTGATCTGGTGCTACAGGAATACCTGTCTTAATTGGCCAGGCTGGGTTTCCTGGCCGATCACTATGGTAAGGGAGAGAGGATTACCCTACATTTAGTTCATTGGGGCCCATCCCTAGAGCTAGGCATGGCGCAAATCTGACTCTACGGCCGGTACCCATTGGGAGATCAACACTTTGCACTTCTGCATCTTTTACTCTTGGTGACAGTGTTTTCATGGATTAAAAGCCTACTCTCTACTAATTCCTAGTGCTAATCTCTAATAAACAAAGCAAAGCATAGAACGAACAAACATACTATTACGTTGGTTGAACTGCATTTAGCATCCATATGTAGAAAGCCTTTCAGAAGAGGTCTGATTATTTAGATTTAATTGCTCCTCAGAAAAACCAATCACTTCTGGCACACAGACATAAAACTCTGCTTGCTTACACCTATTCTAAAAACTTTCTTTCAAGGATGGCTCAGCCTTACTCTACCAGCTGTCAGATTAGAAAAGTGAGGATTTTTTCTTAAGTTAGGAATTTAGTGAAAGAGGAAAAGAAAAGGTAGTTGTTTCTCTAAGATTCATCACAGTTACCTGGAGGGTTTGTTAACACACAGATTTTGGGGTTCCACATGCATAACTTCTGATTCATTAGGTCAGGGGTCAGGCTTAGGAATTCATATTTCTGACAAGCCCCTTGGTGCTGCTGCTGCAAGGACTGAACTTTGAGAACTACTGAGCTGTAATGATTCTGTTTGACAATTTGAGGATGAGAATAGAATTTGTCCATAGTTTATCATGCTTGTTTTTGAAAATCTGACCACAAATTTGTAAACATTGAGAAAAGAAAAATAGCTCAGAGGAGTCTGAGTTATCTGAGCTATGTAAAATTTATCAGTCTCAGAGAAACATGAACATGGGACTTCATGCATGACGCCCTTCCACACACATGTCCGGGAGCAATTGTTTATAGGCATTTTGTTCCTATTTAATAGTGGCCTTACCCATTATCTTCTTGTTTCTGGAATTTGTGATGCAGAGAACAATGTATATAGCCAATCAATAGCTTATGTTATTTTAATGTAAATTCTTGGTAAACATCTTAGGAACTGCCTCTTCATTTTTTCCTTAAAAAGCCATTTATAACTGTTGCTAATCAAAGTATATTCAAGGCAACTTGAGTCTATGCTCTGGGATGGCCATCTTCCATTAGGGGCTGCAATAAACTCTATACTAATTATATTTTCTGAATCTCATTATTTAAGGGTGACATCATTTTCAGTTCAATCCAGGAAAGTAATTCCATTATCACTTTTAGTGCCTATGCACCTGTATTAGTCTGTTCTCACGCTGCTAATAAAGACATACCCAAGACTGGGTAATTTATAAGGAAAGAGGTTTAATTGACTCACAGTTCCACATGGCTGGGGAGGCCTCACAATCATGGTGCAAGTCAAATGAGGAGCAAAGTGATGTATTACATGGCAGCAGGTAAGGGAGCGTGTGCCGCGGAACCCCCATTTGTAAAACCATCAGATCTCATGAGACTTATTCAGTCCCATGGGAACAGTATGGGGAAAACCACGCCCATGATTCAATTATCTCCACCTGGCCCCACCCTTGACACAGTGGGGATTATTACAATTCAAGGTGAGATTTGGGTGGGGACACAGCCAAACCATACCAGCACCCAAGTTTTCTCTTAATTGTTCCCTCTATTAAAACCTAAAAATGCCCTCTCCTTCCTTCAGCAATTGGCAGCTCTTCTTTGCCCCCCCTTTCAGCATCTAGTTAACCACAGCTGGACTGAAGAGCTCACTTTAGGAGCCCAGGCTCCCAGGGATCCTGAACGGCACAGAGGTGTATAGGCAGCAGGCACTTTGCTAATGGCTTTCTGGCATTATGGCATTTAGACCTCTCACCATTCCTGTGAGGTAGGGACTAATTGCCTACCTCCCAGAGAGGAAACTGAGACTGAGAAGAGGTTATGTGGCTCTTTGCTGAGCAAGAACTTAACACAGGTCAGTCTGATCTCAGGTCCATGTTCTCCACAGCCGAGCTGTACTGTCTATCAGGTGAAATTGCAAGAGGAAAGTAAACTACAGCAACTCCTTCCATCATGATCCAAAAAGCTCCCCTTTCTCCCTCAGACTCCAACCCTATGCGCCCAGCTTTCCCCCTAATCTGAAGAAAACAGTGAAAGGACTATGATTCCTGAACACCTATTAATCAGAGAAAAGCAAAAAATCCCTACCACAGCAAGTTACTATTCATACCGGCATCGCTAGTGAGAAGTTATACCATCCATTATTTTGATGGGTGCTGGAGGGAGGATAAGGATGAGATCAGCCCCAAACAGATCCAGAAATTATTGGCAAGTACAGTTGCGGGGTGTGTTTTGTACCTTTTTCAACCTTTCACTGAGGATAAATAGCCTATGACAGTAAGTAGTTATCTGTTTGAAAATGCAACCAAAAATAAAAAGCCTTACAAGGGGAAAAATGAAGAAGATCAGGAATGGAGAAAGAAGATGATAAGGAGTGAGTGTTGTATTTTTCTCCTTATCAGAGAAATCCATTATTGCACCATATTTCTAGTCCACAAAATGATTGCCCCTCAATTTATTTCCAAAATTCTGACCCCAGGTTTGTTACTGGGTGAAAAAAAAAAAAGTGAACAAACAACCCTAGATTTGTCTGAATGCATTGATAAAGGTAATCTTTTGTTTTTAATTCCAGATAAATGTAGAAATCCTGCATGAAAGTTAGCTAAAACTGAAGCTTGGCTAAAAGAATGTTTATAAATAGTTGGGATGGAAAGACAAAAGCATGGTGGTTTTTTTCTACGTTTGCTCCTGGAGAAGGTTGTGTGTTTAGATTTGCTCTGCAACCTGCCAGGCGGTTTTGTGTGGGTTTGGACTTGACTCCGTGTCCTTTGTATTTATTGTTTTAGAATCACTGGCTCCAATAAGTCTTCCTGTTCAACATGGATTTTCAGTAAATGGCAAAGGCCCCTTAAATCTGTCCTGAACAGACGGGCCCAAAACCTTCACAATAACCATGGGTGGGCATTCATTGAAGGTCTCATTGTCATGTTTATTTACTCATTTCAGAGGTAGGAGGTTGCCTCTCAGCAACTCTGGGGATGAACGTAGATGCTATGAGGATTAGCAGTTGAAAGCTAGTGCAAGCTAACTGGTTGGGCTTGCAGGAAGCTGGCTGGAACCATAACCCAGCCAAGGTCAGAGTGGAATGCTATTATTGCCGCATTAGCATTATCATCATCACTGTTGCTTCCCAAATTATCCTTTAATGGGTCCAATTTACCTTCAAGTCTGTAACTAAGACACAGATCACTTATCTTCTGTGCAGCAGTCATTAGAAATGTCTAGGGCAGACTTCAGCCCTTCCAGCTCTAAATCCAATCTTCATCTTTTCCAACGGTTACTCTGCTCCTATTTGTCTGTTTAAGATTGGCCATTAAACTTTGACTCATAGACGGTAAAGCTGCAATTGGTGTTTATATGCATTTAGGTTGCACGTAGCTTTTATGCTCATGGATGGTGCCTTTAAAAATATAATTTTTTTTCAGTGGTTCTACTATGCTTAGATATAAGGTAAAAATAACAGAAATTTCCCAAAATACCACTGCTGTAGAAATTGATTTTTCTCCCTTGACTTTAGCTCTTGGATTTGGCTTTTCTTAGACAAATTCTGCCTGGAATAATTATGAGTATTAGAAAAGGATGGACATAAACTATCTGATATATAATCCATCATGAATACATTTTAGTTCCCTTCCAACTGTGACCCTGTAACTGCAGGACCAGCCCAAACTGGCCCTACTCTGTTGATAACAGAATCTTAAGGTACCTTGCAGGTATAAGAGCCAAGCCTGTAAGTCATGTAGCCAGGACATGTGCAATAGGAAAAGCTTTGGCCTCTAACAATACCCAGAACTGAGGACTCTCCTCCTGGAACCAAGAAGACCTTTTCCCATTCTCCTCATGGAACCAAGAAGACCTCAGAAACAACATAACTGGCACCTGAACTCTGGAACTTTTACAAAAGTGAGGGGTCCATTGGCTCAGAACACCCAGGGCTAAAATCTGCCTCAACATACCTTACCGCAGATGATCAAATTTGAAGCCCTCCAAATTTGAAGACCCTGCCAAGCCAACATTTCTATTTCCTTTCTCTTGTCCTCCAACTCCTTAAAACATTGTAGGGAATAGATTTGAGCTGTGCTTCCTGTCTCCTTGGCAGTTGGCTTTGCAGTACACCCTTTCTTTTCTCAAAAGCTGGTGCCACGGTTTTGGCTTCTGTGCACATTGGGCAGTGAACACAATTTGCTCAGTAACACCACTTTCACAGTGTTCATTCTTCTGATCTTAGAAGGTTTAGAATCCTTCCAAATTTGTGCACTGACTTTAGAGTGAAAAGGAGAGTTATTATATACCCAGTTCTCACAATTAATGTGCTGACTTTCTTTCATTTGCCAATTTAAAAATCTGACACCTAGAGTCCACCTTCTTTTGTTTTTGTTTTCATTGCTGTTATTGTTTTGAGACAAGGTCTCTCTCTAGGCTCATTTTTAAATTTTTTGTAGAGACAGGGTCTCCTGATATCACCCAGGCTGGTCTTGAACTCCTGGACTCAAGTGATCCTCCTGCCCTGGACTCCCAAAGTGCTGGGATTATAGGCATGACCCACTGTACTCATCCCAGATTGAGAGCTTGTTTATGTCAAGTGCTGTTCTAGGCCCATTTCTGTGTCCTCATCACCTAGCATGGTGCTTGGCTTATAGAAGGTATGCATTAAGTGATTGCTGAATTAAATGGTCTTATTTCATTCTGTGGTTCTGCATAATGCTAAGTACCTTAATAAGCACAGCATGATAGAATATGATAAAATACAATAACATAGTTGAGTGTTAGAAAGGATAACATTTTAATGATGAGGAAATAGGTACAGAGAGGTGACATGACTTGCCCAAGGTCACAGAGTCAGCAGTATTGAGATGGGCTTCAGGACATGCCATCTCAACATGAGGTTCTGCTTACCACAAACTTCCCTTATAGCCGCAAGTATTTTAATATATTTTAAACATATTACCCTTAAAATTCACATTACCTCATATGTTGAAGTCCTAAACCCTAGTATCTCAGAATATGACCTTATTTGGAGATACATCTTTACAAAGGTAATCATGTTCAAATGAGGTCGTTGGGGTAGACCCTAATCTGGTATGTATGACTGGTGTCCTTGTAAAAATAGGAAATTTGGGCAAAGAGACCAGCACAGAGGAAGATAGTGTGAAGAGTCACAGGGAGAAAACAGCCAACTATGAGCCAAGAGAAAGGCCTAGAATAGACCCTTTCCTCACAGCCCTTAGACGGAACCAGCCCTGCTGGCACCTTGATCCCAGACTTCCAGCATCCAGAACAGAGAAAGAAGTTTCTAATGTTTAAGGCACCTGTGGTACTTCACTATGGCAGCCCTAGCAAACTGAAACAAATTTTCATGTTAATTTCCTAGGGATACCATAAAAGAAAACCTTCACAGACTGGGTGGCTTAAACAACAGCATTCATGGTCTCATAGTTCCATGAGGAGACTCAAAGTCTGAGATCAACATATCAGCGGGGTTGTTTCCCTCTGAGGGCTGTAAGAGAAGGTTCTGTTCCAGGCCTCTTTCCTTGACTTGTAGAGGGCTGTCTTCAAGTTCATGTGGTGTTCTCCCTGCTGTCTTCACATCATCTTCCCTCTGTTATGAAATACTTTTCTGTCTCTAGGCAAATCCAAGGTTTGCCTCTCTGCACTTTCACAATCCCTCATTTTTTTTATTTTTATTTTTTGGGAATGTGTAATTCATTTTTATTTTTATAACTGTAACTTGACTATTTGAGGACTAACTTTTCCCAAGTAACTTTTTTTTAAGTTTCATTTTAAGTTCAGGGGTACAAGTGCAAGTTTATTACATAGGTAAACTTGTGCCATGGGGGTTTGTTGTACAGATCATTTCATCACCCAGGTGTTAAGCCTAGTACCCCTTAGTTATTTTTCCTAATCCTCTCCCTCCTCCCACCCTCCACCCTCCAAAGGGCCTCAGTGTCTGTTGTTCACCTCTGTGTCCATGTGTTCTCATCATTTAGCTCCCACTTATAAGTGCGAACATGCGATGTTTGGTTTTCTCTTCCTGTGTTAGTTTGCTAAGGATAATGGCCTCTAGCTCCACCCATGTTCTTGCGAAGGACATGATCTCATTCTTCTTTATGGCTGCATAGTATTCCATGGTGTGTATGTACCACCTTTTATTTATCCAGTCTATCATTGATGGACATTTAAGTTGACTCTATGTCTTTGCTATTGTGAATAGTGCTACCATGAACATAACACATACATATGTCTTCATCATAGAATGATTTATATTCCTTTGGGTATATACCCAGTAACAGGATTGCTGGGTCGAATGGTATTTCTGTCTTTAGGTCTTTGAGGAATCACTACACTGTCTTCCACAATGGCTGAACAAATTTACACTCCCACCAAAAGTGTATAAGCATTCCTTTTTCTCCACAACCTCACCAGCATCTGTTATTTTCTGACTTTTTAATAATAGCCATCCTGACTGGTGTGAGATAGTATCTCATCGTGGTTTTGATTTGCATTTCTCTAATGATCACTAATGTTGAGCTTTTTTTCATATGATTTTTGGCCACATATATATCTTATTTTGAGAAGTGTATTTTCATGTCCTTTGCCCACTTTTTTATGAGGTTGTTTTTTTCTTGTAAATTTGTTTAAGTTCCTTATAGATGCTAGATATTAGAGCTTTGTCGGATAAATAGTTTGCAAAAGTTTTCTCCCATTCTGTAGGTTGTCTGTTTACTCTGCTCATAGTTTTTGCTGTGCAGAAGCTCTTTAGTTTAATTAGATCCCATTTGTCAGTTTTCACTTTTGTTACAATTGCTTTTGGCATCTTCTTCATGAAATCTTTGCCTGTGCCTATGCCCTGAATGGTATTGCCTAGGTTGTCTTCCAGGGTTTTTATAGTTTTGGGTTTTACATTTAAGTCTTTAATCTATCTGGAGTAAATATTTTTTTTTTTTTTTTTTGATACAGCATCTCACTCTGTCGCCCATGCTGGAGTGCAGTGGCATGATCTTGGCACACTGCAAGCTCCGCCTCCCAGGTTCATGCCATTCTCCTGCCTCAGCCTCCCGAGTACCTGGGACTATAGGCACCCATCACCATGCCCGGCTAACTTTTTGTATTTTTTGTAGAGACGGGGTTTTACCGTGTTAGCCAGGATGGTCTTGATCTCCTGACCTCGTGATCTGCCCGCCTCAGCCTCCCAAAGTGCTGGGATTACAGGTGTAATCCACGCCCAGCCTGGAGTTAATTTTTTTATCTGGTGGAAGGAAGTGTTCCAGTTTCAATCTTCTGCATGTGGCTAGCCAGTTAGCACTATTTATTGAACAGGGAATCATTTCCCCATTGCTTGTTTTTGTCAGGTTTGTCAAAGATTAGGTAGTTATAGGTGTATGGTCTTATTTCTGGGTTCTCTATGTTCTCTATTCTGTTCCATTAGTCTACATGTTTGTTTTTGTGTCAGTACAATACTGTTTTGGTTACTGTAGCCCTGTAGTACAGTTTGAAGTCAGGTAGCGTGATGCTTCCAGCTTTGTTCTTTTTGGTTAGGATTGCCTTGGCTATTTGGGCTCTTTTTTGGTTCCGTATGAATTTTAAAATAGTTTTTTCTAGTTCTGTGAAGAATATCAATGGTAGTTTAATAGGATTTCTTTGAGCAGTGGTTTGTAGTTCTCCCTTGTAGAGATCTTTCTTCTCCCTGTTAGCTGTATTCCTAGGTATTTTATTCTTTTTGCAGCAATTGTGAATGGGAATTTGTTCCTAATTTGGCTCTCAGCTTAACTCTTGGTGTACAGGAATGCTTGTGATTTTTGCACATTGCACAATCTTACACTTACTGTGAAAGGTGATGTTTCTACAGCTTCATTGATTTATTTTTATGTATTTATTATTTTTTACTTTTTAAAAGACATGGTCTCACTCTGTTGCCAGGACTGGAGTGCAGTGATATGATCATAGAGCTCACTGCAGCCTCGAATTCCTGTGCCCAAGGGATCCTCCAACTTTAGCCTCCTAAGTAGTTGGGACTACAGGCACATACCACCACACCTGGTTTTTATTTTTTACTGTTGTAAAGACAGGGGTCTCACTATGTTGCCCAGGCTTGTCTCAAACCCCTGGCCTCAAGTGATCCTCCTGTCTCAGCCTCCCAAAGTGCTGGGATTACAGGCATGAGCCACCGCGCCCAGCCCAGTTCCATTTTCATTTACTTTTGCCTTGTCTCAATCTCTGGCATTCTCTCTTTGCTCTCTTCTGAGCTGCCCCAGTCTTCTTTCACTCCAAATTCTTTCTCTCTACATCCCACCTCCACCTCCTGTGTATTAGCGTGCTATTGTTTTGAAAGAAAATGTTACAAATTTAGCATCTTAAAATAACACTCATTTGTTAGCTCACAGTCTTGTAAGTCAGAAGTCTTGGTGGCTACCTGTAGAGGTTCTCTACCCAGGGTCTCACAGGGCTGGAATGAAGGCCCCAGCCTGACTGGAGTTTTACCTGGAGGCTCTGGGAAGAATCCACTTCCAAGCTCATTCTAATTTTGCAGAATCCGGTTCCTTGCAGCTGTGGGATGGAGGTCACCTTCTTCTTGCTGGTTGCCTGCTTGTGATTTCCTCTCAGATCCTGGGGGCTGCTCTCAGATCCTCCCCACAAGACCTCCTGCAACTTCAAAGCAGGCAATGGGGTATGTCTCTTGCATCAAATTCTTCTCACATTGTGAATCTCTCTAACTTCTGCCACCGGCTGGAGAAAACTCTCTGCTTTGAAAGAATTTATGTGATTGAATTAGGCCCAGCCAGACAATCTCCCTATTTCAAAGTCAACTGATTAGGAACCTCAATGACATCTGCAAAATTATTTTACCATGTAACCACAGGAGTAACACCAAGGGGTGAGCATCATGAGGTCATCTTAGAATTTTGCCCATCACACCCTGTTATGCAACCTAGGGTGAAACAGCAAGTAAGAGATAAACTGAAGTTGGTAGGTTATTCATTTGTAGGTGATGGAAGAATTCAAAAGGGAGTTAGAATTTTAAATCCACGGACAAGTTTCAAAAAAAGATGTTCATCTGAGGAAAACCATGCTCTTTGATCCAAGTTATTTACCAATCATAATTGTAAGAGCAGCTATCATTTATTAAGGGCCTACTATGGGTCAGTCACTTTTGAAGGTGGCAGTGCACTGCTGGCATTATTTTGAATTTTAACAAAAATACTCCAAATTAAGTGGCATGAAAGAAGAAACCGAGACATGTAGAAGTTAAATAACTTGCACAGATGGTAGTGACAGCCAAAATTCAAACCCATATCTGGAGAGTGCAAGGCCTGTGTTCTTTCCAGAGCCACCAGCTTCTTCACTGGCAGGACAGCCCGCAGATCAGGCATGGGATTATCTGTTGACGGAACACCATTGTAAATGCAACCTGTTCAATGAGATGATTCAGACAGCATTTTCTGATAAAATTCAGTGTTACCTAGATGGTACTATGAAGTAGGCCCTCTAGGTTCTGGAATTTGGGGAAATTACATTATCTTCTGAAAGTGAACTGAAATGCGGAAGGCTGCTGATGAAGTGCAAAATCAAATAGGAGAATGAATTTTTTTTTTAAAGGTGGCTCAGAGTGGCATTCTGTGTTGATATTTCCCTTGGGGAAAGAATAATCCAATTTTTAGGTAGAAAATATTTTGGACTATAGAAGTATAATGAAAAAGGCTGTACTAGGGTCTGAAAGCAATGCTGTCTCTAATGTCCAATTACCCTTGCTTAAACTCTGACTTATCATTTGATATCTATCCTTTAATAAGATGATACTTTGTCTAGAACAATAAATTGAATCCTGACATGAGATACTTTCTCTCTTTTTTATTCCTTCCTCATTGGATCGGTAAATCATTCAATAAACGTTCAGTGAAAGCTGATTTTGTTCTACACATTGTGTTAGGCATGGTAGATGGGACATCACGTCTGCCCTCCAAGAGCTTCCAGTTAGTCAAGTGATTGCTGTTCATATTCTTTCACCAGGTGATGTGTGAGGCAAGAAAATAAGATGGGGGCAACTAGTGGTGGTATTCAGAAAATATGGGTGGAATCTGTGGAAATTGAGCAGGCCAAACAAGAGTTTTCGAGAATTATTTCCAAAGTCTGATCCAATGCTGTCCAATAGGACTTGCTATGAAGAGAAGAATGTTCTAGATCTGCACTGTTCAATAGCCGGTAGCCACATATAGCTGTTAAGCACTTGTAATGTGAGTTGTGTGACTGAGGAACTGAATTTCTAATTTAATTTTAATTACTTGATAAACAGCCACATATAACTAGTGGCTCCTATATTGGGCAGCACAGAAAATGTCCACACATATCTGAAGCTTTTCATTCTATCAGTTATTTTGAAAACGCTCTACTGCTCTCAGTGTATTTAATCTAATATCTGAGTTATTTCCTCATGTAACTTAATCTTCTCAGATTAGTTTCTGGTATCAGTGTAAACATACTGCAAACCAAACAATTTTTAGAGGTGGAATCACAAAGCAAACAATATATTTTTAAACAGGCTGAAAAAGATTATCGGCCTAAGAGGCATACCGAGGAGTGGAAAATAATTAGTTGGATCACGTTATTTTAATCCCGTGTCTGGCTGTTCTGAGCAAACTCCTCTCGCCATTTGAAGAAAGTTGCCAACATTTACCCTCCTGTCTTTTGAGGGAACATGCCAAATATGCTTTCATTTCATCCTGTTTAGTCAGTTGTTTTAATGCCCTTTTCTGATGTTATCCCTGAACACACAATTAACAGATTTCTGCTAAGATCCCAGCTGCAATGAGAATTGTCTGTCTGTCACTTGTGTGTTGCCTCAACCCTGGCTCATTTACATTGCTTGGCAATCAGATTCAATAACTTTAAGCTGTTCTGCCTGAACAAATGAAGGTCTATGGCATTTCAGTCCAACCACTTTTTTCATTTTCAGGCAAGTTTATCTCCTCTTTTCTTAGCCTCCGCCAAGCCTGTCATGCCACTCTTAATAGGCTGTGAAAGTGTTATGGGTTTCTGACAATTTTGCCTCTCTCAGGGCAATTTGATGCCAAAGATATAGCAGTACCTTCCCATTTCCTACAGTCAGCAGCTTGTCTTTCCTGGCTGCTTTATTAAATGGGTGTACATCCTTGGTAATGAGTCCTGAGATTTTCTGGCATGATAAGATGGACTATATATTGAGGCTGTTGTTTCAGATTCCAGCCCGTCATCCTCTCAAACCAATAATAATAATTGGCAAACTAATAAGAATGTGTCCTTTGGGCATGGTTCTACAGGTCCAGCACATGGGCCCTTCTCTCCCAGGGTCAAAGGAAAAATCATTTAGCTAAGTGAGGGTTCTTGAAAGAACTGTGTTAGTCTCTTCAATGTCATTTTAAAGTAACTTTTTTTTAAAAGTGTCATATAACCTGTAACTGTAGCACATATGAAATATAGGAATGTGGAACAAAGCTAATAATCCATATATCCTGTGACCTAGCAATTTCAATTTTTGGGTATCCATCACTGAGAAATATTTATACGTGTGCCACAAGAGGCATATTAAAGAAATATAATGACAACATTTGAGATTTGCAAAAGAGTTAAAACTGTCTAAGTGTTCATTCATAAAAAGATTGGTTAAATGAATTATAGGACATCCCTACAATGAAATAATTTGCAAACATTTGAAGATGACCCAGATTTATTTATAAGTGCTGATATTGATTGAGAGTTAAGATGAATTAAGAAAAAGAATCAAGTTACAGAATAGTGTATTCAGTTTGCTTCTATTTGTGTACACAAGAGGCTTATTTATATCAAGAAAGCCTCAGATGCCCAGATATGTGCTTGTATATGCATAGAAAAAATTGGAATACCTGAGAAACTATTAAAAAAATGGTTATTTGAAAGAGCTAGAGTTGTTTTGTATTCATCTGTACTATGATGTTTTTGAAACCAGGAGCATGATTTAATTTTTCCAGTAAAAAATTGCTTAATAAAAAAGACAATAAAAATAATCTGTAAGCCCGCTACTCAGAACATTTTTTAATATTTTGAAGTCTATCTTTGTAGACTTTGCTTTAACCTATATGTGACATATATTAGGTAATATAGTGCATCCATTTTGTGATTTATGCTTTTCCCAAATAAAAATCTCTCATGTAAACAAGTACTTCTATCATTTCACCTTTTTGTTTTGGACAAACTTTGTTGACCAAATGGTCACTTTTTGAAAAATGTGTCATACAACATGTAACTGTAGCATGTATGAAATATAGGAATGTGAAACAAAGCTAATAATGCGTATATCCTATGACCTAGCAATTTCATTTTTGAGCATCTTGTCATTGAGAAATATTTACATATGTGTCAAAAGAGTCACATTAAGGAAAGATAATGGCAATATTTGAGACTTGCAAAAGAGTTAAAGCTAAGTGTTCATTCAGAGAAAGATTGGTTAAATGAATTAATTAAATGAATAATTTATTAAAATAAGTGAACAAATAATAACATCCATAAATAATCCTATAGTTTCACTTTTTTTGTTTTGATAAACTTTATTGAGCATAAAATGCACAGACAGCAAAATGCACCCATTTTAAGTGAATAATGTTTAGACAAATACAGACAAATGTCTACAATATCATTTCTAATGGCTGCATAGAACTGCTTCTTACCAAGCAGTAATTTCTGTTTTCCTGGTCATAAAGACTAGTTTAGGGATGGGTCCATAAGCCAAGTCAGCCCAAACTGAGCCATTCCTGGAATTTCTGGTGAAAATACCATATTTGATTGCCAGTTCCAAAGAGATGGATGTTTAAGATGTTTCAAATGTTGTACTGTTATAAATAATGCTGAGATAATGAATATTTTTGTAGCCAAGTCATTGCACACATTTTTGAAAGAACTGTGGACTCTCCAGGGCCATTTTAAAGTAATTACTTTTACAAAAAATCATGTAACATGTAATTATGTTATTTTCTTAGTCCAAGTGCCTAGAAGGAGAAATTCTGGGTGGAAGAATAGAAAAGATCTATTGCTAAATTTCCCCTCAAGAAAGAATATGCCAATTTATACTCTCCCATGCTCCAAACCTCTACCTATTATTTTATCTCCTCTACTTATTATTATTGCCACTTTGGTAAGTACAATCACACATATATTTGAGCAAAGCTTACTGCTATTTGACCAAGTAGATACAAGAGTTTGGAATTCATTAAGAAACTATGACTTCACAGAAGGAAGGTGTGTTTTACAAAGCAGCTTCTTCCATTTGCAGGGTTGGTTCTCTCTCCCTCCTTAGGTAGGTGATGCTCCACTGTCATCTTCCCAGTGAGGCTTCCCTGCCCAGCCTAGTTACATCTGTATCCCTTGTACCTCTTTCTTTGCTTTATTTTTCTTCGTAACACATCCTGACTTAACGTTTTTCTGTTTTGTCTATTCTGTCTCCTTGTGCTAAAATATAAGCTTCATATGAGCATGACTTCATGCATTGTTTGACCCTTATATGTGTATCAAGCACAGAGTAGACCTCCAATCATTTGTTGGCTGAATGCAAAAATCATACTTTCGAGTTTATAGAGCACTTTTATCCATAACTTACCACTTGTTCATCACAACAACCCTGTGAGATGCAAAGAGCTAATTCCATCCCTAATCTCCCAATAAGGAGCTGGGTCTTCAAAGGATCAGGTGACTTGTCCAAGGTCATGCATACCTTTTCTGACTCCAAATGCAGCTTCCTTTTCATCTCCCATGGCACCTCTCTAAGCCTGCACACAGTTGCAGGCTTTTTATCAAGGGATGAGTCTGGATACCTAAATTCTAATGCTGGCTTGGCCACTAAAGTATATACGCAGCTTCAGTAAACATTCTCTCCAGGGGTATAAGTTTCCTCCTCTGTCAAATGAGGAGGCCAGACCAGATAGTCTAAGGTCTCTTCCAGCTTTACTACCCAATGACTCTAAAGGGAAATATCCATGACTGATCAGTGGAGGCCATTTCTGCCACATTTATTTTTTATTTTTCATTTTGAGATGTGGTCTTACTATGTTGCCCAGGCTGGTCTCAAACTCCTGGGCTCAAGTGATCCTCCTACCTCATCCTCCTAAGTAGCTAGGATCACAGGTGCACATCACTGCATCTGGCTCCTAATGCATTTAACTTCATGGACCCAAATTATCTCCAGTCTATCTTTGGCTCTAACAAAGGTCCCATGCAAGAAAGTGGGTCACCACTTACATGTTTGCTTATCACAGGAGGAGGCGTCAAAATGAAATACTAGCCAACCTGATGGCAGAATATTCTATTCTTAGAATGGGGAATCCCAAGCTTTTGTAAGTTAGAACATTCTGTCTTAAGTACTTTGAGTATATAAACACTCCTTCTAGTAGTGAAGATTCTTTTAGTCACAAGTGCCGGAAACCTGACTCTAACTAACTGAAGCAAAGATGGTAGTTTATTGGCTCACAATCCTGAAAAGTTCAGGGGGGATGTCAAGGTTCAGGTAAGGCTGGATCAGGGGCTCAGATTCCATTAGAACTCTGACTTTCTTTATCTCTCAACCCTGCATCCACCTATTTTGACTAAGTGGCTGCTGGTTACTCTTAACTTATATAGTATCCCCTTAGTTCACCTAATTTTTCCCAGTAGTTCCACCAAAAGTACCAAAAATTGTTCTGATGAGCCTGACGTGGGCCACAGGCCAATCCCTCTGAAATAGCCTCTCTAGCCAGGGAGATAGAACACACAGACTGGCGAGGCCTGAATCATGCACACACCTCTCGATCATAGTGCTAGGTCTTATCTTCTACAGACCATATGAACTGAGAGAGAGAAAGGAGTAAAGGAGTGATTTCCCATATGAAAACAAAGGTACTTACACCAGAAAAAAGGGGACGTGAACTGGGCAGGGAAAAAGAGCAAAAATTCACCGTGCTTTTGCCATTCTTTCTTCTCTTTCCTTCTACCCCTCCAAAGAGCTTTAGGAGGTGGTTTCTGTTATGACAGTGGTAGTGGTGGTTGCTATAGAATGAGAGCATTTTAAAATTCATTTGGTTGTGAGCTACTGGGGGACAGATGGGAATCCTTTACTCCCCATAAGGTCCCTGGAGATACCCAGGCCTGTTCAAATACCATAGCTAGTTATCACAGCATAAAGAAACAGCCAGAAATGCTTGCCCAGGAGCTACCCAGGTTTGCTGGAAATTCAACAGGATCAATGGACAAAAATGTGCCTCAACAAGATATTGGAGGGGTCAGATCGTTCGTTGACAGCCCTGATGTGTAGGCCCAAGGAATGATGCTGACCAGATCCTGCCAGCAATCTGGGAGCTGGAAGGCCTACCAAGTATAATCTGGAATCTTTTGAAGAGCCAATTATTCAGGGCCTGGAGATTTGACAGGAAGAAATTTCCTGTGTCCTTGTTTCCCCTTCAGAGAACAGAAAAGGACAAGCTTCTTGCTAACTACTCCATTTCCCTCCTCTCTACCCCAAATCCAAAGACAATTTTAATATTTTAGAAAATACTAAGAGAGAGGACTGCTTGTGAAAGAGGGAAGTAGTCATAGAAGATCGATTGACTGATTGACTAAACCTTCCCAGTTTCTTCATCCACACACGTGTGCACTCAACTGCCATAGGACATCATGCGTGCCTTGGGTCATCTGGGAGTGAAGAGATGACTTACTTAGTCCTTGTCCCCAAGATGCTCATGCTCTCTGGTTAAGGTCTTAATACATTAAATCTTAAGAAACTACAAAAATATAAAGTAGGGATTGACGCACTACAGCCCATGGACCAAATTCAGCTTACCATCTGTTTTTGTCGATAAAGTTCTAATAAAACACGAATATACTCATTCGCATAGGCTCTTGTACATTAATGGCAGAACTGAGTAGTTGCAAGGCAAAACCTAAAATATTTACTATCTGGATCTTTAGAGAAAGTTTTCCAATTCATGATACAGACCATAGTGCATATCCCAGAATAGGAAGATGGTGGTGGGATCTGAGGAGGTATCCCAGAGGAGGCAATACCAAAGCTGAGACACGAGGGATGCATGGGAATTAACCAAACAAGGCTGAGAAGTCAGGGGAGGCCAAGACAGAGGGGACTGCCTGTGCCAAAACAGGGAGATAAAAGAGAGTGCAGTAGGTCCTCGGAATTGCAGGAATGGCCAGACCGGAGATGTGGGCTGTGGCCACATTATGATTCTTCAAAAGTCAAGAGGATCCTTGAAAGTTTTAAGCAGAGGCAGGGCTGATCGAGTTTGCTTTCTTGAAAGTTCACTCTGCAGTGGAGTACAGTGAGCAAAGGATGGGTTGAAAGTGGACTGCTTCCTTTCCCTCCCATTTTCCCCTCCTCCACCTCTCAAAATATTTAGCCTCTTGGAATCAGGCCGGTGTAAGTGTCCAAAACTGCCTGACCTTGCCCTGGTGGCCTGGGGATACCCACATGACCTTGTGGCCCTCCAGTCTGCCATGGTCTTGTCCTTCCCCACTCAGGGCCACCTGGTCCTACGCATAATGTAGGAGCAGGGGGAGTGGGGGCTTAGGATCCAATTTCTCCACTTGACACTTGCAGCCCCTTCAGCCTCCAGACAGAAATTTGAGTGGCAGTAATGGGATAAACAGTTTAATTTAATAGTAACAGAAGAACTGGGCCCAGTGCAAGGAATCTCATTGCCCTTTTTCAAAGTGACTTTCCTTTCAATGCATGATGTAGCAGGGCCATTGGGGATGCAGAGAAATACAAGGGATTGATTTTGCCTGGCAAGGGGTCAGATTGTAAGAAGCGAGTTTAATAGTCATGCTATGAAAGGGACATGGAAAAGGATAGAGACAGATCACACCTGCAGTAGGTGAAGTTAAGGATGAGACAAAAGGGAAAAAATATATTTTGTATCTCTGAATGTGAACTACTGTATACCTTTACAAAATAATTAATAGCTATCCCCTATGTTCAATATCTTTGGGGCTTTATTTTTGCTTCTTTATTTAAAGGAACAAAACTTTCTTGCTAAAGGCATATTTTTGGTTCCTTCACTTATAAAGTTACTAAATGTAAAACTTGCTAAAATGTTTCCAACTTAAATTCATGAAAGTTACTTCACTTTTAACATTCTCATCTCCCCAGACAGGAACCTCAAAAGTTGGAGCTT
Organism: Homo sapiens; assembly: GCF_000001405.40. NCBI lineage: Eukaryota > Metazoa > Chordata > Mammalia > Primates > Hominidae > Homo > Homo sapiens. The sequence goes on from NC_000003.12 coordinate 64,762,870, forward strand.
TTAATAACAGGCAGGCTGTTGCAGCAAAGCCTGGTGCAGGCAGGTATGGAGCACTTTCCCATGCCTCCTTTGCCCTTCTTGGTCATAAGCCAGGCCTTCTATTCAGCTGAATAATAGACAGGGTTCTGATAATCCCTGTCAAGCGTTCAAGGATAACTAAGGTATTAGCCAATTGGATTTGAACCTTGTCTGGAAGATAGAAGTTGGTCCAACTTGCAAGAAATGGGCATTCAGAGTGGATGGAGGAAGCAAAGATTTCTCTACAATAAAGTTTCATAGACAGCTGTATACCAGGCTGACACTTGAGGCCAAACCTTGTTTTTCACAGTGCTGTTGGGAGTACCACTGCCCTATCAGAAGCTGAGAGAAGGGAGGTATATTAGGCCATTCTTGCACTGCCTTAAAGAAATACCTGAGGCTGGACAGTTTATAAAGAAAAGAGATTTAATTGGCTCACGGTTCTACAGGTTGTACAGGAAGCTTGGCACCAGCATCTGCTCTGCTTCTGGGGAAGCCTCAGGGAAATTTTACTCATGGTAGAAGGCAAAGCAGGAGCTTGCACTTCACATGGCAAAAGCAAGAGCAAGAGGGAGAAAGAGACAGTGTAGGGGAAGTGGGAGGGAGCCACACTTTACAACCAGATCTTCTGAGAACTCACTATCTCTAGGACAACATCAAGCCATGAGGGAACCACCCTCAAGACCCAAACCCCTCCCACCAGGCCCCACCTCCAACAGTGGAGATTACAATTCAACATGAGATTTGGGCAGGGACAGATATCCAAACTATTTTACAGACAGCTCTCAATTATGCACTCAGAAATCACAACAGTGGCAGGAAAAACCACACGCAATACATCCACAAATGGGGATGTGTTGCTTGTGGTTGTTGCATGGAGATGACTCTGCAATACATTCTCCAGCACCTTTTGCCTTCCCACTTAGATTTCACTTGATAAACTTTAATTCTCTGCACTATTTTATTCACTAAGCAGCTGGAAGTGTATGGAAGCAACTCATGTGGGAACAAAACTGTCTGGAGAAAATGTATGCCTATGTGAGCCAGCTCAGGCACTTGACTGAGGCGGATACTCTATCCCCCCTCTTTCCTTCTACCTTTGCTATGGTCTGAATGCCTGTGTCTCCCTCCCTAAAACTCACATGTTGAAACATAACTCCCAAATGATGATATGAAGAGTTGGGGCCTTTGGAGGCTGATTAGGTGGTGAGGGTTGCTCCCTCATGAAAGGGATTAGTGCCCTTATAAAGGCACTTGAGGGAGCCCTTTACCCTTCCATCATGAGAAGACACACATAGAAGGTGCTGCTTATGAGGAACAGGCCCTCACCTGACACCAAATCTGTTGGCACTTTGATCTTGAACTTTGCACAGCCTCCAGAACTGTGAGCAATAAGTTTCTATTGCTTGTAAATAACCAAGTTTATAGCATTTTTGTTATAGCAGCCCAAATGGACTAAGACAATTTTCCTTCTTCTGCTTCTGCTCTTCTTCTTATATACTACATAGGGATCAGGGGTTCTTTAAGGAGAGGTCTAGTTAGTACTTCGTTTGCTATGGAATAAAATAGAATCTTGAAATAATGCCTTCATTGTTGAACAGACAAGAACTCTGGACCTGAAGTGAGATATGCAGAAGTACAACTCCTGACTCCCTTGTGTATGATCTTAGAGAACTTGAGCAAGCAATTTCCCCTTTTATAGACTTATTTGTGTCACCTACAATGCCAAGAGGATGGTTCTGACTTCATAGGGTTGTTGAGATTACTCAATGAGATTACAAACAGCAAAGGTTCAGCCTGCGCCTGGGTGTTAGAATTCTGTTCCAAGAACCAAACATCTCACACACTACTTGATATAACAAGGTGGTCATGTTTACAGAGCTACGGGCACTGTTTCCTAATATCACTGTCACCAAGTTGCTCCATCCATGTTTTCATCAAGTGTTTGTGGATCACATCTTATGTCCAAACCATGGGTGAGTGACAGCAGTTAGAGTGCGGATAGAAAGGAAGGGACGAGAAGTAGACGGTAGACAATTTTAACTAAATAAATGTTTACTAAACTCATATCATACTCCAGGGCACAATGATCTTGTGTACAGAGTTATAGAGGACACAAATATGCCCACAAGGACAGAACTCCTATAATTACAGTTTGGGAAAAATATGAAAGTGTAGAAAGGATATTAGGGTATCAAAAGAAAAGCCAGAACAAAACTAGGAAGGGCGCAGATAGAGAAACAGGTGTATAAATTACACACAGACATCCAAAGCTTTTCTTTAAAAATCATGTTGCAGGGGCATGTATGTCCTCTCTCTCATCTATGCCTGTTGAAATGCCACACAATATCTACCCCCAGTGCTACATCCCCTGAGGAGTCTTTCCACATTGTCAAAGGGTCACAGGAGGAATCTCAATCTTTCGCTCTTTCTCTGTCTCTCTGTTTCTCTTCCCTAAGTCTTAATATGTTATCTGTATAGGTTATATGTATATCTGTATATATGTATTTCTGTTCAATTACTTAGATTGGCTGTCTATATTGATTAGATTTTCCTTGCAGTTTGTCTGCGTGGACTCAGTGCTTCCTGAGTGATGGCAGCCATATGATTGAACCAAAGCATCTCAAATGGCATTTGCCTACCAAACCAAACAACCACGTGTTTACAAACACAGCTGTAAAAAAATTAGGAAATCAAGAACTATTTACCTTTTCTTCCCAACACATTACTGCTACATGATTTTGTTAGAGACCAAACAAGGGAACTTCAACTAGACACCGGGAGGTGCAGCTGTGTTTCTAAAAGCCATACGGGGTTTTAATAATTCAGAGTTTACATTAAATACCTCTCAGTATTAACAAGGTGCAGAATAAACTGCTGATGACGCCCTAGCCTTCAGATAGGATGAACTCTTCGCAGCAGCTTATGTTTTACATTGGCAAAGCAGGCTGTTACAGTCAACACCCTTGGGGGCCTGGAGTCAGTTTATCTTTCTAAGAAACCAGGTAAAACCAGGCATCTGAAGCTGTTTAAATACAGTCTAGAAACAAACCAAGTGCTTGGCTTCCACCAGAGAAACTAGAATCTCGGCTCTCAATATGCAAACACTAAGGATGTTTGTTTTCACCTCTTTACCGGGAAGATAAACGTAGTTTACTCTTAGAAGAGGATCATTTGGGGCCATTTATTTCCTTTAACTTCAGATACAAGCAACAGAGAGGGACCCACAGTGTTTAAAAGCTGGGTCCTTTTGTTAGTAAGCAGGCCTAATGCCATGTGCTAATGTTGTGAGGCATTAATGGGAATTCCCAAGTTCTAGTCCAGGAGCCAAGCTGGGTCACCAGAAACTGGTCACATTTACTGAAGAAAGATCATCGCTGTGGATTTATTTCTGGGTCCAGGAAAGGGCATTTTGTTGGGATCTTCCTTGAAATTTTCCTGCAGACTTGGGTGGACTGTTAACTAATTTAGAGACAGCTAAAAATCCTTTTAGGTAGTGTAACTTTCACTTCTCCTAGGTCTTTGTTTTTATTTTTATTTTTCCCTTTTGATAGAGCAAGATAAAAACAAAAGGGTGAGAATTCATGCCTCATCTCTTAAGCTACCCTGGTGATATTTACATATAACTGAAAATTGCTATAAATCCTTCTCAGTCTTTTTGTTGGTGAATTGTTAGAAAATGCTGGAATACTTTATTTTGGCCTGGCCCCAGCTCCATTTAAAATGCCATACACAGCAGGGCCGAGTTTGTTCATGTTCCTTTGAGGATAGGGAAGCAGAGGAAGTTGTGTAAGGGGTTTGGAAATGGATGGGGTGAGGGAGTAGTGTATAGAGAAGGCCACACAACGAATCTCCAACAAAAGATAGTTTATTTGTGCTACCAAATTCGCCTTTCAGGAAGAGGCCGTTTCTGACCTACAGCAAATCACAACTGAGTGGAGACTGCAAAATAGAGAATTGCTTTGAATTTCAAATTCAGTGAACTTGGAGCATCTCATCTCATTGTTAAATTCAGCAAGGAAAAACTCACGTATCCAAAGTTAAGATAAGAGAAGGGGAAAAAATAGGATGAAGATGATCTAAAAATTGTATTCAAAAGAGAGTATTCAAAATAAATAGAGAAGGTTTAAGTGAAATTCACGTGTATATGTGTGTATATGTGTGTGTACATATACATGTGTATGTGTATGTGCATATATATGTGAATTTTTAAGACCTAGATTCAGATCTTTAATCTACTACCTACTAGCTGTGTGATCTTGAGTAAGTTATAGAATCTCTCTTAACTTTAGTTTTCAAATCTGTAATAATGCCAACCTCATTGAGATGTTGTGAGATTGCAGTGAAATACTACATGTACCATGCCTGGCATATACAATGTGCCCATCAAAAATCAGCAGCTTTAAAAATTGTATTCAGCATTTTAATATCATGAATGGCAAACAGGTTTTATTTCTAGTGTCAACTCTGAGTAATTCATTATGACTGCCTGACGGGGCTTTACAGAAAATTATAGGGTGATCAATTATTGATGTCTGCTAAGGCACAGAATGGGAAAGTGTATTTGTCGTTCTGAATCTAGTAGAAAGGTCACAAAATGTCAGGAGAACTGGTCTCTTTGCCTCCAATTAGCTGGACAACATGGGAACATCTTTTACTCCCTCTGGGTCTCATTTTCCCCAGTATAAAATAAAAGAGCAATAAGTTTTTGATTTCTAAGGTCTCTTTGAACCTGAAAATTCTGATTTTAATCTGAAAAACAGCACCACTGTTTCACAGATTTGGAATGTTGATACTTTTTTTTAAAAAATTTTTCATTAAGTCCATTTGTTTATGTGAAGTTATTCTATGGTTTGGTTTTGAGTAGCGTCCATCATAACATAAAACAAAAGGGTGCATAGGCTGGTAAATGAAGTTATATTGAAAGCTTCTTGCTCACTGGCTGTGCGCCCCTATTTCAGTCAAAACCTCTCTGGGCCTCAGCTTCATCACCTGCAAAAGGAAGAAAAATTATTTCTGTCCCCTCCTAACTCTCTGAGATGTGGAGCAAATTAATGAAGTAACGTTTCTACAGCGCTTTGAACTTGTCAGAAGACAGATCTTATGTGATGCTAAAGTATGAATATTCAGATGAAAATGTGGCCCAGAAATTGCTTCATATCATTGTGATATGAAGCACATTAATATCCATTAGATGTACTACAGCTTTATTGTAACACAGTAATGCTTCCAGAAGGAGAAAGAGATGGGTAAAAAAAATCCAGACTCCATCATTTTCCTTTTAAGTTGAGCCTTGTCTTTCCTTAGTGTAAATCACATGGTCTCCACCAAGGTTAAAAACATAGAGCAGAAAGAAGCTTGGTGTTGGAGTAGTCGACTCGGCAAAAATGGCCTCCACAGGGGTAGATATATGTTTGTTACTTAAATATGTTTAAAACCAACCTGCTATTGAAAATACACAAAAATGAGCCCACATAGAACAAAAATATCTTGGTCCTGTAAAGAGTAATGACAATTGATCCTAGTGCCAGAGTCTGTTCTGAGGAATGATGTCAAAACTTGCAAGATGTCACATTATTCCCCAAAGCCAACATTCCCAAGGATGACTGTATCAACAACAGTGGGACAAAGTGCCCTCAAATCTCACCCTGGACAGACTTCTGGGATAGAAGAGAAGATACACCAGGATAGGTAAATAGAATAATTTTGCTTCTTCCTGGTCACTTTGAATCAACATCTTCAGCTACATCTACCTAAAGCAAGGAAATGGAAGAAAATGGAAAGTGCCATCACTTGCCCCACTTGATCTTTCTTGTCCTCTTACCCATAGATTCTAGACAGCAGTGACGAGAGTGGCAGCCATGGCTACTGCTGTGCAATTTTGGAATGGAGTGCTGCCTGAGTTTCAGCTGAGGTGTGTCAGTATGACAGATTCAAAATAACAGGATGAGTAAGACAAATCCAGATAGATTTTTAAATAAAATGTACAATAAACTGATCCAATATTCTTGACAGACCACCCTTCACCTCCACTCCCTACCCTCTTAAGGTCTCTTTGAATCTAAGAATACTGATTCTAATCTGAAAAATAGCACCACCTTTGAAAAATAGCACTCAAGCCCCACCTTTGAGGATATCAAAAGAAGCCAAATTATGGAGAGTGGGATTGTGTAAACAGATTGACAAAGCAGTTTTTGTGTGCAAGCAAATATGTGCTGTGTTATCCTTCGTTTTGCTTTTTGGGAGAGGGGTACAACTACTATCATATGACGCAGGGTCAGGAAACTACGGTAGGCAAGTCAACTCCAGCCCATGGCCTGGTTTTGTATTGTGAGCTCAGAATGATTTTTACATTTTCAAATGGCTGGAGTGGGGTGTGGGGAATCAAAAAATATTTTATGCTGTGAAAATTAACTTTAATTCAAATTTCAGCATCCATAAATACAATGTGATTCCACACAGCCACACTCATTTATGAACTTATCATCTACCTTTAAGGGCCCCCTGGAGAGCTTTGAATTGTACCCTCTGTGCTTGGAAGATTTACATGACTGGTGTCCAACTCAGGCCTGAAAACTCTGACTAAAAGAACTGTGGCCCAGGGACCTCCTCCTTTCAGGGAATTAAAGGTGAAAGAAGTGTTAACCAGCTCCTCTGATGCTATCATGGGGAGAATGTTGTCACAGGCTGCATTTCCAGAATATGCTGGGAAAGGGATGCGTGAGCATTTCCCAAGGATCAGATATAAGACAGGTGAGAGAAAGTTGGTATGGTCTCTTCTTGATTGCCTGGAGGGGTCCTCATCAGGAAGAGATTCCCACTAAAGACCTAGAGGTTGAGAAAGGGGTCACAGGGATTACCTGGAATAGTGGATGCTTTGCTTTCCTGCTAGCCCAGAAGTTGCCCCGCCATGTACAAACCTTTGTATCCAGATAGGAGTTAACACACAGAAGGTAATAGGGAAGGTAAGAGATACTGAGAGGAAGCCGTGCTCTGTCCATTCTCTCCAGCTTTCCCAAGACTACTTTCACTGATTCAACTTGAAAGAGATGGGGGAAACCAGAAATAGATCATATTTGTTAATGTCAGTAGCCATGTTCACCCAACATACGGCTTACGCCATTTATCCAGCAGTTCCAATTACACCAGTGCTCTGTATCCATATTCTCATGTAAGTGTTCTGAAACTTTATGAGACTGATATTAATTCATCCATTTTATAGGTGAAGAAATGAAGGTTTAAATAGTTTAAATGACATGTCCAAGGTCTCACGCCAGTGAGTGGCAGAGCCAAGATTTAGTCCTTGTGAATCCCAAATACATGCTCTTTTCCTGATACATTGGGCAGCTCTCACCTTTGGAGTGATACTTTTGGTGTCACATTTGTGTCCAGAGCCCTCATAATGGTAGTGTTTATCAGGTACTTTTGTTGTTAAGGAACAAACATTTCACAGATTACCTTATGAGATGGGAGTTTACAGCAAGGACACACATTTCCCTAAGTCACCTAGCAGTGGAATTCAAACTCTAGTGTGGTTGTTCCAAAACTGCAGGTTCTTACCCTGTGCAGATGTCCTTACAGTAATAATAAGTGTATGGCAGTGGGACAGTTTAGAGTCATCCAAATGATTTTGCACATATTACTTCATTAGATCCTTACCTTGCCTATGAAAGCAGGCAAGGAAACTATTGTCCTTATTTTTCAGGTGAGTAAACAGAGGCTCAAATGCTCAAAAAGTAGCACCCAAGGAATACTTGTTGAATAAATGAAAGAATGAATATACCCCACCCCTGGTGTGTGTGTGTGTGTGTGTGTGTGTGTGTGTAGATATCCTGTCACTGGTCTATGATAATTTATTCTTTAATTACATGATAAGCCATAGAGCCCCCATCTCTGTGTCCTATATTTCCCAGCATAGCTTCCCATCCATTATCTTGTATATAATGGATGCTCTATAGATGTTAGTATAGAGTCTTGCTACCCTATAACAGAAGAGTCTTATTCTAGGCACATGTTTTATATTAAGTAGCATCTCAGTGGGGGGTCAGTGTAGCTGAGATGTTTATTTACTTCAGGGACAAACTGTGGGGTAGAAATAGATCATATTTATTAATGTCAGGAGCCTAGATATATACCTAGATATATATCCTGTTGCTTTTACCTACTTTTGCTTTATTTTATTTACTTTTGAGACAGGGTAAGGGTCACACTCTCTCACCTAGGCTGGAGTGCAGTGGCATGATCATAACTCATTGCACCCTCAAACTCCTGGGCTTGCAGTGATCCTCCCGCCTCACCTTCCCAACTAGCTGAGAATACAGGCATGAGCCAGGTAATTTTACCTGGCTAATGTTTAAATTTTTTGTAAAGATGGGGTCTCACTATGTTGCCCAGGCTGGTCTCGAACTCCAGGCTCAAGCGATCTTCTTGCCTTGGCCTCCCAAAGTGCTGAGATTACAGATGTGAGCCTCTGCACCTGCTCTGCTTTCATCTAGTTGACTGTATTTCCATGAAGTTAGCAGACATAGTTTGTAATTCTACTCTGCCATTTATTGGCCATCTGACTTTGGACAAGACACAACATAAAATTGTGTCTTAAACTGTAAAACGGGCTTTATACTCTGAGCACTCTAAACATAAAAATTATGTTTATTTATTTTTTATTTTTGAAACAAAGTCTCACTCTGTCACCTAGGTTAGAGTGCAGGGACGTGATCTCAGCTCACTGCAACCTCTGCCTCTCAGATTCAAGCAATTATCATACCTCAGCCTCCGGAGTAGCTGGGATTACAGGCATGCATCAACAAGCCTGGATAATTTTTGTATTTTTGGTAGAGACGAAATTTCACTGTGTTGGCCAGGCTGGTCTCAAACTCCTGACCTCAAGTGATCCGCCCGCCTTAGCCTCCCAAAGTGCTGGGATTACAGGCATGAGCCCCGGCACCTGGCCTAAATTATTTACATGGAGAATCTAAACACCACGCCTGGCTTACAGTAGGTACTTGATAAATGGTAATCATTTTTATTGGACGTGCCCAGCTGATGGTTTGATTTCCTGAGTTTTGCTATGATGTCTTCAGATCACAAAGAATAACATTTTGTTCATAGGGAAGGAACTGGGTTCTGCTATTATGTCCAGACAACAGGAGGCAAGGTCTGAGAGTGTGCAGATATACTAATCTGGGGGCCATAACTGAGGGCAACAGGTTGTCCACAAAACAGGCCAAATCAATGAAAGTCCTGGGATAGACATGACAGAGCTATGTTTTGAGTTCCTTGTCTAACCTTGGAATTGGTAGATTTATTTTAAAATGTCCAATCCTGTCTTTTCCACTGGATCATTCTTTAAAATGTCAGGCATATTAAACTGAGAGGATAACCTTTCATTTACCCAGGTCTGAACTCAGCCATTTTTGCCATTCTTATTTGAAAGCAGTGATTACTTTTGAAGGATGAAAGGACTGGATGATTGGAAAATAAGATTGCGGAGAAAGATTTTTTAAAACGCTCTCTATCTGGACACATTTCCTCCCAAATAAATTGAGCTTACTCAAGAAATTAGATACCACTAAAGCATGATTTTCTTATTCATCAACTAATTAATCACGGATGCAATGGCTAAGGCAAAGTGATTTTACCACGTAGATATAAAATGCGGTTTTGCAAGCAAAAACACAATTCTTTCAAAACAATTGATGAACATCTTTCATGGAAATGCCTCAAATATCTTTTCCCTGAACAAATAGGGTTCTGCTTTGGTCCACAATTTCTTTGTGCATCAGTTTCTTTCTAACTTTAATATAACAATAAATTGGGAATCCATGTTTTATTTTATTTTCTTTTGCTGCCCATCACTCTGGAAGAACTATGTTGGCATCACTATTAAAGTCCATACTTGCCATTTTGCAAGCATTTCTTTTTCTGTTGATTGAATGGATAGTGTGCTCCTTGAAGGAGGATCTACTTCTTTTTATTTTTGCCCTATTTCCACCCCTTTACCTAGCACATAATAGGTAAGTAATAAACGTTCTTTGAAATGGAATTGAATGGCTTAGGTATTTCCTGCTGAGAAAGGCCAACCTTGGCAATATTTGAGTAACAGCAAATTAGGTGAGCAGGCAGGAGAAGTGAGCAGCAGTATCATTTCATGTGTGGTTAATCTGGGAAATTCACTTCCCACTAGTTGGAAGTATTTGATCTTCGGCTACATAGGAAGCCCAATTAGAATCTTCCACACTAATATTATTTGGTCACAGACTCCCTTTACTTCCTTATATGTCACATTCTGCTTGGAGTGTCTCATGCCATAAAACACATGGCTAGGAAGCCTGTGGCAAATTGAATGTTCTCCAGACTCTCCTTCCTCGACTTGTCCCATCTTTTCAAAGTGTTTTCATGTCACACGTCTCCAGCATGAACGGAAGCATCCCCAAGTTACGAAACACTCACAGCCCACAGGCTGAAGGGCAGGCACTTGCTTCTAGCCCAGGCAGATAGAGCTGCTCTCCTCTGGGCAGCGGTCTTTGCAATAATAGCAGCATGTTGTTCTCAGTATCATCCCAATCTAAACAACCAATATTTAAATGACTTAAACTCTTTCTTTGGGAGTCTGAAAGTTTGCAGAAGACCTCACATGGCCCCTTTTGAATGCCTCAGTTCTATACCCCCTTTCGTTTTGGGTCACAAATGCTGTTCCTTTTCAAGCACTGGCTTGGGAGATCATTTGGATTTGATCCTGCTGGCCTGATACTACATACTTGGCTGGTTGGGACTTTCTGGCTCTGATGATGATACTATACAGCAGGAATAATGAGTCTTAATAAATCAGTCACCCTGTTCTTTGGCAATTTATAAGGTTCATTGTACAAAATATATGATATATTAATTATATACAATTATATAATTATATATTAATATTATATATTAATTATATATAATATATTTTTAATATGCAGTAGTTACCTATTATTTAGTGAACATGTTCCCAGACCAGTAGCGGATACCTGAAACCACAGATAGTTTGAAAGACTATATATACTATGATTTTCCTATACATACAATACCTATGACAAAGTTTAATTTATAAATTAGGTACAATAAGAGATTAACAACAATAGAACAATTATAACAAGATACTTATGTCAATGTGCTCTTTCTCTCTCAGAATATCTTACTGTATTGTACTCTCCTATTTTCACTGTGGTTGATAGCAGGTAACTGAAACCACACTGCAGTCCCTGTAGATAAGCAGGGACTATAGTATTATGTAATCCATGTACAATTGACTTTTGAACAACATGGGTTTGTACTGTCCTGGTTCACTTATACATGGATTTTTTTTTCAATAAATACAGTCAGCTCTCTGTATCCTTGGGTTTCATATCTGCAATCAAATGCGGCTCAAAAATACAGTAATTGCAGAATGTGAGACCTGCAGATACAGGGGGCTGACCTCATGTATGTGGATTCTGCAGGGTTGACTTCAGGACTGGAGTATGTGAAGATTCTGGTATATCTGCAAGGATCCTGGAACCAATCCCCTGCCAACACCAAGGGATGAATGTACATAGATATTTTTATTTATCTGTCTATCCGTCTAACTGTTATTTCCTACCTATCCCAATTCCAGGGGCCATCCTTCACATCGCAGTTAAATTTGCAACCCCTGGAGCTGTATAGTACAGCTCATACAACTGTACACAGCAGCCCTGATCACTATTATCTGTCGTTCATTGAACATGTACTATATTGCAGACACTGTGCCAAGCACTTTCCACAGATAATCCCAGGAATTTTCATAACAACCTTTTCAAGTTTTGCTGTGTGTCTTTTACATGGAAGGAACTGAGGTCCAGAAACTACCTTGAGGAAGTTTATCAGGGGAAAAGTAGAGTCTACAATCAGCAAGTATTATTAACAAGCATGTCCTACCTGTGACCCTTAATGAAGGGATACTTCTTCCTAGGGGGGCGTATCAGACCCTCCTCTCGATGGGTGGGATATGTAGTGAACAGGGAGGTTGTAAGAGCATCATCAATATTGTAGTTTAATAGTTAGAATTTTTTTTTCTTTTCTTTTTTTTTTTTTTGGAGACGGAGTCTTGCTCTGTCGCCCAGGCTGGAGTGCAGTGGCGCAATCTCGGCTCACTGCAAGCTCCGCCTCCTGGGTTCACGCCATTCTCCTGCCTCAGCCTCCCAAGTAGCTGGGACTACAGACACCCGCCACGATGCCCAGCTAATTTTTTGTATTTTTAGTAGAGACGGGGTTTCACCGTGGTCTCAATCTCCTGACCTCGTGATCCGCCCACCTCAGCCTCCCAAAGTGCTGGGATTACAGGTGTGAGCCACTGCGCCCGGCCAATAGTTGGAAATTTTAAAACAACTTACAATTTTTATAATATAATTGAGGGAAAGTAAAGGTTGTCAAATCTTGCAATGTAGTGATATATAGAAGAGGAGTCTATATTCAGAGTTACAGTGATTTAATGGAGGAAGAGGGAAGAGGTGAGCCCCTCCCTGCAAGGGGTATATTTCAGAAACGCTGAAGGTTGGTGTGAGATATTTAGGCTTATCCCAAAAAAAGCATGGGTTGCAAAAGGCTAAGAAAGTTCCAGCTACACTGATCAAATGAACTCAATTATAACCCAGTTTCTATTACTTTAAAGTTATGTTGACCCAGCAAAAGCTAGAAGTTGTATTTTTATTCCATTTTCCATTATATGAATTCAATTCACTCAGCAATGACTTAGTTTTTCATTTCCCTCTGTGAAGTTCTGGCTGGATTAAGCTGGGCATTGCATGGGATATATACATTCCCTGCTATGGATGTGAAAATCAGGCCTTAAAACTAGAAGATTCATGGTCCTACAAGCAAAACCAGCACTGCAAGGCCAAAGAAAGATTAGAAAAGGGGTATTTGGGCTGAAAACAGCTTACCTGAGGATGCAGGGGGACGGAGCGGGAGAGAGAGGAGAGAGAGATAGAGAGAGAGAGAAAGAGAGAGAGAGACTGAGCAGCCTGACCTCCAGTGTATTCTATCACGTTGTTTTCCAATAGACTGGAGCCCTCCTCATCACACTAGCATTGACCAACAAACTGAATGCTTATTGTATTGTGTTTTTAATGAACAGTGTTACTTGGCAGATGTTTTTAAACTATGGCCTGACACAAATATGAGATGCAAGAATGTTTGTTTTAGATCTCTCAAATAGTCTTCACTTTCTTTTAAGAGAGTATAAAATCAGAGTACTCTGACCTTTGGCCTGGAGGTTGGTGTGTGACACCCACAAGTTCAGTCAGAGACCTCTCCTAAAATTTGTTGAAACTTGACATCTTTTTATTCTGATCAAGGGACCTTGATATAAGAATTGGGGCTGCTGGTTACTACAAACTCCACTTTGTGAAGAAGCACTGTGACAAAAAATAGAATGAAGCCAACATTCAGCGTTTGAGTGTCCTAAGTTCAAATGTTTGTACTGCCTCTTCCTGTGTGACCCTAGGGTAGTTACATAACTTCTATGAATTTTAGTTTCTTCATCTAAAAATAGGAATACCAAGATGAAAGTTAAGTTATATTATGTATTAAAAGTACCACTTCTAGATTCCTGGGCAAGATGGCCGAATAGGAACAGCTCCGGATGGTGGCTCCCAGTGAGACCAATGCAGAAGACGGGTGATTTCTGCATCTCCAACTGAGATACCCAGTTCATCTCACTGGGACTGGTTAGACAGTGGGTGCAGCCCACGGAGGGTGAGCAGAAGCAGGGCAGGGCATCTACTCACCCAGGAAGTGCAAGGGGTTGGGGAACTCCCTCCCCTAGACAAGGGAAGCCATGAGGGACCATGCCATGAGGAATGGTGCATTCTGGCCCAGACACTACGCTTTTCTCACGGTCTTTGCAACCCACAGACCAGGAGATTCCCTTGCGTGCCTACGCCACCAGGGCCCTGGGTTTCAAGCACAAAACTGGGCGGCCATTTGTACGACACTGAGCTAGCCACAGAAGTTTTTTTTTCACACTGCAGTGGTGCCTAGAATGCCAGCAAGACAGAACCGTTCACCCCGCTGGAAAGAGGGCTGAAGCCAGGAGCCAAGAGGTCTTGCTCAGGGGATCCCACCCCCATGGAGCCCAGCAAGCTAAGATCCACTAGCTTGAAATTCTCACTGTCAGCACAGCAGTCTGAAGTCAACCTGGGACACTTGAGCTTGGTTGGGGGAGGGGTGTCCACCATTGCTGACACTTCAGTAGACGGTTTTCCCCTCAAAGTATAAACAAAGCTGCCAGGAAATTTGGACTGGGTGGAGCCCACTGCAGCCTCACAAAGCCACTGTAGTCAGACTGCCACTCTAGATTCCTCCTCTCTGGGTATGGCATCTCTGAAAGAAAGACAGCAGCCCCAGTCAGGGGCTTATAGATAAAACTCCCATCTCCCTGGGACAGAGCACCTGGGGGAAGGGGCGGCTGTAAGCACAGCTTCAGCAGACTTAAACATTCCTGCCTGCCAGCTCTGAAGACAGCAGTGGATCTCCCAGCACAGTGCTCAAGCTCTGCTAAGTGACAGACTGCCTCCTCAAGTGGGTCCCCAACCACCATGCCTCCTGATGGGGAGACACCTTCCAGCAAGGGCCAACAGGTACCTCATACAGGAGAGCTCTGGCTGGCATTCTGGTGGGTGCCCCTCTGGGAGGAAGCTTCCAGAGGAAGGAGCAGGCAGCAATCTTTGCTCTTCTGCAGCCTCTGCTGGTGATACCTAGGCAAACAGGGTCTGGAGTGGACCCCCAGCAAACTCCAGCAGCCCTGTAGAAGAGGGGCCTGACTGTTAGAAGAAAACTAACAAACAGAAAGCAATAGCATCAACATCAACAAAAAGGACAACCACACAAAAACTCCATCTGAAGGTCACCAATAGCAACAACAAAATGTTGATAAATCCACAAAGATGAGAAAAAACCAGTGCAAAAAGGATGAAAATTCCAAAAACTAAAATGCCTCTTCTCCTCCAAAGTATCACAACTCCTCACCACCAAGGGAACAAAACTGGATGGAGAATGAGTTTGACAAATTGACAGAAGTAGGCTTCAGAAAGTGGGTAATAACAAACTCCTCTGAGCTAAAGGAGCATGTTCTAACCCAATGCAAGGAAGCTAAGAACCTTGATAAAAGGTTAGAGGAATTGCTAACTAGAATAAACTGTTTAGAGAAGAATATAAATGACCTGATGGAGCTGAAAAACACAGCACGAGAACTTCATGGAGCATACACAAGTATCAATAGCTGGATCAATCAAGTGGAAAAAAGGATATCGGAGATTGAAGATCGACTTAATGAAATAAAGCATGAAGACAAGATTAGAGAAAAAAGAATGAAAAGGAATGAACAGAGCCTCCAAGAAATATGGGACTATGTGAAAAGACCAAACCTACATTTGATTGGTATACATGAAAGTGACAGAGAGAATGGAACCAAGCTGGAAAACACATTTCAGAATATTGTCCAGGAGAACTTCAACCTAGCAAGACAAGCCAACGTTCAAATTCAGGAAATACGGAGAACACCACAAAGATACTCCTCAAGAAGAGCAATCCTAACACATATAATCATCAGATTCACGAAGGTTGAAATGAAGGAAAAAATGTTAAGGGCAGCCAGAGAGAAGGTCGTGTTACCCACAAAGGGAAGCCCATCAGACTAACAGCAGATCTCTCAACAGAAACCCTACAAGCCAGAAGAGAGTGGGGGCCAATATTCAACATTCTTAAAGAAAAGAATTTTCAACTCAGAATTTCATACCCAGCCAAACTAAGCTCCATAAGTGAAGGAGAAGTAAAATCCTTTACAGGCAAGCAAATGCTGAGAGATTTTGTCATCACCAGGCCTGCTTTACAAGAGCTCCTGAAGGAAACACTAAATATGGAAAGGAAAAACTGGTACCAGCCACTGCAAAAACAAATCAAAATGTAAAGATCATTGACACTACGAAGAAATTGCATCAACTAATGGGCAAAATAACCAGCTAGCATCATAATGACAAGATCAAGTTCACACATAACAATATTAACCTTAAATGTAAATGGGCTAAATGCCCCAATTAAAAGGCACAGACTGGCAAATTGGATAAAGAGTCAAGACCCATCGGTGTGCTGTATTCAGGAGATCCATCTCACATGCAAAGACAAACATAGATTCAAGATAAAGGGATAAGGGAAGATTTACCAAGCAAATATAAAGCAAAAAAAAACAAAAACAAAAACAAAAAACAAAAACCAGGGGTTGCAATCCTAGTCTTGGATAAAACAGGCTTTAAACCAACAAAGATCAAAAGAGACAAAGAAGGGCATCACATAATGGTAAAGGGATCAATGCAACAAGAAGAGCTAACTATTCTAAATATATATGCACCCAATACAGGAGCACCCAGATTCATAAAGCAAGTTCTTAGAGACCTACAAAGAGACTTAGACTCCCACACAATGGTAGTGGGAGACTTTAATACCCCACTGTCAATATTAGACAGATCAATGAGACAGAAAATTAACAAGGATATTCAGGACTTGAACTCAGCTTTGGACCAAGCAGACCTAATAGACATCTACAGAACTCTCCACCCCAAATCAACAGAATATACGTTCTTCTCAACACCACTTCACACTTATTCTGAAATTGACCACATAATTGGAAGTAAAACATTCTTCAGCAAATACAAAAGAATGGAAATCATAATAAAGAGTCTCTTTAGCTGTGTCCCAGAGACTCTGGTACATTGTGTCTTTGTTCTCGTTGGTTTCAAAGTGCAATCAAATTAGAACTCAGCATTAAGAAACTCACTCAAAACCGCACAACTACATGGAAACTGAACAACCTGCTCCTGAATGACTACTGAGTAAATAATGAAATTAAGGCAGAAATAAATAAGTTCTTTGAAACCAATGAGGACATGGACACAATGTACTAGAATCTCTGAGACACAGCTTAAAGTAGTGTTTAGAGGGAAATTTATAGCACTAAATGCCCACAGGAGAAAGTGGGAAAGATCTAAAATCAACATGCTAACATCACAATTAAAAGAAATAGAGAAGCAAGAGCAAACAAACTGAAAAGCTAGCAGAAGACAAGAAATAACTAAGATGAGAGCAGAACTGAAGGAGACAGAGACACGAAAAACCCTTCAAAAAAATCAATGAATCCAGGAGCTGGTTTTTTGAAAAGATTAACAAAGTAGACAGACCACTAGCCAGACTAATAAAGAAGAAAAGAGAGAAGGATCAAATAGACACAATAAAAAATGATAAGGGGGATATCACCACTAATGCCACAGAAGTACAAACTACCATCAGAGAATATTATAAACACCTCTATGAAAATAATCTACAAAATCTAGAAGAAATGGATAAATTCCTGGACACATACACCCTCCCAAGACTAAACCAGGAAGAAGTTGAATCCCTGAATAGACCAATAACAAGTTCCAAAATTGAGACAGTAATTAATAGCCAATGAACCAAAAAAAGCCCAGGACCAGACAGATTCACAGTCGAATTCTACCAAAGGTGCAAAGAGGAGCTGGTACCATTCCTTCTGAAACTATTCTGAAAAATAGAAAAAGAAGGACTCCTCCCTAACTCATTTTATGAGGGCAGCATCATTCTGATACCAAAACCTGGAGAGACACAACAGAAAAAGAAAATTTGAGGCCAATATCCCTGATGAACATCGATGCAAAAATCATCAGTAAAACACTGGCAAACCGAATCCAGCAGCACATCAAAAAACTTATCCACCACGATCAAGTCGGCTTCATCCTTGGGATGCAAGGCTAGTTCACACACACAAATCAATAAACATAATCCATCACATAAACAGAACCAATAACAAAAACCACATGATATCTCAATAGATGCAGAAAGGCCTTTGATAAAATTCAACATCCCATCATGCTAAAACCACTCAATAAACTAGGTATTGATGGAACTTATCTCAAAATAATAAGAGCTATTTAAGACAAACTCACCGCCAATATCATACTAAATAGGCAAAAGCTGGAAGCATTCCTTTTGAAAACCGGCACAAGAAGGATGCTCTCTCTCACCACTCCTATTCAACATAATATTCGAAGTTTTGGCCCCGGCAATCAGGTTAGAGAAAGAAATAAAGGGTATTCAAATAGGAAGAGAGGAAGTCCAATTATCTCTGTTTGCATATGACATGACTGTATATTTAGAAAACCGCATCTAAAAAAAGCCCTCAGACTCCTTAAGCTGATAAGCAACTTCAGCAAAGTCTCAGAATACAAAATCAATGTGCAAAAGTCACAAGCATTCCTATACACCAACAATAGATAGCCAAATCATGAGTGAACTCCCATTCACAATTGTTACAAAGAGAATAAAATACCTAGGAATACACTTACAAGGGATGTGAAGGACCTCTTCAAGGAGAAACACAAACCACCACTCAAGGAAATAAGAGAGGACACAAACAAATTGAAAAACATTCAATGCTCATGGATAGGAAGAATTAATATTGTGAAAATGGCCATACTGCCCAAAGTAATTTATAGATTTATGCTATTCCCATCAAGCTACCACTGACTTTCTTCACAGAATTTGAAAAAAACTACTTTAAATTTCATGTGGAACCAAAAAAGAGCCCATATAGCCAAGACAATCCTAAGCAAAAAGAACAAAGCTGGAGGCATCATGCTACCTGACTTCAAACTATACTACAACGCTGCAGTAACCAAAACAGCATGGTACTGGTACCAAAAAATATATATAGAGGCCTCAGAAGTAATGCAACACATCTACAACCATCTGATCTTTGACAAATCTGACAAAAACAAGCAATGGGGAAAGGATTCCCTATTTAGTAAATGGTGTTGGAAAAACTCCCTAGCTGTACGCAGAAAACTGAAACTGGACCCCTTCCTTACACCTTATATAAAAGTCAACTAAGAGAGAGTAAAGGGCCGGGCATGGTGGCTCACGCCTGTAATCCCAGCACTTTGGGAGGCCGAGGCGGGCGGATCACGAGGTCAGGAGATCGAGACCATCCTGGCTAACACGGTGAAACCCTGTCTCTACTAAAAAATACAAAAAATTAGCCAGGCGTGGTGGTGGGTGCCTGTAGTCCCAGCTACACGGGAGGCTGAGGCAGGAGAATGGCATGAACCCAGGAGGCGGAGCTGGCAGTGAGCCAAGACTGCGCCACTGCACTCCAGCCTGGGTAAGAGAGCCAGACTCTGTCTCAAAAAAGAAAAAAAAAATAGATTAAAGATTTAAATAATTATAAAAACCCTTGAATAAAACCTAGGCAATACCATTCAGGACATAGGCGTGGGCAAAGACTTCATGACTAAAACACCATAAGCAATGGCAACGAAAGCCAAAATTGATAAATGGGATCTAATTGAACTAAAGAGCTTCTGCACAGCAAAATAAACTATCATCAGAGTGAACAGGCAACCTACAGAATGGGAGAAAGTTTTTGCAATCTATCCATCTGACAAAGGGCTACTATCCAGAATCTACAAGGAACATAAACAAATTTACAAGAAAATAACAAACAACCCCATCAAAAAGTGAGTGAAGGATATGAACAGACACTTTTCAAAAGAAGACATTTATGCAGCCAACAAACATGAAAAAAAGCTCGTGATCACTGGTCATTAGAGAAATGCAAATCAAAACCACAATGAGAAACCATCTCTCACCAGTTAGAATGGCTATCATTAAAAAGTCAGGAAAGAACAGATACTGGAGAGGATGTGGAGAAACAGGAATGCTTTTACACTGTTGGTGGGAATGTAAATTAGTTCAACCAGTGTGGAAGACAGTGTGGCAATTCCTCAAGGATCTAGAACTAGAAATACCATTTGACCCAGCAATCCCATTACTGGGTATATACCCTAAGGATTATAAATCATTCTACTATAAAGACACATGCACACCTATGTTTATTGTGGCACTATTCACAATAGCAAAGACTTGGAACCAACCCAAATCAGTGTTAGACCAGATAAAGAAAATGTGGCACATATACACCATGGAGTACTATGCAGCCATAAAAACGGATGAGTTCATGTCCTTTGCAGGGACGTGGATGAAGATGGAAACTATCATTATCAGCAAACTAATGCAGGAACAGAAAACCAAACACTGCACGTTCTGACTCATAAGTGGGAGCTGAACAATGAGAACACATGGGCACAGGGAAGGGAACATCGCACACTGGGGCCTATTGGGGTGTGGGGGACAAGGGGAAAGATAGCATTAGGAGAAACACCTAATGTAGATGCAGGGTTGATGGGTGCAGCAAACCACCATGGCACATGTATACCTGTGCAACAAACCTACACACTCTGTACATTTATCCCAGAACTTAAAGAATTAAAAAAAAAAAAGTACCACTTTGAGTGCCTGACACATCATAAATGCTAAAAATAAAAGTAGAGGCTAAATAAGACTCCTGCTGTATTTATCTCTACATATTTTGAATAACTGCCTTGCTCTGTGTTCTGCCTTGTTTTATTTATGTAGTTCTTGGCAAGGCTAATCCACAGTACTCATAATAGCTTATATAATAGCTCAGCTTTGCTGTACCACAATGGACTGAAACTTGTTGCCCCCAAATTCATATGTTGAAGCCCTAGCCCTCAGTGTGATGGTATTTGGAGATAGTGCCTTTGGGAGATAATTAGATTTAGATGACATCATAAGGATGGGTACTTCATGATGAGATTAGTGCCCTTATAAAAAGATACCCTAAAGAGCTTCCCCATTTCCCACCCCTTCCCATTATATGAGGATACAATGAGAAGGCTGCCATCTGCATGTCAGGAAGAGCACCTTCCCTGGGAAACCAGGTCAGCCAACACCTTGATCTTGAACTTTCCAGCTTCCAGAACTGTAATAAATAAATTCCTGTTGTTTAACCCACTCAGTCTATGGTATTTTTTTTACGACAGCCTGAGCTAAGACAAGCACATAATGTTTCGTTTATAGTAAATACAGCAAATAAAGTTTATACTTGTTGGGATATACTTGGTAGGAAGATAGTGGAATGTCAGTAGTCTTAGTTAGCCATGGTCTGCAATTTCAGCTCTCTAGAAAAAGTAAGCAGGGGAAATAAAATCAATTTTTTTTAAAAAAAGAAAAGCAAAAGGAAATAGGAACGACAGCGGATGCGAATGTTGTTTTCCAGCATCTGGGTCTATCTTCTATGTTTCTGGGAAATTGTGGCTGCTGAATTTTCGCTACAACTCACGTCTGGGTTTAGAAATTTTTTATAGAGGTAAATTAATCTTTTTTTAAGCTACAGCTATGCAATACAATTCCTAAGCTTAAAAAACAGGTGCTGTATTGCATTCATTCAGTGATATTTATTGAGGGCTTTCTGCATGTCAGGTACTCTTAAAGTAGCTAGAGATACAGCAGTGATCAAATAGACAAACATCCCTACCATTTTTTAAGTCTCTCTTTTTTTTATTGAGGTAAAATTTACATAATATAAAATTAGTCATTTAAAAGTGAATAATTCAGTGGCATTTAGTACATTAACAATGTTGTACAACCACCACCTCTATCTAGTTCCAAAGCATTTTCATACTCCAAAATGAAAGCATGTGCCTGGGAATCAGTCACCCTCTACTCCCCAAATCTGACCCCTGGTAACCACAATTTATGTTCTATCTCTATAGGTTTTTCCTATAAATGGGATAATATGTGACCTTTTGTGTCTGGCCTTTTTCACGTAGCAGAATCTTTTCACGGTTCATCTACATTGTGGCATGTATCAATACTTTATTCTTTTTTAAGGCTGAATAATGTTCTGTTGTATGGATATACGACAGTTTGCTTATCCATACATCTGTTGATGGACATGTGGGTTGTTTCCACCTTTTGGCTATTGTGGATAGTGCTGCTATGAACATGCGTGTACATGTACTTCTTTGAGTACCTTTTTCAATTCTTGTGGGTATATACCTAACAATAGAATTGCTGGATCACATGGTAATTCTATATTTGACATTTTGAAGAAATGTCAAATTGTTTTCTATGGTGTCTGGCACTACTTTACATTCATACCAAAAATGTATGTGAGTTTCAATTTCTCCACATTCTCACCAATACTTTTATTTTCTATTTTTTGATTGTAGCCATCATAGTAGGTGTGAAGTAGCTGTCACTGTGTATCTGATTTACATTTTGCTTATGCTTAGTGATACAAAATGTCTTTTCATGTACTTGTTGTCCATTTCTTGGTTGGATATATCTTCTTTGGAGAAATGTCTATTCAAGGCATTCGTGTACTTTTAAATTGGTTTGTTGTTTATTGTTGAGTTGTAAGAACTCTTTATATACTCTCCATGCTAGATCCTTATCAGATATATGATTTACTAATATTCTATTGTATTTTATAGGCTATCTTCTCACTTTCTTGGTAATGGCCTTTGAAATTACAAAAATGTTTTTATTTTGGTGAAGTCTAGTTTATTTATTTTCTATTTTGTTGCTGTATCTTATCTAAGAACCTAAGGCCAAATCCAAGGTCACGAAGATTTAGTCCTATGCTTTTTTCTAAGAGTGTTTTGGTTTTAGCTTTCATATTTAGGTCATTGATACATTTAATGTTAATTTTTGTACGTTGTATGAGGTTGGAGTCCAGCTTTATTCTTTTACATGCAGATATTCAGTATCCCTACCATTTTGGAGAAAAATTGTAATATAGTGAAGATAATAAAAAGTCAGTTGACATTGTCACAGCCAAGAGGAGCCTAAGAATACATAAGAACTAAATGTAATATGGTACCTTGGATGAGATCCTGGAACAGAGAAAGGATGCTAGGTAAAAACTAAGGAAGTTTAAATAAAGTATAGACTTTAGTTTATAATAATTTATCAATCTTGATTAATTAATTGTGACAAATGTACCACACTAAGGTAAGATATTAATAACAGGGGAAACTGGTTATATATTGGTTCCCATAGAGTATATGGAAACTCTCTGTGCTAGCCTGACAATTTTTTGTAAGTCTAAAAATATTTCAAACTTAAAAGGTTATCTTAAAGGTAAACCAAAAGCATTAAAAAATGCCAGTATCTAGGAAGAAACCGAATGAAACATGTTCAAGATGTCCACATCGAAAACCGTTAAGCATGCTGAGTGAAATTGAAAAAGACTTAGATAAATAATGAGACATACTATGTTCATGGATTGGTAGACTGATTATTGTTTAGATGTTAGTTGTATCAAATTTGTTTACAGATTTAGTTCTATCCTAGTCAAAATATCAGGAAATGTTTATGTAGAAATTAACAAGTTTATTTTATAATTTATACAGAAACACAAATGACCAAGAATAGCCAAAACAATTTTCAAAAAGAACAAAGTTGGGAGACTTACATTACCTAATTTTCAGGCTTATTATAAAGCTCACATCATGACAATGTGGTCTTGAAATAGAAATGACATATAGATCAATGGAACAGAAGAAAATTCAGAAATAGACCCACATACCCACAATTGATTTTTTGAAAAGGTTTTAAAGTAATTAAATTGAGAAAGTAAAGTTTTTTTCTTATAATAACTGATGTGGGAACAGCTGGACATTCATATTAAAAATTAATTTTGATGTTTTCTTCATGCCATAAACCAAAATTAATTCAAAATGGATTTTAGGTCTAAATATAAAAGCCAAAACTATAATATTTGTAGATTAAAAGATTTCTTTTTAACTTTAGAGTAGGCAAAGATTTCTTAGATTAAAATAAAGGAAAAAAATAAATTAGACTTTATCAAAATGAAAACTTTCTACTCTTCAAAGGACACCTTTAGGAAAATCAAAAGGCAAGCCACAGACTGGAGGAAAATATTCTTAATACACGACTCTGACAGGGGACTTGTATCTGGAATATATGATTCAGAATATATAAAGAACTCCCAAACTCAATAATAAGTGACAAACAATTCAATTAAAAAAAACAGGCAAAAGGCTTGAAAAGGCACTTTATGAAAGAAGATATAAAGTTAATAAACCCATGAAAACATACCCAACATCACTAGCCTTCTGGAAAATGCACACTGAACCACAACAAGATGCCATTTCACAGTACTAGAATGGCTAGAGCTAAAATGACTAATAATAGCAAGTGTTGGCAAGGATGCAACTGGGACCCCCCCCCATACATTGCAACTATGTGTGTAAAACAGTACAGCTTTTTTTCTTTTTAAACATTTTGGCAGTTTTTTATAAAGTTAAACATGCATTTACCATATGACACTGCAATTTCACTCCTAGGCATTTAACAAAGAGAAATGAAAACATATACCCACTAAAAGACTAATGTCAACAACAGCTTTGTTCATAATAGGCAACAAGTGAGAACAACCCTTATGCCTATCAATAGCAGAATGGAGAAACACATTGTGGTATACAGTTGATCCTTGAGCAACATAGGCTTAAACTGCATGGGTCCACTTCCATGCACATTTCTTCAATACATATACTGGAAAATTTTTTGGAGATTTGCAACAATTTGAAAAAACTCACAGACAAACCACGTAGCCTAGAAATGTTGCAAAAATTAAGAAAAGGTATGTCCTGAATGCATAAAATATATGTCGATACTAGTGTATTTGTAAGTTAATTGACTGTTTACGATATTGGTAAGGTTTCTTCTGGCCAACCGCAGGCTATTAGTAGTGAAGTTTTAAGGAAATCAAAAGTTATGCCTGCATTTTTTACTGTGATGGGGGTGGTGCCCCTGACTCCTGTGTTGGTCAAGGGCTACCTGTATTCAAATGGTTGATACCATTTCATAGGAGCATTGTTTGCAATAGTGAAACTAAAGATAATCCAAATATCCATAAACAGGAAAATGGATAAACTGAAATATTCACATAATGGAAGACCATGAAAACTGAACATTAATGAATTCGAACTTCATGCACAAAAATATTAAGTGAAAGAAACAAAACTTAGAAGAACTCATGCAGTATGATAGTAAAGTGACATAAATTGTTTAGAAATTCTTATACACATAGGAAAAGTATGAGGAAGAAAAAGAGAATGGTGAACCCAAAATTCAGAATAGTAGTTTCCTTTCATAAGAGCTCCATGAGTTCGGGGCTTCTTGTCTGTTTTATTTTTAATGTTACTGTTTTCCAGTTCCTAGAACATTACTTGATATATAATAGTCACTCAAATAAACATTTTTGAAGAAATAAATAAGAGGAGAGGGGGATTGATATGGGCAGCTGCAGAAGGACTGGAAAAGTTTTATTACTTAAGCTGGATGATGGGTACACAGGGTGTATATAACAATATTCTGTATATTACATGGATGTGAGTATATAGACTTTTACATTATTAAATGTTATAATTTTTTTTTTGAAGACCAGGTCTTTGACACCCAGGCTGGAGTGCAGTGGTGCAATTCCAGCTCACTGCAGGCTTGACCTCCCTGGGCTCAGGTGATCCTCCCACCTCAGCCTCCTGAGTAGCTGGGCCTACAGGTGTACTCCACCACACCTGGCTAATGTTTTGTATCTTTTTGCAGAGACAAGGTTTCACCATGTTGCCCAGGTTGGTCTCAAACTCCTGGCTCAAGCGACCCTCCAATCTCACCCCCAAAGTGCTAGGATTACATGCATGACCCACTGTATCCAGCCATAAAATGTAATAAATTTTAAAATTAAAAAATACATTGTTAAACTTTCATATTGAAAATATTATCAAAGTGAGGAAAAAAACAGACATCCTCACTCCATCCCTCAGACCCAACTTCCTGTTGCCTCTGCCTTGGGTCTTACATTTGCCCTCAAAGGAAGAGGGTAGGATCAATGGGTACAGGGTGGGTGAGTCACAAAATGAGCCTCAGAGAGTTTGGTTATTCTCATATTTTAGGTAAAAAGTAGATTGAAAAAAGCATTTTACATTACAATTTTACATCAAAATGACCATGTTGCTGTGTCCCGCCTTGTCCTGCGTAAGAGCTAAAGAGAGAAAAAGAAACAGACAGGTAGGTCCATTTGGGGTGGACTTGAGGTCATGGGTAGCTTTTAAGATAGAGAAGCATTTAATTCTATTTCTTTCCTTTCTTTAGCTCTAGACATAATGTTTACAATATATGTATGTCTCTTTCAAATGAGTCAGTAAAGAAATGCCAGTACCAAGATGTCTCGAAAATATAATTTTAGAAAAAGGGGAAAAATGGCCCAATCTAATCACATGACAGCCTGCCAAAAACACCATTTCCCTAGCACCATGAGGATCAACTGAGATCATTCCTATTTTTTAGTTTCTTTTACACATTTTTTTTGTCTTTCAAAAATAAGCCATGTGTTTAAACAACTTGGAAGGTGAATGTTCTTATTAGTTTGACTGTTTCCACAGAGTATTTTAGTTCATTCCAGCAAGTTCTGGCTGAATGCCTATGATGTGCCTAACACCTTAAGGAAGCGTGGACAGCGGTAGGTTCTAGTTCAAAAGCAGCTCAAATACAGAAACCTCCACCGCAACCTACTTCATGAGTTAAGGAGCTGGGTAATTTCACTCACTGCCGTATTATGGAAAAGTCTACTTTGGTATTGTTGAATGTCATATGTGAGGTATGGAGTTTAATGCAAAGGACTAGGAATTGCATATTTTTTGATATGGAAAGAGAAGGAAAAAAAAACATGCAAACTAAGCCTTCAGTGCTGATAAATGCAAAGACTTACTGCTCACTCTGAGAAGCATATCCTTATGGCTGAAGTTCACCAGGGGAGGTGCTGGGAGTCAATGCCTAAGCAATACTCTAATCCCACTCTGGTGCAACCTGTTCCTGAACTTGGATAAGTCTAGGTTTGGTTTTCACATATGTACCATAAAACAAGCATCCTTAAGGTTTCACCTAGCTCTCATATAGCCTTTGCTTCTCTTCTACTACTTTTGTATCTTCTATACATACCCACAGTTCACAGACACACACACACACACACACATACACACCCCTCTTAGATGAGTTTCTTCAAATAGTTTTAGCAAACATTTCTAGAGGATCCAGCTGGGGTCTCAAACATAGAAACTCTGAGAGAATCATTTGCAACATATGTTAATTGAATTACTGAATGAATAACTGAACTCATTCATTCAATATAAATTTATACTATTTATGAGAACATGGTTAATGTCTCCCAAACTTCAATCATTTACACATCACTATTATGAATTGTGCTATATAATCTGTATAATTTGGAGCATTTTAGTTTTTCCTTAAAATGTCTCATTTTTACTCAAATGTAGTTTTAAAGCAAATGCTATATTACTCTTTTATAAAAAGAAAACCAATACTAGTCGGGAAATATTTCTTTAGGGAGACACAAAGAACAGTTGACTATAAGAGAAAAGATTGATAAATGTATATAGTAAGAACTTTTATTCATTACGAAAACTTAAAGATACTGAAAGGTAAATTGCAGACTGCAATAAGATAATCTGCAATATCTAGCTACACACAATCTACAAATAATTAGAATCAAAATATGTTAAAGTGACTAAAAATCAGTAAGAGTAGCACAAACAAGCCAAAAGAAAAATGGGCACAAAACAGCAGTAGGCATTTCACAGAAGAGATAAACACATGTATGCAACAGATGCATGAAGAAATTTTTAGTATTATTAGTGACCAGGAAAATACAAATCAAGATTAGATGAGATACCATTTTATAGATACTTGAGGGGCCCAAATGTAAAAAAGGCTGACAATGCCACGTATGGGAAAGGATAGAGAACCACAGGATTTCATATTCGCTACTGGTAGGAGTACAAATTGGTGCCATCCCATTGGATTCGAGTTTGGCATTATCCAAACCCGTTATCCCCTCTCCATATCCATTATTCATTATTCCTATACTCTCTGACCCAGCAGTTCTACCCCATTGAAAAGCTTACACACGCTCAGGAGAGATGCACACAAGTGTTCAGAGCACTGCTGCTCACAATGACAAAAGCCTGTAGACAGCCCAGGTGCTCATCAATTGGCGAGTGGATGCATAAACTGTGGTATATTCATAAATGGAATGAAATATGGCAGTCAAACTAAATGACCTGCAGCAACATCAACAATATGGCAATATATTAAGTGAAAAAAGTTCCTAAATATTGTGTAAGCATGATACCCTTTTTATAAAGTTTAAAACAACCAAACATAAGGGAAAAAGCTTAGAGATAAATACAGAGGCAATTAAACAATTTAAAAAGAAGGCAAGAGAATGGTGAGCATAGCACACAGGGTCAGATAGAGGGAGGCAAAAGGACAGAACAGGTGTGGTATCGGTAGATGAATAATATCCACGACTGTGAAGAGCTTAGCTTTTCTCTTGCATGGTGAGTTTAGGGGTACTGATTACGGTATAAAATAACTAGCAAAATAAATATAAGTGGGTGATGCAAGGACCAATAATGGCTGTGTCATAGAACAAGTATTGTAGTTAATCTACTTCTGTGCATCTGAGGTTCTTGAAGAAAACAAACACCACTTTTTATAAAGAGAAAGTATGTATTTCAAAAAGTAGAACAATTTTAAAAAGCTTTAAAGAGAGCATCTGTGAAATCATTCTCTGTACCACCAGTGCTGTACAAAGTATGGAAATCACTGCCCCGTCATATGACAGTGAGTAAGAGACTGCTTCTTCTCTCTAGAAATTTATGGCTGCTAGGGGAGGCACAAACGTGGGTAATTATAATAGAATCCACGAAGTGATAGGATAATCATAAAGAAGTAAGAACGCAGGGCAGGGGGCATGAAACCAGCCTGGGCATGGCGGAAGTCATCCTAAGAGGATGTAAAATCTAACCTTGCCCTTCAAACAGACAGATATTTTAGGCAGGGAAGCTCCATGCGTTAAGAACCTGAAGATCGGCCGGGCGCGGTGGCTCACGGGCCAGGCGCGGTTGCTCACGCCTGTAATCCCAGCACTTTGGGAGGCAGAGGCAGGCGGATCACGAGGTCAGGAGATCGAGACCATCCTGCCTAACACAGTGAAACCCCGTCTCTACTAAAAAAAATACAAAAAATTAGCCGGGCATGGTGGCGGGCGCTTGTAGTCTCGGCTACTGATGAGGCTGAGGCAGGACAATGGCGTGAACCCGGGAGGCGGAGCTCGCAGTGAGCCGAGATCGCGCCACTGCAGTCTAGCCTGCAGAGCAACACTACGTCTCAAAAAAAAAAAAAAAAAAAAAGAAACTGAAGGTAGAATATTGGAGTTGCTCCATTTGACTGGAGCAGGGAAACAGGGGAGTAAGAAGGGAGAGAAATGGGGCTTGGGAATTTGACAGGGGCCTCATCATTAGGAGACTTGGACAATGTATGATACTCTTGGGGCCTTATTTTGAGAGCTGCAGGAAGTCACTGAAGAGTTTAAGCCAGGGAGTGATATAATTAGATTTTTTTCCTTCACAAAAAGCAGGACCAGAAGCAGAAAGCATCAGTTAGATGAGGTAGAAGCTGGGTCAGTTGTCCAGGTGAGCCATGGTGGTGACTGCAAGTGTTGACAGTCAGGATGGAGAGAAGTACGCAGATTAGGGAGTTATTGAGGAGGTGGAATTAGTAAGACTCAAAGATCGATTGGATATAGGGATCAAATAAGAGGGGAATACTGAGAATAATTTTCTATATGGGCAGCTAAGGAGATAGTAGTGACAGACACTGAGACTTGGGCACTTGGGAGAAAGAATATGCAAATCTTCTTAAGTGACTCATTCCATTTGGCTAGACATTGGTTCACAGTATCTCAAAGCCTTCACAGATAAACCTGACATCTCTCCAGCCAAGTCTAATTTACACGCTCCAGAAATGGCAGATATCCTATTCTTGTTTCTAAACACTTGGACTGAATTATTAAAAGACTCCTTACAGCTACCATGTGAGGAACCTTTAAATAAAGGTTTCCCAAATCCGTGAGCTAACATTATAAAAGCTGTTTCACTTGATTTTCAAAGTAGTTCCTAGATTCATTACTTCCATAGCAAAAAGTTTAGGAGTATTGCTAACTATTCGTGCCATTGACTTCCAGAATATAAAATGAGGTCAGAGTTCCTCTGAAATTATTTTTCTTCTTTTTAAAGGCAAAATAATGATGTAAGTATGGCTATATTGCACAGCAGCTAAGTAATGAAATCTTTTGCTTTGAGTGCAACATAAAACAACTGCATATTTTCCTTTCATATTTTGGGCCATAAACATGTAAAGAAACCAACGTGAATTTCCTATAGAATGATTGCCAAAATGAAATTTTCTGATCGTTTGTTCAAAAAAGGGAATGCATGGGCCTATCTCCTGTAAGAGTACTATAAAGTAGCCAGGACTGTGGTCATTTTTATAGATAATTCCGAGAAACCTTTAAAGCAAGATGGTCAGGGGAGTGATACATCGCCAGGATGCAGGAAATACTGGCCCATTACCTCCAGATCAGTCCCCGAGGGTTACTGTTCATATTTGGCTTTGGGGACAGGAGTCAATAAAAATTTGTGTTCATAATACTTTATATACTCACATGCAGGCAGAAGGAAGGCTAAGGGAAGTAGAAATACCTTATTACATAGCACATAATAAGGACCATTAATATCAGCTGCCAATTCTGACACTACCAATGTGTGTGTTTATGTGGACTGTAGTGTCACGTGGTAGTTACTAGAATGGAGTTTGGTGTTAGAGAGATTGAAGTCAAATTGTAGCTTTGCCACTTAAGCAGCAATGTGATTTTGAACATGTTATCTAAACTCTCTGACCTTATTTTCTTCAATGGGACAATGTACCTCTTCCTTCAGTTTAATGAGTTAATGCAAGCAAAGACTCCAGACCAATATATCATAAGCATTCAATAAACAGAGATAATGTAAGTAAAGGAACATAAATACATTCTAATGATTCTTAGCAGGCTAAAATCTGATATTAGATCTAGGTGCCCAGTGTAACCAAAACATTGTAAAATACTCCTTACATTTGTGGATGGTTGATTTTTTAACATAGTCTACAGTAAGCATAATAATATCATATTTCATTGACTCCAAGATGTGTATTTTGTATATTTGAATAAGAAGTGTTGACTTTTCCTGCACATACATATCAAAACCTGTGGAAAGAATGACAGCAGATTGGAAGAAAACTTTAGATTCAATAATGGAACATTCTTTTAAGAAACACTGCATCATCAATGCCCTTGTTGACATGGAGAATGATGCTGTGAAGAGACAGACACTGGTGACCTTGATTTAAAAAATGATTCAGAAAAGCTGGACTTCTCTGCTTTCCTTTTTTTTCACATGCACAGAAGTAATGTTAGATAAAATATATATATATTATATATATCTCACTAGGACTGTTTATTAAATAGAGCACTTTTGATCAATATGAAATAAAAATTCTAGTGATAAAGCTCAGTGTTATAGTTTGTCAGCCTGTGCTCACTGTACTGGCACATACACAATAGACTGTCGTCTTACAACTGATGACAACTTAGCTTTATGGAAATATGGTATACCCAGAAAGTAAGGACAACAGAGAGAATTTAAAGAAGTTAGAAAACTGAGTTGATAAAGGAAGACATACCTGGGTTCAATCTCAGCTCCTTCATTTCCAGTTAACTTTGGACAAATGACCATCCTTCTAAGTCTCTAAAATGACAATTTTACTTAAGTCATTGAGTAAATTGTGTGGGTTAAATGAAATAATATAGATAAAATGTTTAACACCATATTCGTGCAAGTATTTCAATACTGCAATAAATGATTGGTATTATAGGCTGAGTATCCCTTATCCAAATGCTTGGGAAACAGAAGTGTTGTGGGTTTTAATTTTGGAATATCGGTATATATAAATTCATATTTGTATGAATTTATGTTTCATGTATGCCTTATACAAATAGCAGGTAACTTTATATAATACTTTAAATATTTTTGTGCATGAAACAAAGCTTTGACTTTGTTTTCACTGGGACCCATCACATGAGGTCAGGTGTGGAATTTTCCGTTTGTGGTGTCATGATGATCCTCAAAAAGCTTTGGATTTTGGAGCATTTCAGATTTTGGATTTTTAAATTAGGGATGCTTAACCTGTATTGTTATTATGGTAATAAACAATCAACTGGTAAACAGGAGGAATAAATGACTGTCAATCAAAAAAGTAGGGCTCTAGGTACTAACATTCTTGGAAACCATTGTCATTAACAGGGATTTCAGACAAGGCTTAAACTGGGAGATTTAAATGCGCATACACTAACCCCAAGACGTACAATTGAACTGCCTCATATGTGGGCAATTATGAAGAATGCTCTAGGATGAATAGTGCTTCATTTAACAGTGGTTAATGAGATGCTAGTATGTTACAGATACCTATGCCTTTCTTACTGATTCTCAAACTTAAGATTTCATTTAAAGAAAAAATAATTGTAGGTCTCTGGTGTTGACTTGAATCATCTTGTGTTACTTAAATGTATACATATAAAACTAGATGTAAACAATTATAAAGGTCAAATTGAATCAGAGGAAAAATTAAAGCAACACAAAACCAATAAAATAAAAAATGACTGCATTTGTTAAATGTAGTTGCAAAGTTGTTTTGCTGAAACCTAGTAGCTGTTTGCTACATAAGCATGGTGGTTTTGTTGTTGTTGTTGTTTTTGAGACAGAGTCTTGCTCTGTTTCCCAGGCTGGAGTGCATTGGCACAATCTTGGCTCACTGCAACCTCCACATCCCAGGTTCAAGTGATTCTCCTGCCTCAGCCTCCCGAGTAGCTGGGATTACAGGTGCATATCACCATGACTGGCTAATTTTTGTATTTTTAGTAGAGACAGGGTTTCACCATGTTAGCCAGGCTAGTATCAAACTCCTGACCTCAAGTGATCCAGCTGCCTCGGCCACCCAAAATGCTGGGATTACAGGCATGAGCCACTGCGCCGGGCCATGAGCATGGTTTTGACTGAACAAAAATTCATTTGAAGGCAGAGAGTACCATGACAAATACCAGAAGCTGGGAAGGGTGTGGGGGTTGAGGGAAGGATACAGAGAGACTGGTTAATGGGTACAAACATACAGTTAGATAGAAGGAATATGGCCTAACGTTCAATAGCAGAGTAGGGTAACTATAGTTAATAACAATCTATTGTATCTTTCAAAATAAATATCTAGAAGAGAGGACTTGAAATATTCCCAATGCAAAGAAATGGTAACTACTTGAGGTGATGGATAGTGCTAAATACCCTGATTTGATCATTACACACTATATGCCCATAACAAAATATCACATGTAGCCCATAAACATGTACAAATACCATGTATCAATTTTAAAAGTATAGATGCTCACTTAGAAAAAATAGATTCATTTGAGATCAGCCCATCTGAAACACTGAGTTGGGTGTGATGAGCCAGTTTCCTATCACATTTCTCTATTTAAACCACAGGAAAACTTTATCCCTTGTTTGACATACATTTATTAAGTCTGCCTTGATTCGTTTCTCATTATCCTGTAATAAATACAGTGTAGTTCCAATGCAATCATAAAGCTAAATGCAAATAAAGACATCACCTTATCCATTGCTTTGAAACATTATCCATTGCTTTGTAACACCACAATACTCAGGGTCTTAAGACAGCAATAATCTCAGTCAGGCCTCTGCTAACTGTCTCCTATGTTTTGGCTCTGTGTCTCCACCCAAATCTCATGTTGAATTGTAATTCTCAATGTTGGGGGAGGGGCCTGGTGGGAGACGATTGGATCACGGGGGCGGATTTCCCCTTTGCTATTCTCATGATAGTGAGTTTCCACAAGATCTGATGGTTTAAAAGTGTGTGGCACTTCCCCCTTCACTCTCTCTCCTGCTGCTATGGTAAGATGATAAGATGCATTTCCTTCCCCTTTGCCCTCTGCCATGATTGTAAGTTTCCTGAGACCTTCTAGTCATGCTTCCTGTTAATAGCCTGCGGTACTATGAGTCAATTAAACCTCTTTTCTTCATAAGTTACTCAGTCTCAGGTAGTTCTTTACAGCAGCGTGAAAACTGACCAATATACCATCATCTTATGAAGGCAGACCATTAGAATCTAGGCGGTTTCAGACTGGCTAGCAGGGCACACTTGACTTACGGTGGGCAAGATATGCATTAGGGCCTCACTTCCATAAGCAATTCATTTCTCCATCTCTGCAGCTAAGAAGAGTCAGCAAGTGTGGCTCCACTGGTCTTTTTTGGTCTCTAGTCACTGGCAGAGATGATGTGTATTTCTACTTCCTGCTGACTTTGAAAGGAGCCTTGGCCTGCATGTCCCTGTGTCTGGCAAGCTTTCCTGTCCTTGTATTTCCCAGTTGTCAGTTTAGCTCCCATGGCTTGAGGGATGGCTCTGCCATCCAGAAAGAAACAGGGAAGGTGAGAGAGGCAAGACCTGTCTTGCCTCCCACAGGCAGTTCAAACACCCTGAACTTTTCCTGTCTGCAGGGAGGGCATCTCTTAACCTAGCACCCTTGAATGCTGCCTGGAAGAGGAGGGAAAGGCCTCCAGAGTCCCTGAATGCCAGAGATGAACTTTCCTCATTCTGGCCTCTCCCTGTTGTCTTGGGCACAGTTAGCATTATCAGCTTTTGTCTACCTCTTATATTTGAGATAACAATGTTAATGACTGAGATGTGGCCTGCAATTCACCCATGACATTCCCATAATCCGTGCTGGCTTTTGTATTAGTGAAAGACTCATATTAAAAATACTTAATTGAAACAGCAGAGGTGTTGACTACTCGGAGTGGATGCTGGCCATTGGGATGGAGCAGGGTCCTGGGGGCCCCCTGCAATGCTAAACATTAACCCTTTAATTGATGAATTGTGGGGAGGTCAGGAATCATGAGGGGAGAAGGAGATAGTCTCTGGACACTGCAGTTTGCTACCTGGTCTGGAAATACTTTAGAACTTTGCTATCTGTGCATCTGTACTGGTGATGCCTGTTGAACAACTGGTTATGTGGTGTGGTGTGCATATATCCTAAAACAACAGGGTATGTGCCGAGAAAGAATTGGTGGACCAGGACCAGATTTCATCATCTAGTGCTTTAACTTGCTGTGTGACTTTGGGGAAGTCATGTCATTCCCTGTACCTCAGCTTTTCCATCATGCTAAGTGATTTTGAGGCTTCTTCCTAGTTGTAACATTAATTTTCACAATTTTAAAGCCATGATCCAGGCACCATTTTTATTCTTTGCTACAAAGAACAGTCAATATTGTGATTGAGCACCTGGGTCCTTCTACTTGGTCTGAGCCCTGCTGAATGATCCAGGGCAAGCTCTGTAAGTTTTCTAGGCCCCATTTGACGTATACCACACAGGATTGTGAGGGGGGTTAGAGGGGCTGATGCCAGAAAAGTACTCAGTACCTTGCTTGGTCCAGCAACACACAATAGGTGTTAGTTCTTACTAGATTTAATGGCTAGAGTGGGGTCAAGAGATACAGAACATCGCTCTTCATTTTTCAAGCCCATCCATGAATGCTGAGGTCATTTTTTGAGTACAAGCTGCCGTAGCTCCTGAGTTCCACTCCAGGTGTTGATGGAGCATTGAGACAGAGAGGGAGCCATGGCATCGGGCCATGTCCTCGGAGCGTGTGCCAGGCATGGCCCAAGGGCCCATTCTCTGATGTCTCAATCTGTTCAGCAGGACTCTACCCCATGCCAACTTTGTCTAAGCCACAGTTTGTTTTGAATTCATGGTGTAGTGAGATGTTCAGCAAAGAATTCTGCCTTTATTGGAATTTGGAAGTGGTGTTTGTAGGGCTCTCCATTTCAGACATTTTCTTTGTCCATTTGGAGGTGTGATTAGACCAGGGAGTGGTTGAGGGTCTGGGCAGACCATCTCCCAGTTAGAATTTCCCCTCTAAATTATAATCTGAAGGACATCAGCATGTAAAAGAACAATGGAGACTTAGAATTTCAATATAAGGGAGAATAAATGGACACACTGGTAAATTATAATTCATTGTAAGGTAATTGAAGTCCTAGGAATTTAGTGGCTGATATTGTTCAAGGGTCCAGGAAATGTGTTGACTTTAGGCTTGGCTGGTTTCAGAACTCTAGGCTTACATTTTGCTAATTTATTAATCCCAGTCAAAAAAAGAACACTTCACATCATTCCAGCAAAATCTCAGGTAGAATTCTCATGGGTCCAACTTATGTGTCCTTCTCTGATCCTACTGACAGCAAAGGAAGACAGTGCTCTGGCTGAGCTGAGGCCACAGACCATCCCCTTGGGATGATACGGCTGAACATATGCAAATCCAGCAGCTTTCCAGGGAAAAAAGAAAGTGTTAAAAGGAATTATTAAGTTCCGACTTCCCATACTAAGAATAGGGGAAAGGCTGGTTACCTCAAAGGAAATTGGAGGGTTTGTTCCTGAAGAAGCCAGTCAAAACCAACAGATCCCATTACAAGCAAGGGTTTAGAATGAAGGAAGCCATCAACGCACACAGTCCCACCAAAAAATGGGTATCTGGAAACTTTAGTGAAACAGCTGGATAAACCTGGTGTCAATTTTGACAAATCACTTTTCCACACTCTTTTCTTACAGCAAAGTCCTCGAGGTTCATTCATTCAGGAAGCCTCTGACCAGCCTTTACCATGCGCTGAGTGAGAAGCTGAGGATAAGGAAAGAGCAAGACCCCCAAGAAACCCTGATGTCTGGCTGAAAGCCGAAGCATGACGCAACTTTGCTATATTTCTCTCCAACAAGGATTTGTATATTTTCGCTTTCTCCTCAAGTAACACCTGGACCTGCTCCTTTCCCTTCAAACGCTGAGGGCTCAGTCTCCAAGTTCCTTTATGAAACAGGGTGTACCATCAGAGACGCAGGTAAGAAACCTGAACTGCGTGGCCTCACATAAACCCCACCACACCTCTGTCCTGGGCTCCTTCCCCGCAACAGGTGTAAAGACAAAAGGCTCATTGTCCTTTGGAGCCTATAGGATAAACAGAAAGAACATGTCCTTGCCGGTTAATCTGCCGGTGATAAAGAGTATTGTTTTATCTCCTGCCATCTCCACGTTCCAAGAGATGAATTCTATTGTGACACAAAGTCTGCTTTGTCCTTCCAACCCACTGAGATGTTTAAATTGGCCTCTCATATATTCCTTGGTTGTCACAATAAGAGCAATGAGTTGTTATAATGTGTTGAGAGGATCTTTCCCCCATGACAAGGAGACCATCATCTACAGAGATGCTATGATGCTGAGAAATAATGTGCTTCTCTTCTGCTCTAATTTTTTTTAATTAAGACTTTTATTTTTTGAGCAGTTATAGGTTTAGAGAAAAATTGAAGGGAAAGTACAGAGAGTTCCCATCTTCTCTCACCCCTTTCATCTCTGTTTCCATACGTTTGCTACAAATGATGAGCCAACAGCCATACGTTATTAACTAAAGTTCACAGTTTACATTAGGGTTCACTCTTTGCTTGTACATTCTATGGGTTTTGTCAAATATATGATAACCTGTATCCTCCATTATAGTACAATACAGAAGAATCTCACTGCCCTAAAAATCTCCTGTGTTCCTCCTGTGCATCCCTCCCTCCCATCCCCTGGGGAACCACTGATCTTTTTGCTGGCTCCAGTTTTACCTTTTTCAGAATGTGAGGTAGTTGGGAGTCATACAGTATATGTGTATATATATATGTGTATATATATGTGTATATACATATATATATACACATATATATACATATATATATACACATATATATACATATATATATATATAAAAAATAGCCTTTTTAGATGGATGTCTTTCCCATAGCAATATGCATTGAACTTTCCTCCAT
Organism: Homo sapiens; assembly: GCF_000001405.40. Taxonomy (NCBI): domain Eukaryota; kingdom Metazoa; phylum Chordata; class Mammalia; order Primates; family Hominidae; genus Homo; species Homo sapiens. The sequence continues at coordinate 64,800,710 of NC_000003.12, forward strand.
GACTTTGTGTGGCTCAATAGTTCATTTATTTTTGTTGCTGAATAGCTTCTGCTTAATTTTCAAAGTGTTTAATGTAAGAAAGCGGTATAGTCCAGGCGCAGTGGCTCAACACCTGTAGTCCCAGCACTCTGGGAGGCGGAGGCGGTGGATCACTTGAGCCCAGGAGTTTGAGACCAGCCTGGGTAACATGATAAAACCTTGTCTCCATAAAAAATACAAAAATTAGCTGGAAATGGTAGTGTGCGCTTGTAGTCCCAGCTACTCAGGAGGCTGTGGTGGGAGGATTGCTTAAGCCCAGGAGCTAGAGCCTATAGTGAGCCATGATTGTGCCACCGCACTCCAGCATGGGTGACAGAGTGAGATCCTGTCTCAGAAAAAAAAAAAAAACAAAAAAAAAAAAACCCAGAAACAACAACAACAAAACGGCAGTATATTTGTCCCCACCCTCATCTCTTCCTTTATGGGTATTTCCCTAATTGTGAGAGATTACCTGTGTTTTAAAAGGTGGCTTACTGTATGCATTGAGAAAATTAAATGACATTTCAGACCAGTTCCAAGTACCTTTTGCAAAGCTAGAGAAATAAAAGTGAATTCTAGTATCTCAATCACAGAGTAAAACTAGAGAAGGTCTGTTGGGCTTCAGGCAACATTGGTGTTCTTGGCAATTTTACCCAGAAGAATTTATATTCCTATAATTAGTATTTCCTCCAAAATTAATGATCGCCTGATTGATTTATTTCTTTCCTAGCAGCACTGGAGGTCCCACTTACCTAGTTAGTAATAACATTTGCTCTTAATACATGAGTCAGTTTTCTTTTTTCCTTTTTTCTTTTTCTTTTTTTTTTTACATTTCCAAAACAGAATACCCTGCAGGAAGAATGGGATGGCAGTGGAGGAGCTCTCACTCACATATCATGTAATGTGGGAGGCAGGGCTATGCGATAGTCATAAAGGGTGCAGGCTTCAGAATCAAAGGAGTGAGGTTGGTGTCCCTGCTTACGCCCTACTAGCTGAGTGTCCTTCAGGTCATTTCTCCTCTCTCAGACTCAGTGGACTGTTTCCTAAAGCACAGCTCATAACAGGCTGTACGTGGTAAGACCGTCGGGAAGATGGAAGGAGATCAGTCATCCCTAGAGAGCATTAAGCACAGTCTCAGCCACAAAACACTTCCTCAAACATGATGCAAGCCACACAGGGCATTTGGCCTGCGTATAAAGGACATACTGAGGACAGTGTAGATGCTCAAGAAATTAGTCCTGAATGATCAAGGGGGGAAAGAGAGGGTTAATCTTATCATATGTGGGCTCTCAGAGAACACAGAGCTATAGAAGGAAGCTGACTTAATAAGGGTCAAGCATGATAGGGGAGATTAGGAACCGTGTGCAATCTAATGGAACCACAGATAACACCTTCTAGTACTTTTTCCCTTTGGCCCTGCCCCTGCTGAGACAGGGCCACTGCTAATAACTCACATTCTTCTCTTCTCTCCTCTCAAAAAGCCCATTTCCTGAGCAAGTATATGCTTTGGTAAGGTCATTAGCGGTCAACATGGTTCCCAAGTTTAGTGAATACTTTCAGATAAAACTGAAGGGTACAAAATCACTCTTTCCTCTCTCCCTCTCCTTGTCCTACCTCTCACAATAAAACGACTTATCTACTAATTACAAAGACCTCAATAGTGGAAGAAATCCATATCCTACATAACATGGAGAGCTAGCTATATACCCTTGGCATCAGTTTTTATCCTACTTTTACTTTTTACTGACTTTCATTTACTGAACAAAGCCTCCTTTGCCAAAGGCAGGGTAAATAAACTCAGTCACATCCTGTCTTCCTTACATCTTTGTTTATCCATAAACTGTCGAAGATACAGATGAAAATCCACTAAAGCATGCTTGAAGCGGTTACACGAAGGCCAAATAAGATGGGAATGGAAATGCCTGATGTTAAGGGAAGATACTACCTAAAATGATACTGAGCTGGCCAGTGTAATGACATGAAAACAAAACAAAAAAAAGATAAACAAAAGATGACTAACTGCTACAGTTAGGAATGGACTCATTTGTGTAAAGAAGCAGTAATGCAAAAGACATTAACAGCAATATAAGAAAGTGTCTGTATAGTTAGTGGGAAGAAGATAAAGCTTAGCGATTAAGAGCACAGACGGGAATGAGAGTAGATTTCAAACCTGGCTCCACCTTTTGCCTTTTTACCTTTAACTGGACAACTCAGTTAACCACGCCAAACCTCAATTTCCACATGTGTAACATGGGATAAATTAATACCTTTCTCAGAGTATTGTTTTTTGAAGATTTGATAACATAAAACCTATAAAAAGTACTTAGTGTTTGGCTTCAGGTAGATTTTCATTGAGAGTTAGCTCTTATCTTTAGTATGTTAGTAAGGATCTTGAGGGGTATAGAGCATACAGTACTATGCAAAATTTACCTCCATAAAACCTGGTTTTTTCCTTCAGAACACCCTGGGAGGTTACGGTTCTGCTAAAAACAGTCTGGGAAATGCTGCTTTAAATAAACAGAAGACTTTGGGGGAAAGGGGCTGTCTTGAATAGAAAATTAGAAGTTTGACAGTGGTGCTTGTGGCTACTCCTGTAACTTCGGGGCATGAGTTTTGGGGACAGGATTGATTGCGGCATCAGTACAGTCGTCATTTCTGTGGAGAATCAGATTATGTAGATATCATTGCCACTTAACAGCAGCTTTTCCGGGACCCAACTAAAACAAAGACTCCTTGCCCAAGTTGGTCGCAAACTTTGCAAAGGAAACTCTTCTTTTTTGACCCGTATCCAGGTGTGAGACAAAATAGCAAATGTAAGAATCTATGTTTGGTCATTTCTGCTTTCCAGCATAATTTCACAAAGCCCTTAACTCTGACAACATGCAGCTCTCCGGAGGGACGCTCTGAAGACAAAACCCACACACCCGCAATGTCTCTTGCCTGAGTCACTATACTCTTTAAGAAGTAAAGGGCCCTAGTCCTTGCCTTTTTTTCCACTCGAGATAACATGGCCGAGTTAGTAATTACTCTTCTGTAATCTCTACCCAGATGTCTTCTCACCCCCAAACCTTGCCGTGATTTTGCACGTACTGAATATTCACCACCTATATGTAAACTGTGAATTGAAATACTGCCCTATTATGAACTGAATTAATACCCAGGCTCAGTCTATAGTCCTTGTAAGACTTCTGAATATAGCTAACTCTAATTCTTTCAAAGCTTGACTTTTTTCTTTAGTCTACAGGCAGCAGGCCTCTGTCTTCTCTACCCTACTGCTGGATCAGAATTTCCCCTTGTGTCCCATGAACATAGAATCCATCACCTGCTCTTTGGGGAGGTACTATGAGCCTGGGAGAAGCATTTTGAGCCTCTCTGGGGAAGAATAAGCTGCATGCAAGGTTATAGGTATTTTATGATCTGTTATAGACGGATAATTCAAGGTGCAGGCTCACAGCTTGATTTGTTTTTGTTTTTGTTTTTGTTTTTTAAAGGAAGGTAGCTTAGCAGTGAAACTCATTTTCCACAACTCCCAAAGTGGTATTGCAATAAATCTGTGAATTTAATCAGCCTCCTCTGTTGAGGCAATCTCTTCTAATTGGGTTCTTGTGAGGGATAATAGACATGATGACAAAAATACTTCATCTCTGGAAAGGAAGCCAGAGTCTCATCAATAATCTTGATAATAAAGATCCCATCCTCCAGAGAAATGGAGAACAGGCCTCCAGTGCAAACCACAGCACCATGCTCACCCTGTGTTAGGGAATATTTACCTTTTAGGTGATGATTCTGTCTCCCTGCTTCCTGCTTAACAGCAGGAAAATTAAAACCTTGCAACGTAACTATCTCCAGGACAATATTGGCCAAGTAACTCCGCAGACTACTAAGTGGGTTTCTAGAAGTATTCCAGAAGATTGCAATGGAGTCATGGGGAACTGCATTATGAAGAAAACAAAGCTGGAACACAGAATCCAAACTTCATGATTTTGTTTTCTTTCCCTGTCTCTGGCAGGTGATTCCCACTCTCCTCTGTCACTCCTGGCAGTTATGGTGGGGCTTAGAGGGGTCCCTGTCTGGAATGTAACACACACTTCTGATGGCTGTCACCTGGCACAGCAACCCAGTGGATACAGGGAGTACTGGAGCTAGATGCCACCTGCTCCTCAATTATTGGACAAATATGACCTCCAGACCTGGTTTTGTCTGTCCTAGGTGGATGGGGTGGGGAGAGAGAAATAGAGAGCATCCTTGGAGGCTGACCTTTCCAAGTTGCTCATCCCATTTAAAGGGTTTGGAGAACAATGGCAGATGCATCCTAAGTTTTTCTATGGAAAATGAGAGAAGCAAAGCAAGGTAATTGAATTAGAAGCAGGGAAAAAAAGAATTTCACAAGGCTGTCATCTGTCCCAGTCCCACCCAACATAGCCTGACATTCCTCTACCCTCTTCATTCTCTGCACGAAAACATTCTCGACACATCCCCTCATCCCTCATGGCCGGGCACTGATGGTCAACAGATCACTTTGGTGATGAACACAGGAACTCACCTATGGTCAGCACCCTCAGGGCCAAAAATGGAGGAAGAACTGTGAAAAATGCCATCTTCCCTGCAAAAAGTGCCACAAACACTCACCAGTTCAACAAAGAGCTAGTGTGTTTCAACTCCTTAGCCTCAGGCCTCACTAGCCTGTGAATAGGGGCACTGATGGGGCAGAGATGCGATAAAATCCCAGCTTCCCTTGTTTCAGTCCCAAGTTGTGGTTTTTCCGTTTCCTCCCACTGGACAGCTTCAGTATGAATTGCTCCCAAAACCAACAGTAAAATTTAACCTCCACTCCTTGCAGGAAAAGAAGATCCTCATCTCTTTGGGGAATTTGCTTTTGGTGCAAGTCTTGCTGACCTTGGCATGCCTCTCATACACACAAAAGCTGTGGGGCTTTCCAGAGGATGCTCTCATATACACCACAGGCTCCCAACAAAGTGGATCCCTGGACAAGAAGCATCAGCTGCACCTGAGAAGTCATTAGAAATGCAAATTCTCAGTCTCACACAGCCCTACTAAATCCGAACCCTAAGAGATTTGGCCCAGCAACCTGTGTTTATAACAAGCCTCCAAGCGATTCCAGTGCACTCTTAGTTTAACACTGATACACGCTGATCATTTCTCCAGTGTGCCTCACACTTTCTTTCTTGTGTATTTGGTCTTTCTGTTCTTTCCATTCAGCATCCTTCCTCCTTCTGTAACTGACCGACTCCTGTTCAGTCTTTAAAGCCTTCCAAAAAACACCCTCCTATTTGTAAGCCTCCTCTGACACCATCCTCTCCACTTAAGCAGAATTAACTGCCCCTTTATTTCTCCTCTGACAATACTTTGGGCATCCATTGATACATTATGTTATAATCATCATGTATGTATCTGTTTTCCATACGAGGCTGAGAGGGTGAGAAAATACCTGATTCAGCAAATATTTTATACAAAATATCACAGGCCTACCATTGGGTTAATTCTGGTGATGCCAAAATAGAATAATAAACTCTGATTAAAAAGTGGGACAGTGCCGTATTTGCCTAATTCATCATTGCATGCCAAGTGAGATTTCAAATCCCTGGCTTAAAGCCTCCCCCACTGACATATACTAGCTGTGTAACCTTGGGCAAATTATTGAACCTCTTCAAATCTCACGCATCGCAGGGAAATGCTAATAACATTTACCTCCATGTTTCATCATCATCATCATCATCGCATCCTTAGCAACTTGTATTGTGCCTGATACAGAGAACATGGGTATAAGTGTAAAAACTTTTTTAAAAGGTCAGAGTTCTGGACAGATATACTATAATTCTTGTAGAACTTGACACTCACCCTATGCAAACCTGACTTTACATAAAATGTTTCATAAAACATGCAAAAAGACACAGACAACTTTCGTATTGCCTCACTAATTTGCCCAGTAAGAGGGTGATCAATATTGAGAATGCTGCCTGAGTTATTTCGTGGTTGTATTAGGTCTGTTCACTCCCCCATCCACTCTCACCACCTTTAAACTATGACTCTGGTTTGCAAACTTGGTTTCACACGAGAATCACCTGGGAAGCTTTAAAAACAAATCCTGATGCCTGTGTCTTGCCCTGAAAGAGTCAGATATATTAATAATTAACACGGGGAATGGCTTGGGCATGGGATCCCCAGGTGACTCCAATGTCCAGCTGTAGGTTTAAACCACTGGGTTAGAAAACCTACAGGAAGACTAAACTGTGGCTCAGGATGAAAAGTTATGTAAATCAACAGGTCTTGCTATTTTTGATAAAATTAAAGTATGATGAGCCTGCTGGCGGTGGTGTGATCATACTAAAACAACTGAAGTGTTCACAGAAATGTTTTAACTAGTGTAACATTCCAGATGGTTAGGACTTCTGGAATAGAATGATGCCAAAGTCAGCCAGCCTCTATAATAGCCTGTGGATGATTCTTGTAGCTGCTAAACTACCCTTAACTTTCCATTTTGTTTTTCAGTCCACATAGCTCACCCCTCTTGCCCTCACCAGGCAAACCAACTTCATTCATCAACAATGCACCACAGGACTGTAGGAGGATTCCCTTCCTGTCAGCTTAGACTTTTAGTTTCTGAAACACCACTGTCTGTAGAAGCAAGGCTGACAGACATCTTGAGACTGGTATTCTCTCTTGGCTACAATTTAGAGATTGTCTGTGATGACTGGCGCCAAGAACTCCATGGATTAAGCCTCCTTTTCTGGCTCCCCATCAATCTTTCCAAGTGTTTCCCTCTTCTTGACCTTGTTTCTCTGATAAAGCAGACTGAGTATGATGGCAAGGAGGTGGCTTATTGGGACGGGGCCCCAGTACCACTGGAGCAAGACTCAAAGCTTTGACTCTGAGCTACAGTCATCCTCTTCTTGAACTCTGGTTAGGACCAATAATGATATGTCTGGCTACCAGAAAAGAGAGTTTATTTCAATAGTAATTATGTAGGAGAGGCAACCCTGGCTTTTAAAATGTGAATAATGCTCAAATTACTGGGGAGATATTGAGGAAAAAATTAAATAATAAACAAGCCTAAGGTAGACTTTAAACACTACTTCAAGAACAACAGCTACTTTGATAGTCAAGTTTTTTAAGTCATACTTGCAGATAAGTACTAGCTCGAAGTTTCTTCTTTTCTTTTTCTGCTTTTCCTGTGCTCCTCCCCTATTTCTTCTTTTCTTTTCCAATCAGCATTTTCAGGGGCAAGGAAAATACATCACGGTACCCTCAGCAGAGAAGTGAAAAGGGGAGAGGAAGGACCACCAACCCTCCTTGAGAGTTGCCTGCATGCCAGGTGCATTGTGTCACAGAATCTCCTTTAATCCATACAAAACCCCATGTAGGGATATTATATACCTATTTTTTTTAATGAGGAAAACCTGGCTCAGATTATAAAATACAATTTTGCTAAGGAAGCATAGCTAGCAAGAATGACAGCCAGGATTCAAATTATGAGGTGTGTGATTCCAAAGTCCAATTTCTTTACATTACACTGAGGTGGCTTGTAACTGCCCTCTTCCAACCAATCAGTGATACTCTGTTTGATGTGTCTACAGATGGGGCAAAGGCCCCTTGGTCCCCTTGGCTCACCTGCTTAGACTAGACCATCAGGACAGCTCTGATTTCAGTTTGGGTCTCTATCTTGTGCCCTAACTCCCATCATCATCTTCTCAACAAATGTCTATGCCTGTGACCCTGGGAGAATGAGAACGCATGTAAAAAGCTATGGGTGGGAGCTCCATGACCACAGGGGAACACCCACATAGGAGTTGATTCTGTGGAGCCTAATTCTGTAGATTCAGCAGCTTCTTTATTTCTCAAAGCAGGTATTCCCCACATCTGTAGGAGATGGAAGGGAGAGAATCAGAGAAAGAAGAGTCCCAGGCAAGCAAGAAGCTGCGGGAGAATATGCAGCAATAAATTCAAGTGCCATTTGCTCTTCACCAACTCTCCGGCTCAGGTCTTACCAAGCCAACGCAGTGATGGGAGGGAGCACCCAATCCAGTGAAGTGTTTTGCTTCTGGCCAGGCACATTTCTACCCTATGGAGGAGAGGACATTGCAGCAAAGGGAATTTTGAAGTCAGGCCCCAAAGATTATATAAGATAGAACACAGGAAAATGAACCATTCTTCAGAACCCTTGAAGTTCTTGTATATTATTATCCAATGATAGATATGCTTTACCATTCACACATGGGAATAAATCCTAAAAATAATAACCTTTTCATTAGAAAGCTAGACTATAATTTTTCCAGGGGTCAAATGGATAACATGCATATTTTTATAAATCTCTTTGGGCTGTTGAAGCACTGGTTTGGTGTTATAATAGCAGAAGGGGTTTTGCTGTATTTTTCTCTCTTCTTTCTGAGGTTGTGGTGGACAAACAGGAATTCAAATTTTGCAACTCTAAAATGACACCCCTACTTCATGGTTGGGGGCTGTTTTTCCAGTATCAGGCACAGATGGTGTTTCTGTCTCCTCCAGAGAATATTTTTGGATGTAAAGTTTCTGAAATAAATTATTCAACTGAGGCCAAAATAGTCTCTGGAAAATAATCATATGTGAATAGAAAATAAGAGCAGCCTGGCCGGGGCTGAGAAAAAAATGCAGCTGGTTTTTAGAAATGGTAATGTTTGTACTAATATTTGTATTAGGAATAGAATGAGACCCGGAATTTTGGAAGTGAGTGCTGTTTTACTCAGAAAATTTGGTGATTATCTTCTCTTTTCTTTTCCTTTCTCCCTCTCTCTCATTCTCTTAAGATTAGTGAAGAGCAGTCAAGGGTTAGTACTTCTGAAACTCTAATGACCATATGAATTACCTCTGGATTTTGTTAAAATGCACACTTTGACTCCATATGTCTATAGATTCTGCATTTCCAACAAGCTTCTGGGTTAGGGTACTGTTACTGGTCTGCAGATCACTTTGAGTGACAAGTGCTGGAGGAAGTTCAGATAAATTATATAATGGAGTAAAGCTATGCTTTGCCAATCTAGTAAATTAATTATTTTATTTTTTCCTTTAATAGGTATTTATTGAAACCTGCTTTGTGCTGGGCAATGTGCCAGATGTTGGGGATAAAATGGTGAGCAGACAGATCCTGTGCCTGTCTTTATTGAGCTTGGAGCCTAGTATGTATGACAAACTTTAATCAAATAATCATATATTGAAATATTGCAGCTGTAGTAAATCTAATGAAGAAGGGGTACAGGTGCTATGAGATCTTAAAATAGGTGCCTTCATTAGAAGGCTGGAAAAGGTTTCCCTGAGGAAGGGTATTGAGCTATGAAGATAAGAACAGTAGTCATTATTATCATCATAGTGAGCAGCTAGCCATGATTTGAACATTTCCTTTGGGCCAGTACTAGGTATACATCTGTCCATTATCTCATTTAATTCTCACAGCAACCTCCTAAGGTAGGTGCTGTTGTTATCCAATGTTACGGTGGAGAGACCTGAGGCTCAGAGAGTTTGCACAAGGTCACACAGCTAGCACACAGCAAATTCATTACCCAAACACAGAACCATTTAACTGCTTCAAGTTATCATCCAGGACTTTAACCAGAAAGACTGCTGAATCAACTGTATCAGCTTCTTAGCTCCTTGTTTTAACAGCAGCCATATTGGGAACTGTTCTGCTCCTGCTGGTGTGATGTAGCAGTGAAGGCTCTGGGCAGGAATGAGGAAACATGACTTTGGGCCCTAGTTTTGCCAGTAACTTGCCTGGGGTTTGGACAGTGGTCATGACGGTGACCACTTTTCAAGCACTTTCTGTCTACCACATACTTTGCTAAGGCTTAACAAATGATTATTTTGCAAGATCAGAGTTATATATTAATATCTGCATTTTACTGGTGGGACAATGAAACTTGGAGAAGGTTAAGTGGCAAAATTCGTAAGAGGTAGGGCATGGGTTTGAGAGGTTGTTTAGTGTAGTGCAACAGTTCTCGAAGTGTAGTCTGCAGGCCTTTTCAGGGGGCAGGTCATCAAAACTATTCTCATACTAACACTAAGATGTTATTTACCTTTTTAAAATTGTGTTGACATTTGTAATGACGACTCAAAAGCAATGGTGAGTAAAGATGTCAATCTTTAGCAAAATAATTTTTTATTAGTGATGTTAATTGTGTAAGTCGAAGTAGCTTTTTCCCTAGGTATAAGAGTTTTTATTTTTATTTTATTTTATTTTTTTTTGGTTTTTTTTTTTTGAGACAGGATCTCACTGTCACCCAGGTTGGAGTGCAGTGGTGCAATCTTGGCTCACTGCAACCTCCACCTCCCAGGCTCAGGAGATCCTCCCACCTCTCAGACTACCGAGTAGCTGGGACTACAGGTGCACACCACCACATCTGGCTAATTTGCTTTTGCATTTTTTTGTAGAGACAGGGTTTCTTCATGTTGCCTAGGTTGATCTCTAACTCCTGGGCTCCAGTGATCCTCTAGCCTTGGCCTCCCAAAGTGCTGAGATTACAGGTAGGAGTCGCCAGGCCCAGCCAAGGATTTCTTATAAATACACTCACACAGATAAAGTTTCAGAAGATAAAAACATAACTGCAACTGGAAACAAATGCCTGGAAATATGTGATAGATCAATTATCATAAAGGCCTCTGGGATGACACCCCAGAAGTAATTGTTGCCAATAATATCATGAGAGCTTTCAAGCAAAAATTAGAACTTTGGAAACCTTGGATCTGCTGCTATGAGCTTGTCAGCTTCCTAGTTCTTGATGTCCTTTTAAAATGAGAGTAGTGTTGACATTAACAGACTGGTTTAAAAAAATTGGTGGTGGGCCGGGGGGTGAAGATCTGTAAAGCTCAGTGAACCAAGAGCTTCCAAATGTCCATTGTATAATGTTTAAAAATCATGCATGGGTAAAAGAACTGCTGAAAATATAAAATGGACCCATGGATTTTGGGTATGGAAAGTTCATTGATATGGTTTTAGATTCCACATTACAACTAACCTTTATGAAATATCACTTTTCAAGTTTTGTGTACTATTAAAGAAGAACAGCTACAATGATCTAAAAAAGCTACTAAACAGTTCCCCTCTGTTCCAATTATGTCTCGAAGTTGGATCTTTTTCATCTACTTCAATCAAAACCACGTATCACAACAGACTGAAGGCAGAACAGATATGATCATCAAGCTGTCTTCTGTTAATCCAGATGTTAAATGTAAAACAGTGCTACTCTTTGTACTAAATGCTTTATTTTGGAAAATATCATTATTTCTCTTAAAAATGTGCTATTTATGTTAACATAGGAGTTTATTGTTATTTTTGAGTGAATAAAGCAATATTTTTAAATTTCTTAGTTTTAAGATTGAATACAGTAAATATTGATAGGTATAATACATATAAATAAAACTCTTTGGGGTCCTTAATACTTTTTAGGAGTGTAAGGGGTTCCTGAGAGCAAAATTTTGAGGATCCTACCTAGTGCATGAGAACATGGGCTCTGGAGCCAGGCCTGCCTGGGTATATCCTATTATCGCTGGGTTTTTTTTTTAATTTTATTTTACGTTTAGGGGTACATGTGCAGGTTTGTTATGTAGATAATAAACTCATGTCATGGGGATTTGTTGTACAGATTATTTTGTTACCCAGGTACGAAGCCTATTACCCAGTGGTTATTTTTTTTGCTCCTCTCCCTCCTCTCATCCTCCACCCTCAAGTAGGCCCCAGCATCTGTTGTTTCCTTCTTTCTATTCATGAGTTCTCATCATTTAGTTCCCACTTATAAGTGAGAACATGCAGTATTTGGTTTTCTGTTCCTGGGTTAGTTTGCTAAGGATAATGACCTCCAGCTCCATCCATCCCATGTTCCTGCAAAAGACATAATCTCATTCTTCTTTATGGCTGCATAGTAGTCCATGGTGTATGTGTACCATATTTTCTTCATACACTCTGTCATTGATGGGCATATAGGAAGAGATGTTGGACCTTGGGCAAATTATTCCCACTTTGTCTGCACTAGTTTTATAAGCAATATAGAAACAGTTCCTACATTCATTCTAGGGGTGTTATGAATGATAAACAGGTGGGCACAGATCCGTTAGCTCTTGTCTAATTTGTGAGTGAGTACTCTTTCCACTAGATTCACTTTTCCAAGCTTTGCTGTCCATATTTCTGAGGGTTTTTTTTTTTTTTTTTCTGAGACTTCAGCCCAGGCTGGAGTGCAGTGGCACAATCTTGGCTCACCGCTACCTCCAATTCCCAGGTTCAAACGATTCTCCAGCCTCAGCGTCCCAAGTAGCTGGGATTACAGGAATGCACCATCACACCCAGCTAATTTTTGTATTTTTAGTAGAGATGGGGTTTCACCACATTGGCCAGGCTCGTCTCAAATTTCTGACCTCAGGTGATCCACCCGCCTCGGCCTCCCAAAATGCTGGGATTACAGGTGTGAGCCACTGCGTACAGCCCATTTTTGAGATTTTTAAAAGCCTATTTACCTTAGCTATTACATGCTTCTGTAAATATATTCCCTCTGATTAAACAAATTTCAGATCAATATTCTAGCTAGAGATGATGCCAGTATAGAAAACTCTATTTAGCCTCTGAAAGGAGTGTACTTGCATTGTATGGACAAAGGAAGTTACTTTGAAATTATTCCTAGCTCTGCCATAGATTTGCTCTTTGGATTTGAACTTAGATACTTTTTAGAATTTGCTCACTCTGATCAAGTGTTTTGATTATGAACGTTAGCAGCAGGCATCCAGTTGCATTCAGCTTTCCAAGCAAATATTTACAGAGCCCCTTCTGTGCAATTGGCACGGTTCTAGGTGTGGGAATGAAACAGACAAAAGCAAACAACAGGAATGCATATTCTGGGTGTGTATATCATGGGAGAGACAAACAATGAATAAATAAGCAAAATATATAGTGCGTTGGCTGATAAGAAGGACAATGAAGAAAGACAAAGCAGGGAGAGTGGAGAAGGCCTGGGGTGTGAGTGTGGGCTGCAGTTTCCCTTCCCAGTCAGGAAATGCCTTACTACAGAGGTGATTTTGGAGTGAACCATGTGGATATCTGGGTGAGAGAATTCTAAGACCAGGGAATCGCATTTATAAAGACATAACCAGATTCTGCCCGGCGTGTTAGTGTGGTTGAGCTGAGTGGGCAAGGCAGGTGTAGAAGATGTGATCTAAGAGGTATGAAGTGCCACACTGCATCATACCGGCCTGGACACCCTGATTTGGAAGCCACTGGAGACTTTTGAGAAGTGACGTGATCAGAGGGATCCTGGTGATCAGTGTGGTAGCAGTGGAGATTGTGAGACATGGTCAGATTCTGGATCTATTCTGAAACTAGAACTACCAAGATTTGCTGATATATGGGATTTGGGGTTTGAGGAAAACAAGGAAGTCTAGGATTATTCTAAAGCCGGGGTAACTGGAGGGATGGAATTCCAAGAACCAAGGCCAGGAAGACTGAGGAAAGGGCAGGTTTCAGTGGAGGTATCAGGGAAGGGACCAGAGTTTAGATTTAAATGTGTTCATTCTGGGGTGCTTAATAGGCATCCAATTTTTTTCATACTCTCAAGGATGAACCAAATTAGTAAAAACAGCCAATTTACTGCTAGGAATTACTAAAAAAAAAAAAGTGGCTGCATTACTTTCTAGAAAAAGAAAGCCTGAAATCTTACATATAAGGATTCTTTTTTTTTTTTTGTGCATCATGTGGTGCTGTTCCAGAACTGAACACCCTATGCCAGGTGCGGTCTTATTAAAGTTCTGGAAGAAAAGACTATCTGTTCTGAGACACAATGCCTCTACTTGTGGAACTAAAAATAGCTCAGCTCTCAGTCCCCAGGGCACGCAGTTCTCTAAGTGTCCATCCATTACATGGCCACATTAGTTTGACAAGTTTTCAAGGCTCACCTGTCCACTACTCACACATCTGGGTTTTATATTTTAATTTTAATATTTTGCATGGCTCCTTCTGCCTTTGTCACAAATGTGACTTTCTCTACTTCATCCTTCCCTCTCACAGATGCTATTGTTGGGTATGGCTGCCTGATATATTGTTGTCATTAATAAGAAAAACAGCATTTCCCAATTTAGTATCATCTGTAGAATTCATTAACGTGTTGTTTGCACTTTTATCCAGATATTTTAAAAGGATGTCAAATAATACGGATAATCATCTTACAATTAAAGTAAGGGAAAGGTTATCTTTTTTTTGGAGGAGAAAAAGGGACATGTTTTCTGTTGTTTCCAATAGCTCATTTGCTCAGCAAACAGACAAGAAAAAGGGAGCAGGGACAGATTTTTTTTATAAGAATGTCAATTCATTCGTGGGTTGGGGAGAATTGTCCAGAAGCTTAACTGACATTCCTCTTCCACATCATCCCACATATAATTTTGAAACAAAGACAAGCAGGAAACGCAGATTTCATAACCTGAAATCTCTTTAGCTTCATCAAATGCCAAAAAGCAACTGCAATGGCAGAATAAAATACACTAATGTGTTTTGACACAATAATCGTGCCTGTTTCTCTTTAATGAGCCAGGCTGGGGATTTCCAACTTATAGAGGCAGAGAAAGGCTGTCAAACCAGCAGATGTGCCCCATACTTGCAAGGGGCATTTACTTAATGGGCCATCTGAATACTTGTCTACATGTCAGCGATGATGCAAACATGACATCTCTCAGCTTGAGAGTTGCTCTTGTGTGCAGACAACTTTGTGAAGTCATGGGATAGCACTTGGAAAGGAATTTTAAACTGGGAATACATTTCATAGCTCAGCTGCAAGACTGAAGACTGCAGGAAGGAATTCACTTTCAGCAACTATGTGAATTCATGGAGTAGGTCCATGCTATTTCAGTTCTGCACAGCTGGCCGACTGTGAAGCTTTATTTTTCTCTTCTTAGAGCTGAGTGACGTCTCTTTAATGGTTTTGGAATGACTGTTGCCAACTCTTTTTGATAATTTTTGTTTTGTTTCTCTCAACTGGGATATTTCTTCTCACCTGGGTGATTTCCCATCTTAAGAATTTTTCGGCTAATGTATGAGGGTTTTTTTTTTTTTTTTTCTTGATTGCCTGGAACAGACATCAACTTGTGTTAGCTCACTCACAAAATGAGGATCTAGTGTAAAGATGGAGAGATTGTGCAATGGAAGTGTAAGCAGAAATACAGCGAGGGCTCAGGAAATACTAGAATAGGCAACATGCTCTTCCTCTCTGCTTCTATCTGCACATCTGCTTTATTTCTTTGCCTCAGCAGACTCACCATCTCTGCTCCTCATCCCGCATGGTGGGGAAGGATGCCCACCCACAGCTCCCCAGGCCATCTGTTAGAGCTCCAACCACGTGGAATGACGGAATCCATTCTGTTCTCTATCTCTGCTCTAGTTTCAAATTCCTGGGGAAAAATGACCCAGCTCACTTCAGGCTCCCACTCTTGGTCCAGTGGGCTGCAAAATTTCCAAGCGTAGCTTCTGTCAGTTCCTTGCTTTGGGTTAGGTGAAAATGAAGGGAATAATTGTGAGCTGTTCAGATTCACCAAGAAATTATCTACTATTGTTGGGGGAGAATGCCCAGGGACAGATGCATTTGGGTAAGGGACAATAACAAGACACTAGAAAGGAAAATCCCAATTTTATTTTCCTACAGAGTCAGCATCCCACACATTTTCCTTCACAGAAACTGACAAATAATCCATGGGGGCAGCTTAGCAGATGGGTTGAAAAAAGCGACAGGCTCATCATCAGTTTTCAACACCTTGATACATCAGGCTTGGCCCTTGCTACCTCATGCATTATTTAAGCACAATGCATCTCCCTCTGATTGTGTCATGTGCTGGAGGAGAATGTGAAGTTCTGTCTGTCTTTAGCAAACATGTTTCAAGTACTGTCTGTCTGAAAACCAAATGGAAGAGGGTAAACCTGATGATCCACTTGATTTTAGTTTTAGGACCTGGATGCATAGGCAGATGTCAGTTTACAAGGATTCTGTGTACTTTAAGGAATGTTTTCTGAGCATGTCCAGTACAACAGACGCTCTGTTAGGTAGCTGTAGTTAGGATTTTTTGGTTGTAAGTATGTGAAGATTTAAATGTATCAGCTCACTTCTCAGAAAATCTGAGGCAGTGCTAGCCAAACCAAATGGTTCAAGCAAATGTCATCAGTATTTGGCCTCTTCCAGTCTTTTTACTCCTCTATCCTCTGTGTCTGCTTCACTTCTACACAAGCTTTCTCTATGTGGTGGCTCCAGATTTTATATCTTCTAGTAGATATTTTTTTAAAAAAAGAAAAGAAAAAGACTCCCCTTGCCCCCTCCCCCAGCTCCTTTCTCTTGTTCATTCCAGTGGAAGTCCAGGGTCTCCTTGCTAACATTGCTTGATTGGCTGTGATTGGGTCATGGACCCAGTTCTGAGACAATCACTGAGTCCAGGATGAGGTGTTGCTCTGATTGGCTAAGCTTGGATCTTGTGCCCAGTCCTGGAGTTGGAGTAGAGGCAGCTCAAACCTAACCACAGGGATGGGGCTTGCGGGTGGGGTGGTTCCCCAAAGGAAACCCAGGATACTGACACCCAAAGAAGGGGGAATAGAGGCTGTGAGGGCAGAACCCATAAATGTCTACTACCCAGGCTAAGGAAGGAGACACATACACTACTTACTCTCATAAAAACCTAATGATGGTAGGTGTTTCAAGTGAGATATTTGGAAAACACAGATGAAAAGCCATTAATTCTGAAAATCTAGACATCAGTGAGGGATTTTAGAAAATACAACATCTGTGATGGGCCTTGAAGGATAAGGGGGAGGCTGGAACAGGGCATTCTAGGCAGAGGGAGCAATGTTTAAATATACTCAGAGATTTCTAAGGGGGTGGCACATTCCGGAGAACGTTAGACCAGTGTGTATTGAGGACTTATAGGTTGATACAAATATGACATTTCTGACCTTTGAGGCCTGAAATGTTTCCCTGTCATTGATGTATATATGTATTTACTGAATATTCACATACATAAGCCTTCAGCTCTCAAATTATATGTAAGCATGGACACATTACATACAATGGTGCAATCAGCAGAGACTCTGAATTCATTCAGACCTGGTATGAATCCCAGCTCAGCCACCTACTGGCTGTATGACAACAGAGAAGTAATTTAAATATTTTAGCCTTCATGTTTTTATCTGTAGGAGGGTGACCTATCCACTGCATATTGTCTTTGTGAGAATTAACTGAGTTCACACACGGAAATTACCCAAAATGGTGCCTGGGATATAATAGACACTCACTAAATACCAGTTACTTTCTCTCTTCCCGCTCCTCCTTTGTATATAACCACACTGTTTCTAATAAGAGCATGAAATTGATTTGTTTTATTACACGCATAGTGACTACTTGTTGACCACAGCACTGGAAGCTCTGATTGGGCTGTGCGTAACTATTCTTTTCTGTGCCCAGCACCCTGGGAGGCTGGCCTTTTAGGATTGCAGTAACTGATTCCCATGCCCTCTACCTAACAGTAGGTTCAAAGAAATAGGAAGCCAGCAAGAGATGCAGGGAGGAAATAGATTCAATTTGGAGTTCATCTTCCAAAAATTCTCTTCCTGTAAACTTATCGGAGTTCTTGTCAGACAGCCTTCTCCACCCACCTCCCATTCTTTTCTTCACTCCCCTTCTCTCTCCTGATAACCACTTCCTTTCATTGTTCCTTAAGGCTTAGAAGCATACACAGCACCCTGACCATTACTAGCCTCACAGCATGGCACTATCCCTTGTGCTGTCCCTACCCCCTGCCCTCAACTTTGCTAATTACTCCTTTATTAATTTCTCCTCAAATTACCCAATTTGACTTTACCATTGTTTTCCTGTTGGGGCCCTGACTGGCCCTGACATTAAGGATAAACATGATGCCATCATTAACTTGATGAGGGCCCCTCAAAAAATCAACTGAGGCAATTGTGAATAGGAGTTCACTCATGATTTGGCTCTCTGTTTGTCTGTTATTGGTGTATAAGAATGCTTGTGATTTTTGTACATTGATTTTGTATCCTGAGACTTTGCTGAAGTTGCTTAACAGCTTAAGGAGATTTTGGGCTGAGACAGTGGGGTTTTCTAGATATACAATCATGTCATCTGCAAACAGGGAAAATTTGACTTCCTCACTTCCTAATTGAATACCCTTTATTTCCTTCTCCTGCCTAATTGCCCTGGCCAGAACTTCCAACACTATGTTGAATAGGAGTGGTGAGAGAGGGCATCCCTGTCTTGTGCCAGTTTTCAAAGGGAATGCTTCCAGTTTTTGCCCATTCAGTATGATATTGACTGTGGGTTTGTCATAGATAGCTCTAGGAATCCAACTTACAAGGGACGTGAAGGACCTCTTCAAGGAGAACTACAAACCACTGCTCAATGAAATCAAAGAGGATACAAACAAATGGAAGAACATTCCATGCTCATGGGTAGGAAGAATCAATATCATGAAAATGGCCATACTGCCCAAGGTAGTTTATAGATTCAATGCCATCTCCATCAAGCTACCAATGACTTTCTTCACAGAATTGGAAAAAACTACTTTAAAGTTCATATGGAACCAAAAAAGAGCCCGCATCACCAAGTCAATCCTAAGCCAAAAGAACAAAGCTGGAGGCATCATGCTACCTGACTTCAAACTATACTACAAGGCTACAGTAACCAAAACAGCATGGTACTGGTACCAAAACAGAGATATAGATCAATGGAACAGAACAGAACCCTCAGAAATAACGCTGCGTATCTGCAACTATCTGTTCTTTGACAAACCTGAGAAAAACAAGCAATGGGGAAAGGATTCCCTATTCAATAAATGGTGCTGGGAAAACTGGCTAGCCATATGTAGAAAGCTGAAACTGGATCCCTTCCTTACACCTTATACAAAAATTAATTCAAGATGGATTAAAGACTTAAATGTTAGACCTAAAACCATAAAAACCCTAGAAGAAAACCTAGGCATTACCATTCAGGACATAGGCATGGGCAAGGACTTCATGTCTAAAACACCAAAAGCAATGGCAACAGAAGCCAAAATTGACAAATGGGATCTAATTAAACTAAAGAGCTTCTGCACAGCAAAAGAAACTACCATCAGAGTGAACAGGCAACCTACAAAATGGAAGAAAATTTTCGCAACCTACTCATCTGACAAAGGGCTAATATCCAGAATCTACAATGAACTCTAACAAATTTACAAGAAAAAAACAAACAACCCCATCAAAAAGTGGGCAAAGGATATGAACAGACACTTCTCAAAAGAAGACATGTATGCAGCCAAAAGACACATGAAAAAATGCTCACCATCACTGGCCATCAGAGAAATGCAAATCAAAACCACAATGAGATACCATCTCACACCCGTTAGAATGGCAATCATTAAAAAATCAGGAAACAACAGGTGCTGGAGAGGATGTGGAGAAATAGGAACACTTTTACACTGTTGGTGGGACTGTAAACTAGTTCAACCATTGTGGAAGTCAGTGTGGTGATTCCTCAGGGATCTAGAACTAGAAATACCATTTGACCCAGCCATCCCATTACTGGGTATATACCCAAAGGACTATAAATCATGCTGCTATAAAGATACATGCACACGTATGTTTATTGCGGCACTACTCACAATAGCAAAGACTTGGAACCAACCCAAATGTCCAACAATGATAGACTGGATTAAGAAAATATGGCACATATACACCATGGAATACTATGCAGCCATAAAAAACGATGAGTTCATGTCCTTTGTAGGGACATGGATGAAATTGGAAATCATCATCCTCAGTAAACTATCACAAGAACAAAAAGCCAAACACCGCATATTCTCACCCATAGGTGGGAATTGAACAATGAGAATACATGGACACAGGAAGGGGAACATCACACTCTGGGGACTGTTGTGGGGTGGGGGGAGGGGGGAGGGATAGCTTTAGGAGATATACCTAATGCTAAATGACGAGTTAATGGGTTCAGCACACCAGCATGGCACATGTATACATATGTAACTAACCTGCACATTGTGCACGTGTACCCTAAAACTTAAAGTATAATAATAATAATAAAATAAAATAAAAAGATTTAAAAAAAGAAAAAAAAATCAGCTGAGATAAATGAACTTGTAATTCTGTAGATAACGGGGGAAATTCCCCAGATTGAGTGGAGACATTTTGTTTAAATGTAGCTAATGTTTAAAATAATTACCTTCTTAAGAAGACCTATACTTTCTTCTGGAGCATGGTGGTGTGTCCTTCACTTGGATTTCACAGATTATAAATGACCTGATAATGAACCCAGTATGAGAAACAGTTGAAGATTTTTTTTCTCCCTGGGTTGGGTTGGGGGCAGAGGGAATGGGCTTTTGATCATTTTTGAGTCTCAAAATTGTTCCATGTAGGTTAGCCATTTCAAAAGCCAAAAAACCCATCTTTTTGGATAAACAATATCCAGTAAATAACCCTCCACTCTTATCTTTAAATATTGACACCAAATCCTATAAAAAAAACTCTGTTATTTGTAAATAAAAGGTACATTGGTTCAAAGGGTCAAAGTGGAGAAACATCATAACGAGTCAAGTGTCCATGGCATAACTTTGAATAAGATCACTTTTATACCATCCAAAGCCATTGGATTTCAAGCAGACTGCTAAATTTAACCACAGGGAATTGTTAACATTCTACCATTTTTCTGACCTACAAAATGACAATTTCCTAGGGTTGAAATAACAGATGATTCTTGCTGTTCTTTAAGAGAACATAACCTTCATTTCCTCCCCGTTTTCCTGTGAGTATTTTCTCCTTATTTTAGTGGGTGGATGTCAGATTTTTCTCTGATGGTTCCTCTGATGAAATATCTAACAGATGAGTAGACAAACTTTGTCACAATATTTAGTTTTTTATTTGTGAGTTAATTGTATAAGTTGTATTAACTTTGTTCCCTATATTTTCCATATGGTACTTTCAATAAACATAAACAAAACAATATAACTCCAGAAGATAAAATCTGATTGCCACTGAAAGCTAATGCCTAGAAGTATGTGAACTATTAATAATCACAAAGCCTTTGCTCCAATACCCTGTTGGCTATTTAAAAATACTATTCTCAGTTTAAAGTTATTTTAAAACACATCTAGTTTTAGCCATAAATACCCTTTTGTTCTGACATTTACTTTAAATAACTGTGCTTTCTTATAAAACAAGACGCAGCCTACTAATATTCAACCAATACTACCACATTCTTCACAATTCTGGGTTGCATATGTTTAAGATTTAAGGTTAAAAAGCAGTATTTTTCTTAAGGTAAAAAAAAAATGATCCAATTAAATACAAGCCAAGATTATGCAATGCATTTGAATCTGTGCATGGGAAGAATGGTGAGAGACTCTTGCTATGGGGATTATTTGGGGTGTGGTTCCTCCAAAGGGAGTAAACCCAGGTTTTAGAGAAAGTTTTCAAAAAATTATTCTCTGAAACTAAAGCTACTAATGTCAACATAATATCATGAGATTAGTTCTTTGCAAAAGGAACATAATAAATAATAATCTACATATGCATTGCTTTTAAGACAAGTGTGTCCCCTAAAGGCATCTAAAAAAAAAAACTCATCAGCAAGAATCCCTTGTAAATATTTGTACAATACACAATATAGCCCACTTAACTGGAACATTATGCTACAAAAGGTGATTTTTAGACAGAGAATTGTGTGAAATTTCCATGACTGTCTGTATATGAAATCTTTTTTGTCCTGTAGTTATATCATGTGCCTAGGATTTTTCATTTTCATTTTATTTTATTTCTATCGATTTCTATTGATTTACTTAGAGACAGTTTCATTCTGTTACTCATTCTGGAGTGCAGTGGCACTTTCACAGCTCCTGCAGCTCTGAACTCCTGGGCTCAAGCCATCCTCTTGTCTCAGCTTCCTGAGTAATTGGGACTACAGGTGCATGCCACCATGCTCGACTAATTAAAAAAAAAAATTGTAGAAATGGAGTCTCACTATGTTGCCTAGGCTTGTCTTGAACTGCTGGCCTCAAGTGACCCTCCCACCTTAGCCTCCCAAAGCACTGGGATTACAGGTGTGAGCCATTGCACCTGGCATCTGTGATTTTTTAAATAGGAAAATATAACTTCTGTTTTTATAAGTGCATTAGTTTCCTGTGGCTGTTGTAACAGATTGCCACAAATTTGGTGGCTTAAAACAGCAAGAAATGTATCCTCTCATAGTTCTCGAGGACAAAAGTCTGAATCCAGAGCTGAAATCACTGTGTTGGCAGGCCCTCCCTCCCCTAGACACTCTTGGGAAGAATCTATTCCTTGCCTCTTTTAGCTTCTGGTGGCTCCTGCGTTGCATTCTTTGAAGGTAGCCATGTCATGCCGGTCTTCAATGCCAGCATCGTCAAATCTCTCTTACTTCATCTTCATGTCACCCTTTCCTCTACATGTTTCTGATCTCCCTTTGCCTACTTTTTATAAAGACACATGTGACTGCATTTAAGGTCCACTTTGATAATGCAGGATAATCTCATCTCGGATATATATTTTAATCACATCTGCAAAGATACTTTTCCCATATAGGGCCCCATTTGTAAATTCCAGGGATTAGTACATGATTAATGTTGGGGGGAGGTGCATTTTTAAGACTACTACAATAGGGAATGTGAGATAAAGCAGCATAGTGAACTGGAAGGACTAGAAGTTAGGAAACCAGGCTCAAGTCCTGGAATTTGTCTAGGTTTCCTTGGAAAAGTCAATTATTTGAGACTCACTTTCATTATCTATAAAATGGGTATTGGGTATAAGGAGACAGATGATATCCCTACGTTTTTTGTTTCAAAATTATATTAGGCATAAATAAGACAGATATGCCAGTATTTGTCTTTCATTCTCTAAGGAGAGAGAGAAAGTTCTGGGATTTGGTGGCTACAAACTTTTCAACCACCAGAAAAGTACAAATGATAGTGGAATCAGGGTAAGTCTCTGGCCTGTATCATACATCCTGCAATAACATTCAGAGATCACAAGCAACCTTCTGACTGTTAATTCTGTGCTTCAAGTACCTTGATTTCAGGAAGTCCTGACTCCTAGAAAAAATATATCTTTTATTATAAATTGATGAATTCCCTTCCAGCTCAGAAACCAGACTTCAGTGATTTCATTAGACCTGACAACTACAAAATGAATTAATAAAGTATAGTTCCTTAGTCCTCCAAATTTGAATTGCATAGTGAGCCTTATTCTGAAAGATCCTGACATTTATTAATTTCACAGACACTTATACCAATAATAATAATAATAATAATAATGGTATTTCACATGCATTGAAGACTTACTCTGTGTAGCCACAAAGATAAACACTCTACATTAATTGTTTCATTTGCTGTCCACAATTTTCCAGAGAAACCAGGTGTTATTCAAGAAATCATCATCAAATACGTACTGAGTGCAGGGCATGTAATGGTGCTGCGGAATATAAAGATGAACAGGGGCCTTGACTCAAAGTAACATAATGTCTAAAAGAGGAGACAAATATTAAGCAAAGAGCCACAGAAGCAAATGTAACATTTACAACTGCATTAAATACTGCCTACCAGTGGGAGGTACATGGTGCTATTAAACTGGTTGCAGAGGAAAGATAAATCATTTTGAGAGAATTTTGTAATTTGTCCCAGGTCACAACCTAAATAAGACGAGTCTGACTTTTGATCCAGGACTGCTGACTTGGAAGCCCCATTGGTAACTACTATGCCATACCTCTTGTCTGTTTTCTCCATCACCGTTTGAAGTTTAATATGCCCGCCTTTTCTGTTGGCAATCTTCAAGTGGTCATTTTCCCACCATGACTGCTTGGCTCCAAAGTTTAGTTTTATTGACTGTTTTGAACATTCCCAGTGTATGGAAATTTTTAAAAGAGCCCTCAAGCCATTTCTGGAGTCTATGACACAGACTTTAGATCTCATTCTATTAAGAGTTTGATTCCAAGCCCACTTCTGAAAAGTGAAAGTATGTACTCAGTAAATTCCTGAAACTGACAAGAACTCTTTGGCTATTACTCAAAAATGTCTAATACCATGAACTAAAGTGGTGAGTTATTTCCGCACTTCACACACAACCCCCACAATCCTTGAAAGTGGAGTACTAAACTATGTTAACCACTGGGTGCAAAACCGTTTCCCCTTAAAGATAATCTGAAATAATCTGATAATGATGGTGGATTGGAAGGCAGTGTTGATACAAATTATTTAAATTTTCTATGCTTAAATTTTCTTAAGTAAACACATTTTGTATACAATAAACTATTCATGTAAGATTTTTCAATTAAATTTCACACTGTTAACTAGATACATTAGTAAACACAACTATTTCCTCTTACATTAACGTAGCTGCATTGAGTGTGAACTCACTTTTAGTTCTTTTTCCCCAAACTAGAGTCAGTTTTTCATATATGAACAATACATTTTTATGTGGGCAGGGCCAGAAAAAGCCAATATTCACCATGCATTTTACAGTTCCTGTAGATAAATATTAGCAGAAGTGTTGGCTTTCCATCCAGTTTAATTAAAAAAAAACACTTGGTTTTAAGTATTTTCCCCTACTTATATACAATATCATTATATAATGGAAATTAGCCATTTAAAACAACTTTAGACATTTTATTTTTTATGTTTTTATAATTTGAATTAATGGCAAAAATAACTTAAAAGAGCTTTTTTTCCCCCTTTGGAATAAACAATCAATTTTGAAGAGAGTTCCCTTGAGCTGCTAAGAGGCAAACTAGTTAGCAAATCAAGAAGTGACCCCATGGACTTGCATAAACACTATTACACACCCAACAGGAAGGATTGTGACCAAGTAAATAGCACAATTCAAACTCAAACACCAGCTATACAATTGCTCAGTCCCATTTAAATTGGTGACAAATGCCATTTAATCCCAAGTAACTGCTCTTTCATTCATCACGGTTCCCATATATCTCTATAATCTATTGTAGCAGAAGATTCCTAAGAAATCATTTTCTTTCTGCCTAGAACCAGTCAGCCCTATTTTAGAAATCCTAAAGTAAATACTTATAATCCCTGTCCTCTTTAAGTGATCACTCAAAGAGGACATGACATGTTCTTTTAAGTGCCAAACAGCTGGTTCATTTCCCAATTAGAGGAGAGCACTGCAAATGATAGCTCTAAATAAATATGTAATATAATCTACTGATAAGGACAATGTAAATATTTACAACAATTAGGGAAACAAATGTACACATATTTGAATATTCTCCAGAAGATGAAATCTATCCATTGTAACATTTGTCAGAAAGAGTCTGTTTGGTGGGTTCTCCTCAGGAAGTTGTGCCACTTCGGTGTTTTGCTGTTAAGCTGCCTCAGGCTCTAGAAGGGGTGTACAGGAAGGAGATTCTTACGAAGGAGCCCCTTTCAATAAATTGCCTTCCAAAATGGAAGCTGGATTCCTTGCTCTCATGGTTTCAAATCTTGGATGGGGTGAAACTGGATGCCCCTTGCCCTCAACCCCTTGATGAGATGCACTGAAGGACTACCGAAGGGAAGGACAATACACAGAGTTCGCAGGGGCCTGGGCAAACTGTCTTTCTAATTACATCCCTACATTAGTTTTCATATACACATGGTAACCACGAAGATTCAGAACAACGCTTCAGTTCAAGAATATTTTGTTTTCCAGATGAGGTTGTATTCCTCCATAAGACCCATAAAAAGGAAAAATAGAACACTATGCTATACATTACAACATTGCAACCAATTTTATGCAAGCTCCTGTTGAAATTTAGGTCACTTGCTCGGGCCTTAGTTTTCCCATCACTGAAAAGGGATAGTGCTACAGTCCTTTCCAGCTTCCTTCAGAAAATAGTTAGGACCTCTAAGTATTATACTTCAACTTAAAAAAGATGGACTATTCTCTGATTATAAAAATAATAAGTGATCATTGTAATACAAGGATGAATGAATAAGAAAACAAAAACAGCTTATTTTCCATTGTCAAAGTTTTCTCCGTGTGTGTTTGTGTGTGTGTGTGCATGTGCGCGTGTGTGTGTGTGCGTGTGTATAGACACACATTACATATATAGTTATGCACCACATAATGACATTTTGGTCAAAGAGGGACTGCATATATGATGATGATTTCATAAGATTATAGTGGAGCTGAAAAATTCCTATTACCTAGTGACACAGTAGCCATCATAACATTGTAGCGCAACACATTACCTTTTCCATGTTTAGATATGTTTAGACACATAGATACTTACCAATCAATGTATTACAGTTGCCTACAGTACTCCCTACAGTACAAACATGCTGTACAAGTTTGTAGCCTGGGAGCAATAGGCTATTCCATACAGCCTAAGTGTGTAGTAGGCTATTCCATCTGGGTTTATGGAAGGACATTCTATGATGTTCACACAATGTTGCATTTCTCACATTTCTCAGAATGTATCCCCATTGTTAAGTGATGCATGACTGTGTAGACTATGCTGAATATTCATATGTAAATATTACTCTGTGATCTAACTATTGTGAACATTTCTCCATATCATTAAATGCTGTGTGAACATATGACTTTTAATGCTGTACAATATTCCTTTGTATGGATGAGTCATGATATATTTAATGGTAACTATTGTGGGATAATTAGGTAGTTTCTAATATAAGTTGTCTCTTGTAAAAATGCCTGTCCCTGTTGTGTTTTAGTCTTTCAATCTCTTTGATCTTTCATGGTAGATTCAAATGCTAAGACTGTGAAAACAGGAAGAGGCAATTTTGAATCCCTACCTACTACCTGTCAGCTGTGTGATCTCTGTAGATGTTTAACTTCTCGGGGAATTTCACTTTCCTTATCTGCCAAATGGGAACCACAGCTCTGTCTTTTAAAGCCACTGTGAAGGAGTGTTGATATGTATGTCATGTGCCTGCCATACAGAAGGCTCCTTGTAAGAATGAGGCTCCCTCTCTTTCCTTCTTTTTCTTAATCCAGGAGTCCAAGGTGCCCATGATTAGGTTTCATTCTCTGCGAGAACCCCAGAAATTGTGTGCAAAATTTTGTGAGTATGTTCAGATATTTTTTGGGAGAAAAACTTTCACAATATAAGAATCACTACAAATCTCCTTCCTGGCCCATGGCTTTCCATTTTGCTATAAAATGATGGGACTGATATTTGCCCAGTCCCTAATGGCTGCTATATTGGCTTGTATTTCTCTGTTAATATCTCCCTTATCTGTTGGTGAGCTTACTGTTCAGTATGAACCTAGCCTGACACACAACTTCTATGCTGAAATCCCAAATCCCAAGGCACACTTTCCACTTCCCGATACACAATAAGCACACAATAAATGTTACTTGTTGCTCCTGTTATTATATACATGAGGAAATTTTTAGAAGAGGCACATGCTTCTTAAATTAAATACTAGTTTGATTATGGAAGATATGTTGCATATGAATCGATCCCTCTCTCTCTCTCTTTTTCTCTCTGTCTCTCTGTCTTTTATGACAAGACCTGTATGGATTTGGCCAAATTCTAAAACATTTCCAGGTTCCATTTATCTTGTATAGGTTCATAAACAGATCAAACAGCTAGAGATTACTATTTCTTTTATATCATAACAAAAGGATGTGTAGTGGGGGAGAGGAATTTGGCACTAAGCAAACATCAGTTTAAGACTTTAAAATGGAATGAGGGTCCATCTGTCTTGAATAACTTAGACCACAAGTTGACTACCAAAGAGGAAACTGCTGAAATTCTTCTCAACTTTGCAATTCTCTGATCTTACACATGGTGCCTTTGACAAATCTTTCTAAAGCAAGTATGTTTTAGAATGTCCATTACATAGCTGGAAAGCTCAGGTTAGTGGGCATACCAAGGAAATTTCCCCATTTTGATCTCCCAGGAGTGGGTCACTGATGCCACTGTTAGCTTTTTAAATAATTGACTCCTAAAACATTAGACTTATATCTTTCTGCTCACAGCAATAGCACTCCATGACCTCACTCAAGAAAAAAGGAAGTTTTGTTTTCTTTCACTATGCATAACAGGTGCTTTTGGAAATATCTGGAAACTATTTCAGACCCATCAGAAATGAATATTTAAGGAAAATAGAGCCTGGACTCAGAAAAAATGATAGCATCATTCTCCTTTGTATTTTCAGAAGCCAAAACCAGAGGCAGTATCCCAAGTCTTGGAGTCTGTTTCCTCTGTTCCATTACCCATGCTACATAGGTCAGTTATAAAAAGTTTGTTTCTGCCATCTACTCTTGCCTACTGTGGTAGGTTATTCAGTTATGGCCCCCGATGAAACATGGCTTTCTGTCTCCGTGCCCTTGTACAGTCACCTCTCACACTGAGCTTTGGCCACTGGGGCATCAAAACATGTAATGCAAGAAGAGGCTTATGCATTGGAGCTTGTCTCTCAAAATGCTGTCACCATATGAAGAAGCCAGGGTATCTTTCTGGAGATATGTGAGCCAAGCTACAGCCAGCATCAAACACCACACATGAGTGAGGTCACCATGGGCCATCTAGCCTAAGCTAGATAACTGCAGTTTTGTGTGTGAGGCTGGAAGAACCACCAAGCTGACCCCAGCCCAAAGTGCTGACCCAAAATCATGAGCAAATAAAATGGTTGTTTTAAGCTCAGAAGCTTTGGATGCAGCAATAGATAACAGAGACACCTATCTTGACTTGGTAGAGATTGACACATCCCATGATTGCTGGCTGTTCACCTAATATATTCATGCAGCTGACTTCTCCCTATACATCGTGAGGGGCTAAGAGATGAAAAGACAGGGCAAATGGATGAAGGAAGAAAAAGATAAGATAGCACGAAAGAAAGAGATGGCTTTCCCTTTCTCAGATCATTCTATTCTCTGTTCAGCATTTTTTTTTTTTTTTTTTTTTGGATGGCTATGCCGGGCTCTCCTTGACTGAGTAGCAGAACAGAATGTTAATATTAAGGAAATAAAACTTGCTTCTCTGTCTCAGACGTTATTTTTCAAAAGCCCTTCCTCCCTCCCTCCCTCCCTTCCTCCCTTCCTTCTTCTCTTTCTGTCTTTCTTTTTTTGTTTGCTTTTAGACACAGAGTCTTGCTTTGTTGCCCAGGCTGGAGTGCAGTGGCACAATTATAGCTCCCTGTAGACTCAAAATCATGGGCTCCAGGGATCCTCCCACTTCAGCCTTCCAAGTAGCTGGGACTACAGGCATGTGCCACCATGCCTTGCTATTTTTTTTTTTTTAATAGCGACAGGGTCTTGCTGTGTTGACTAGGCTGGTCTTGAACTCCTGGCCTTAAATGATCCTTCCACCTCAGTCTCCCATTACAGATATGAGCCACTGCACCTAGCCCAAAAGGTTTCTTGAAGGAACGAAACCTTATGTCTGACTGACACACTTAAACACCAAGGGACTATCTTTTAATGGAATGCTACTGTGTTCTGAGACAAGACATTAATATCATTGTAGGCCGGCCTGTTCCTTACACTTGACATTCTGAAACATGAACTGCTGTCCTTGGCACAAGTATCAATGTGTGGCTTTACCAAAGCACGTTTTGGGGTTTTTCTTTCCCACTTCAACTAGAACGTAAGCAGTTACCCACGAAGTAATGCAAATTCCTTCCCCCTAACCTACACAATTTAATATTAAGCTGAGAAAGTTATAGCTTTCAAAACCTGTTTTCTGTAACCTAAGAACTGCTGTTTCAGCTCAAATGTAAATATGCATCAAAATGATGTAAAATCAATACAATAAAATGACACCCTCTAGATCTTTAAGTTTTAATGTGTTTTCCAACACAGTTTAACTAAGGAATAATATCTACGATGTTCATCTAAGAAAATGAAATATACCCTCCTGCTGCCACATACCAAATGCCCTTGTATTTGTTTAAAACGGTATTCCGGAAAGGATAGAAAAACGGAAGCAGAAAAGTCCCTCGCTATCTTCTAGCCTAACTCTTATGTGATGAAGGAAAGTCTGGAATTAAAAAGCTATTGTTTGTTAGGATTAACGGCTATTGGATTGCTCGAAAGAACACTCCTAAAATTACATGGATGGACAAACAGCCTGAATAAAGAAATGAGCAAACTTTCCCAAGAGTTTCCTTGGCTGGCTGGGTCACTGACTGGCAGCTGACAAGGTTTTCAATAATGCCGACTCAGCTGGTTCTATAATGCTGTGTGCCTCAAACATAATTAAAAGTGTTAAGAATTTTGTAGCCTTTATCAGAACATATTCTCCCCACATGCCTTCAGTGACCTGGTCACAACTACTAGAGACAAATAACTCTCTCATTTTACTCTGTGTGCTAAGGTCATTGTACCCTAGGCAGCTTTCCTGACTGTATCTTCTCCAGACCTAAGAGACTCCAAAACCTACCCAGACGAATTGTGTGGGGTCACTTGAGCAATACCCCTTTTCTTTCTCAGGATGACAGCAAACAATTAGGGTTCTTGGATATTTATGGAGAGAAGAGTGCATATGCTTCTGGTCATTTTATGTCAGCTACTTTTGTTAAGTCCATCCACACGTTAATGAAATGAGACAGGACTTGCAGAGCTGAAAGGGACTTGAGAAATCATCAGGTTGCCCCTAACACTTTACATTTTGGAAGCCAGGGGCTGTAAATGTCAAATGGTTTATGAGCATCTGAATCTTCTAACTGCTAGTGCACTTTTCCTATGTCACACTGAAAAAGGTAAGAGTCTGTATCTTTGCATCCAGAGCTGGGATAACCATGAAGATCATGCACGTCAAATTCAGGATATAAAAATAGTTATTAGTGACCAAGATGAGACAATGCCGAGTATTCTTAAGAGATGAGAGTAAACACTTATTAAGCACCAACCTAACATCTTGCATGTATTTGGTACAAAGTAAATTGTAGTGATTATTTTCTCTGTCTTGTATGTGATTATAAATGTGTGGGTGATTTTAAGAGTGCTGTCTCTCTTATTAGGCTGTTGGTCAGGGAGGATACTCTGCCACCCGCCCTTGCTGTGCCAGAGTACACATCATGACATGATCTCAGCATTCTCTCCCACCGATTCTCATTGGTGCCTTAGAACTCTTCTGAAGACTTCCTTCCAGCCTCCACTATCAGGTCGGCTCCAGATGAAACTTACCATGCTGGAAGATCAGGATCTGTGTCCTGTTCACCTTTGTAGCCCCCTACCAGGACTCTCACAGTGCTTTGTGCATAATAGGTACTCAGTAAATATACCAAAAACATACAATCAGCTTAACACCAATAGGATAATTACAAGAGTGCAGCAAGGGGAAAATTAGAGGTTGGGGATTGCTGTTTATTCTGAAAATCCCAAAGCTTTCTAAAACCTCTTGCAGGGTAACTGAGAGGAGTAACTCAAAGGACCAGGTTTACACTAGGTCTTAGCTCCTCGGAGCTCCTTTCATATTTAACACAAGAGTGCTGTCTAGTGGGTCAAGGGGCACCTGGGCCTGAACTGAAGTCATGTGGTTCCACTCGGGGCTTCCAAGTCAGTGGCGCCAGTGGTGGTTTCTGCAATTATTTCAAACCAGCGTCTCCCCCTTGGCCTTGGTTCTGGATGTCTGTGGCTGGACATTCACCAACTCTGGCTCCACTTGAATAATCCAGGGAGGTGGCCCGAAGCCAGAAGCTACCCTAGTGACCTAGATCCCATCCCCCAGTCTCAAATGGGCTTCATTTAATGGCATGAAGACTTAGGGGGTACATAGACTCTTTGAGATGAGTTATCATCTCATTACTGAAATGAGGGAAGGAAAACCAGTCCAAAGGAAGAGATGAGAATATTTCTGCCCTGAAGTTAAGAAGACTTAAAGTAATCATCAAAATGTGCTCATTGATAATAAAATTAGAGACGAATCACATCTAATTAGACCTGTTCTGCATGTAGCCTTGCACATCCATTTCTTAACACCAAATAGAAGCATTATAGTGCAAGTCATGGACAGTATGCTGAGTGTCAGCCTGCATGGATGAGTAAACACTACCAGAACGGATATAGCATTATATGTATTTATAACAAGGGTTTCAAACCGGGAACAAGCTGGGATTCCAAATGTCCAGGTGAGGAGTAGGACTAGATAAAAGAGTAGAGAGAAGTAGTGATAAATGCATTTCTTTTGGCTTAATCAGTGAATTCGATATTTGTGCACTCTCTTGGCCACTCAAGAGACTCATCTGCAGGCTAAATTTGGCTAGTTCACGTGACTTTTTAAACCTGGATTAAGAGACTTTACATAAATGAATTTAAACTATTTTAAACGTATACCCCTATACTCCAATAACACATTAATTGTTGGGCAGGGTCAGGTTATTTTCCAATTCTTCACTTCCCTGTATTTTCCTTAATCTGTCAATATAAAAATGGGCCACTGAGATCTCAGGCACATTCTATAGCTATAGAATGAGAATTAGGCAGGGGAAATATTGAAAATCTTTAACAGGCAGTATGGTAGAGGAATAGGCCACTGAGAATGGATGCTAGCTGAAGAAATGGACCTCCCTTAGGAAGTGAGGCATTTTGTTCCTGAAATATGTGAAGGTTTAGGGGACACAGAGAAGAGGCCAGGGAAGCTAAGGTGGTAGAGGGGACGGTTTGGAGGGCTTGGGCAGTGGCTGTTTACCCACTACTAAAGAAATATTTAAATTTAAGAATACAGCAATACTTAACCATATGTATGGCCATACTGGTTAAGTATGGCTGTATTCACCGTTCTTGCATATTATGAATAATAAAAGTAACTGATTGGGTAGTCGGGGCATACACCCAGTTCTACTTGGATGCATTTCTATTTAGCTCACCATTTGAAATCTTAGTAGCACACAGAAAACTTATAACCTAATGATTTTCATGTTCATACATGACAAGAGATAAACTCAATCATAGCCTCAGAGTGAAAGATCTTAGGTAGCGATACACAGCTTCCACCTCCCCCAAGTACTTTAGAGAAAAAAATATATATATATGCTTGGATCATTTAGTCTACCTCCACTAATAATATATGATCAACAGTGAATTCAGAAAGGGGAAGGGAAGTCTGTTGAAGGGTGAGCTTAGGCAAGGTTGACTCTAAAATCTGCTAAGGAATCTGGTCACATTTGTCATAACCCAAATGTCTAAAATGACAGAAAATACAGTGCGGTAGTTAAGAGGATGGTTTTTAAGATAAGTTGAATGAATATGAATCCCAAAGCTAATGTGAGATCCTTGAACAGAGTAATCAACTTTAAAATGGGCATATAGTAGTACAAGTTATTAGAGATATTGTGAATATTAAGTAGAATAATATATATATAGCGTTGCCCTTGGCATGAAGAAAATACAGACATGTATGGTTCTGTAATATGAATTAGGCCATCTGTTACTGTAATAGGGGAATGTCCTTCATGTAATGCAGAAGACATTGGTTCATATGTGATGTTTTTCTCCTAGGCAAGGGGCAAGGGGAATTGGACTAGCAGGAGTCCAACTGAAAGCTTCAGCAAAAAAGGAAAATGTCCTCAGCTTGGCCTTCTGTACTGACAGCAGGAGACATTTCAGTTGTTTTTGAAGAATATTTTAACACACATCCCCACACCTGGGGCTCAGAGATGGGCACCCCCAGCCTTGCTCAGCTCTCAGCTCATGGCAGATTGTACTTCCTCCCATGCCCATCTCAATGGCAGCCCCACTACTCAGAGCTCCACTTCCATTTGCACCTGCCAGCGCTGCTATAGCCAAGGCACTGCCAGAATTCCCACTTTATGTGTGAGTGTGTGCATGTATATGAGTACATTTTTAAGATACGTCACAGCAGCCTACAGCCATGCTAAGTTTCCTGCCTGGGTTAGTCCCCATAGACCAAATGTTTTTGTTAGTGTTCTGGTTACAAAGGTGGGTGAGTTTTTAGTGGTCTGTCCCTAACCTTATAAAACATGATCTTGGTTATTGTTAGGGCTTACTTTTGCCCAACAGAGGATTTTTAGGAAAGCATATATCACATTATGAGGTGATGTGCCTGTGGACAATAGGAAAGGGAGGTTCTGAAATGAGCGCTATTGATATGGGGTAGACCTGAACTCATTCTCCACAGCCTCCAGAAAGGGGGACACATTTACTGATGAAGATTTCAGGTAAGTGGAATGCTACTGAGGCTTTTGGGTTGTTTCCCAGGCATTTGCAAAAGAGCTAGGTCTCGATCAAAATGGAAGGCCCGGCTTTCACCTGGGCCTTGAGTGCATCCGTTCAGTAGCACCTCCTGTGTTTCTACTCCTCACTATATACATTCTCTTATCACAACTCTAAACTTAAACTGAAAACAACAACCCTTACAATAATCCTAAAC
Organism: Homo sapiens; assembly: GCF_000001405.40. Classification (NCBI taxonomy): domain Eukaryota; kingdom Metazoa; phylum Chordata; class Mammalia; order Primates; family Hominidae; genus Homo; species Homo sapiens. The sequence goes on from NC_000003.12 coordinate 64,835,092, forward strand.
TTAAAATGATGAGATATGTTTTTATAATCCCCATTTTGCAGATGAGGAAACTGAGGTTGTCAGAGGCTCTGGGATTGCCTAAGGTTTTTTAGCCATCAGAACTCAAACCCTAAGGTCTTCTGACTCCAAGGCCGAGCTCCTAAACACCACCAGTATCTCAGATGGAAGGGCACATTTGCCTGGCCCTTTGTTAAGCTCTGGAGCAGCTTTATCCAATAGAAATAAAATGTGAGCCACACATGTGAGCCACATATGAATTTGTAAAAATTGCGATAAAATATACATGATATGAAATTTACCATTTTAACTATTTGTAAGCATATAATTCAATGGCATTAAGTACACTTTACAATGTAGTACTACCATCTCCACTATTCATTTCCAGAACTTTTTCATTGCCGCAAACAGAAACTCTGTACCCATTAAACAATAATTCTCCATTCCCTTCTCCCCCAGCACACTGGGTACATCTGTTCTTTCTCTTTCTACGGATTTGCCTATTCTAGGCACCGCACATCATGGAATCATACAATAGTTGTGCTTTTGCCTCTGACTTATTTAGCTTAATCTTTTTGAGAGATGATCCATGTTGTAAAGTGTATCAGATTTTCATTCCTTTTTAGGCTAACATTCCCTTGCATGTATGTTCTACATTGTTTATTCGTTCATCTGTTGATGGATATTTGGGTTGTCTCACAAATGAATTTTTAAATATTGTAGTAGCTACATTAAACGAAGCCAAAACAAAAAGGTGAAGTTTAATATTTTTCTGTATTTTTGGATATATTCTAGATTTATAATGATATTGGATATATTTAGTGCAGTGTGTCAAAATTATTTCAAGACGTTATCACTATAAAAATTATTAATGATGTATTTTACATCCTTTATTTACTACTAAGTGTGTATTTTACACTTATAGCACATCTTCATTCAGAGTAACTGCTTTTCAGGTGCTCAATAACCACCCGAAGCTAGGACCCTTATTCTGGGCAGTGCCACTCCAGAGATTTAGTTGGGGGCCTTCTTTGTTTGTTGTTTGTTTTTTTGAGACAGGGTCTTGCTTTGTTGCGCAGGCTGGAGTGCAGTGGCATGATCATGGCTCATGGTTCACTGCAACCTCGACCTCCTGAGCTCAAGCAATCCTCCCACCTCATCCTCCTGAGTAGCTGGGACTACAGGCATGCCTCCACATGCCCAGCTAGTTTTCTGATTTTCTGTAGTAAGACTTCTCCTACTACATTGCCCAGGCTGGTCTCTAACTCCTGGTCTTAGGCAACCCTCCTGCCTCAGCCTCCCAAAGTGCTAGGATTAGAGGTGTGAGCTACCACACCTGTCTGGGGGGTGGGGTGAGTGGGGCTTCTTAATAATGTTCCTTTGAGCCCCAAACATCAGCTATATACATTTTCCATTTAGTCTCTGTGACATTTAAAGTCCCCTTTTCAATAGTCCACAATTAATATGTTTCTTTGTAACACCAGATATTGTAAAAGATATAGGAGAATATTACATGGCTGAGATTATGCCCAAGATATATGCATATAAGAATAATACGAAGTGGTATGGTATTCATTGCCACAAAGCAAGGGATACACGATGGCTACTGTCTCTCGAGCAAATACAGTTGCAAAATTATAGTTTCTCTGATTTGTGAATTTTTAAATGCAGTTTATGACACATTAAAAATAATTCTACTTATGCATTTAACAAATTATCTTAATTGGAAAGAATTGGTTGAACTGTGTGATGTTATCAGTATTTGACTCTTTTTGTCCTACAAAACTGTCAGTTTATGATTCAACCTAAAACATTGTTTTATCAATGCACACGATATTAGCAAGTTCTTAAGGAAAAGTGGACTTTCAGGGGATCTTCAAGGCTGCATGCGATTTACATGGGCATAAAGGAAGGTGAGGCTGTTCCTAGGGGATGGACTCCAGCAGAGTGAAGGAAGTTAACAGAGTAACAGCAGCAGCATTGATACCAATAGCCACTGTTTCTTGAATGCTTATAATGTGACAGACTCTGTGCTGAGCATTGTGTAAATTTAACCTCCTTTAACCCTTATTAGAACCTTGTGGGTTAGGTCTTCTTGTTCCCATTTTGAGATTAAGATGCTGAGGTTCAGAGAGGTAGGTAAGTTGACCAAGATCACACTGTTATTTCTGACTCCAAAGCACCCACCAGTCATCCAGGTTTACTGGCAACTGAGGGGTTCCTGAAGCATGTGGCTTCCTGTTTAAAACAGGGATGGTCCTGGGCAAATCAGGACAAGTTGGTCACTCCAGTGCCAAAACTCTTCCTTATTCAATTACGACAACTTTGGGGCCTTTGCCTGCCAGTCTAAAGAGGGCTTTTCATTAAGTGTAAAGCAGACATGGCAGGTACTGATAGTTTTCCAACTTTTCAAGCTTTCTCATTGTTGACCTAAGCCAGCAAGAACATTTTCTTACTGGACTAGGAATAGTTAGAACAAATGTTGGCAAGCAGAGGCATCTCACAGTGAAGCTGGGTGTGCTGCTTAGAGCAGAGGCTTCATGGACTCTGTCACTCCAACCTCTACGGCAGGAGTTCTTAATCTGGGGAAGAAGTTGGAGGATGTCCATGAACTTGAATGGGAAGAAAAATTATATCATTATTTTTATTCACGTCTGAGATTTAGCATTTCTTTCAATGATGAATGCAGGCAACAAACGACAGTAGTATTAGCTGTACCTGTGACTTTAGCACTTCTATAATTTGTAGATACTTTCATATCACATTCCAATTGTTGAGATACTTCAAACTATCATTTAAACTCATCCATACTTTAAACCTATAGTTTTTATCAGTCCTACTACTAGCTCTTGATATTTAATGTATTGATAAATATGTATATACTGACCTGTTTATTAAAATATATTTTTACAAATATATTTCTAATTAGTTTCTTGGCAATCTTATGCTACCTATTTTATGCAATTTAAAGCATTATTCTGAGGAATCCATGGCCCATAAGAGGTTAAGAAATCTTGCTCCAAACCAAGCGGTGACAGACTAACTTCCTTAGATACACATTAACACTGTTTCCCCACCCGATGCCACTTCACCAATCTAATGCTTCTTTAGAGGAACTAACCACCTGCCGGGCTTGCAAAATCTAATCTAACGCTTGCACTGAGTTCAGTGAAAATATATTGGGCCCAACCAACTCTATTTAGAAACGAAACACATCCACCATCTAGAAGTAAGGGAGAGGGTTTCAGCCCTGGAAAGAAGAAGCCTCCCCTAACTCAATCCAGCCCACCCCTCCCTCCACAGCCATTTTTCTTCTCTGACCAATTCTGAGTCCCTTTTGTGAATAATATGTCTGGATTAGTTTGCTGAACAATTGAACAACTGAACAATTCTCAGCCTCTGTCCTTGCTTTTGTGAGTAAAAAATCCTTAATCTTATTTGAATGCAATTTAATTCCCTAGAGAGCTGAATCTTTAGTCTCTTGGTTTTATAAAGTGAGTGCTTAGAGAAAATGCATAAGAGCCAACACAGTGCTTCTTAAAAGCTAGGTCAATCTACGAAGGCAAAAATTAGATAAATGTATACTCCAATCAGGGAGAGGAGGAAGAAAAGAATTTCTCCACAAATTACTTTTAGGACATTTAAGTGGAATTGAATTAGAATGTCAGGGGCCAGACAGCTCTCAGGAGGTCATTTGATCTAGTCCCCTGTTGTTGGGCAAGAGCACAGATGTGAAAATCTAGCCCATACTTTAAAAGCTTTAAAGAGGGGAACAAACATTTTATGTAAGCAGGTCCTGCAAGGTGAGTCAGAGAAACTTGTAGATTTAAAGAAATATTTGTAATGAATTAAACAATAGCATGTAGCTCATTAATTAGCCAATTAATTAATTAGACATATTTATTGAGCCCCTGCCATGTGTCAGAGACTGTCCTAGGCATTTAAGATATATCAGTGAGCTTCCATTCCAGTGGAGGGAAACAGACAAGTAATAAACCTAGTAAGAAAATGATAAAGTATGTTGGAAAGAGATCAATGCATTGAAAAACAGGGAATCGAAATGGAAGTGCTGAAATGTGTGCAGAGAAGAGTATCACCATAAACTTGTAAGCATAAAAGAATAACTACATGCTAAGAGCTTAGAATAGTGCTTAGCATGATATATTCTCAATAAATATTATATATACACATAATACGTAGTTATATATTATATACACAATGTATATATGACATTTTGCTTAGTTTTTTTTAATATGAGATGGGGTTGAGTGCAGAGACAGATATTGATTTTGACTGATTTAAGCAAAATGTGATTTCATTAGAAGGGTGGGGCAGCCAGCTCTGGTCTAGAACAATAGAACTAAGTTCTCTGAGGAACATTCAAGAACCTTATGCCTGCCAAGAACACCTCATGGTCTCACCTGCCTGGGCCAAGGCAGGTGCAAAGAGCAAAGAAGATCATCTCAGAGAGGGAAATGCTGGAAAGATGCTGCAGTGGAACTGAGAGATGAACTCATTCTAGTTAATTCACTATTATCTTCAGGTTAATAATGAATATTATTCACTAGTTATGGAATACTGTGAGTTAGGTAGATTTAGTTTCAAAATGAAGGTATTGGAAGAGGGTGTTATACACTCCAAATTCCACCAGCCATGACCAAAGATGATGTCAAATTTAATTGGATGGGTTTTAATTTAGTATATAATGTGTATTATCTACAACCTCAACTGTGGTTGTGGAAAACATGTAAGTGGATTCTGAAGAATCAGGTAATCTCTGATGAGGGAATCATCATCCCAAACATAATCAGCTGGGTAACAGATGAAGTGAAACCCAATGACACACATTCTCTTGACTTTAGAGCATCTCTTTTCAAGCTGAAAAAAACAACGTTGGATAAGACCGTGTGCCCAGCACTTGGCTCCATTCTGCATCATCCCTTTTTGCCACCTCAGATTGGATTTGTCCATCTGCTTACAGTTCTGACCCGGTAACTCGTGTGTTCCCCAGAAGGAAACCTGACCACATTCAGGCTGAGAGGTATAGGGCCTCGGTGGTCTATTAAAACTTGCTGCAGTGTGTCTGAGAGTGTAATTACCAGTTCATTGTGATTTACAAAACTTTCTCATGTGAGACATAATAATTAAGCACATAGTAATTGTCCTTGAATAATTTAAACACTTGATTTGTCCCTTGAATTTCTCCCAATACATACTAAGCTGGAATCTATTTGCCACACCACCTTGTCTGCATGTTTTACTTCCAATCTCCAGGCACATCGGTTCCCTTATCCCTGTGGAGCTTACTTTTGGTCAGAAATCTCTCCTGTTCCAATGAATCATGCTTATTTTGGATGTCAACATGATGCAGGTGTGTGAAGATTTAGAGAAAGGATCCGAGTCTCAGATATATGTGATTTGGTTTCAAATATGGTAGGTCAGAGAGACTTGATTTTTTATGACTGAATGGGGTAGTTATATATTTGGACATATGGAATTCACATTATGTCTAATTTTCTTCAGTTTTCTTGGCGGAAAAGCCATAGCAAGAGAAATGGCTTTCTTTCCCCTGTGGTTTTGCTTAAGCAGTGGAGAGTCACAGACCAGCATTTGGTTCTCACGTTGATCCTCTGCTCCGGATGAAGAGTCACGAGGCCATAAGTTAACAATAAGATCATCTACTGTCACGTGTTGTAGGGGTGAAAGCTGTTCAAATACAGACCCATAAGGGACCTTACCACACTTAGGAAGTACCTAGCGGGAGACAGTATTATAGTAATTTTATAGAAGGAAAAATCTAAGCCAGACATATCAAATGTCTACTCCATGTACACAGAATTAGGACCTAGATCTGTCTCAACTCCTTAAAGACTTCAGATCCAAAATGGAATATGGATATGATCCAAGATGGTGTGAAAGTGTGATATATTTCCTATGTGGGTAGGCATATCTTGCTTACTAGGTGCTGGGACCAGGCACTGTTCTAAGCACTTTACATCTATTAACTCATGTAAAATCTCACAATAACACTCTGAGTAGATATTCACATTGTCTGGATGTTACAGACGAGAAAACTGAGGCACAGAGGTGTTAAATGCCACGCCCATCATCACAAAGCTAGCAAGTGGCAGAACTGGGATTTTGAGGCAGGCTGATTGGCTCCAGAATCTGTGCTCTCAGCTCCTACGTCTACTGTTGGTTTCACATGTGTTTATATTGATGGATATTTGAATCAAAAAGATAACTAGCTATGATTGCTTCAGATAAGCCTAAGGTATGCAGAGTACTGATAATCTACTTGATACAGGCATGGCGCCCAGGTATGCTCACGAATGGGTCAATCCTCCAGTAACAAGATCTTCAGAATGGGAAGTATAATGTTTTATCCTACTAAAGTAAAGCCAATACACCTATGTTAAATTACAGATTGATTTTAAATTTACAGATTTACACAGGCATACTGAATATCTGTGTGTATGACTTTATTCCTTTCAATGCTATATTGAGGGACTATTTTCCCCCCAAAATGGCAAAAATTTTGAAGGCTGTATAAGAAAGATTACATTTGGGAAACCAATTCTAGTCCAAATCTTCTACTTTACAAATGAGGAATTTAAAGTCCAGGTGGGTAAAGTAACCTGCTAAAAGTAATACAGTTAATTGGTGTGAACCATGTTTAATGCTTTTTTGAACACTTATTATGTACCAGGTTCTATTCTAACTTTTCTTCGGTTTTTGTTTGTTTATTTTTGAGACAGAGTCTCGCTCTGTCTCCCAGGCTGGAGTGCCGTGGCACAATCTTGGTTCACTGTAACCTCCACCTCCCAGGTTCAAGTGATTCTCCTGCCTCAGCCTCTGGAGCAGCTGGGATTACAGGCATGTGTCACCATGCCTGGGTAATTTTTTGTATTTTTAGTAGTGACGGGGTTTCACCATGTTGGTCACACTGGTCTCGAACTTCTGACCCCAAGTGATCCGCCTGCTTCTGCCTCCCAAAGTGCTAGAGTTACAGGCATGAGCCACTGTGCCAAGGCCTCAGGTTCTATTCTAAGTAGTGTGGAGCCTTATAATTTTAAAATTTAATCATAATGTTTAAGGTAAATATGATTACCCTATTGTTGTTATTATACTCATTGTACGGATAAGAAAACTGAGGCTTAGCAATAATAAGTAATTTGTCCTAAGGTGAAAGGGCGGGAAAGGGGTGGATTTGGGGTTTGGACTCCAGTCTTTCTAATTCAGAGCCCAAGATGTCAACTATGCAGCTCTACATCCAAATCGTGTAAAGCATTAGCAGATAATTGCAAAGCAGTTTCCCATCTGTATTTCTTCCAATGTCATACACCATCCCACTGCCCGGTTTACTGAGATCAGCTACCACGAAGCATAACTTTTTTTTAATTTTTATTTATTTATTTTTTTGAGAGGGAGTCTCGCTCTGTTGCCCAGGCTGGAGTTCAATGGCACAATCTCAGCTCACTGCAACCTCTGCCTCCCGAGTTCAAGCGATTCTGCTGCCTCAGCTTCCTGAGCAGCTGGGATTACAGGCACCTGCCACCACACCTGGCTAATTTTTGTATTTTTAGTAGAGACAGAGTTTCACCATGCCAGCCAGGCTGGTCTCGAACTCTTGACCTCGTCATCCACCCACCTTGGCCTCCCAAAGTGCTGGGATTAACAGGCGTGAGCCACTGCATCTGGCCAAAATGTAACTTTAGAAGGAAAAGGTGGAAGGTATTAATACTGAAGTTTACCCTACCCCTGAAAAACCAACTATTTGAATTTCCAAGCAGAAAGCTATTAACCTATTTGCCACTGTAGCCAAAGTTCTTAATTTTCATGTGATGAAATAATGCCATTGGAATACAAAAAACAATTTTAATAGTACATTCACAAACATTTTGTAATACCGTGATGTTTTCATAACAGTACGGTGCAACTTGTTAGAGATGAGCCAGATATAATAGAACTTCTCTGAGAATTCTTCCTCTCAACCTCCTCCTTGCTTTATATTTTTAAATTTTACTAGACACTGATAGGATTTCAGCAACAAACAATAGCTTTTAGGTAAGTCTTTCATCAGAAAGAGAATCTCAAGATTCCCTTTATAAACAGTGCCTTGATGAACCACCACCCTTTGGTGATGATCAAATGAAGCGAAGTTAATAGCATTCCACTCTCATTTCCCCTTGAGGACACTGGCTGCACAAGAAATATCAGTGTTTTATTTGGAGACTGTGGAGCCGAATATTCTGCTGAAAAAGTGGAACCCAATGAAGCAAAGCTGCTATATAAGTATGAGAAAATATACTCTATGGAGAGCGTGATCATAGTTTCCTGGGTTTTCTCTCATCATAGTTGTATTAGTGTTATTATCTCCATTGTATAGACTGGGGAAGCTGAGCTGAGAGATGTTGATTTGTTCCTGAGGCCACAAAACCAGTGCGGAGTGGAACCCAGATGACACCCACATCGTTCTCCCTGCAAATGCACGTTCTTGCCGTCATTCCACGCTGGGGCAGGAGAGTTGGCAACACACGAGGGGGTCCTTGGAACATACACATTCCTGTGGGTGATCTCTTCCTCATTACTTCAGTTGCCTAAACATTTTGGGTGTGATTACAGAACTGAATTAATTACTGATGAGGCAGCTGGCCAGCACATAGAAAAGTCCCACTCGGATTGGGTATGTTCCCTCTAAGTGGAGAGTTGGATGGACTGTGGAGCATGGTTTTGCTCTTCCTAAGAGAAATGGCTGGGACAAATGGCCAGTGCCCAGCAGCCTGGGCTTTGGTTACAAATGATCATTACTCCAATTAAGAGCTGTAAATCAGACCATCTAGCCTTCTTTCCCCATGAAATGCATTGCACCAAGAGTTTTATCATCTGGAGGTAGAAAGTAGAAATCCCATAATAAAAAAGTTTTGTTATTGAATACCAGGATGTGTCACAGCTCAAAGAACTTTATTTTTTCCAGCTATTGGAATGAGTTTGATAATGTCTAATCATAAAAAGGCACTGACTCCGAGATTTAAAACTACCCTCAGAATAGTATCTGAATGGCTTACCATGGTCCACAAGGCCTTCCATGGTGTGCCCATCAGTTCTCTAGTCCCCCAAAAGGTCATGATCATTCCCATCTTAAGGCCTTTGCTGTCCCCTCCACTGGAATACTCTCCCCACGATCTCCTCAGGGTTGGCTCATCTTTGATCCTATCTCAGCTAAAATGTCAACTTTTCAGAGTCTTTTCTCTGTGCTGGGCATGACCTTTCACGTGACCTCTTACCCAGGCTGGAGTGCAGTGGCATGCTCACAGCTCACTGCAGCCTCGACCTCCCAGGTTCAAGCGATCCTCCCACCTCAGACTCCCGAGTAGCTGGGACTATAGGCATGTGCCACCATACCAGCTAAATTTTTTTTTGTGTGTGTGTTTTGCAGAGATAAGGTTTCATCATGTTGTCCAGGCTGGTTTTAAGCTCCTGGGCTCAAGTGATCCACTTGCCTTGGCCTCCCAAAATGCTAGGATTACAGGTGTGAGCCACCGCTCCCAGCTGACCTTATGATTTCTCATCTTTACAGCACTGATTGCTGTCTGGATACCTGTGCTTTGTTTCCCTGTGACATATAGCACTGTCTCCATGACTAAAAGGAAACCTCCTGGAAAGCAAGAATGGTCTCTGGTCAGCACCTAGAACAGCACCAGACATGTAGTAGATGCTCAATAAATACTTGGAAGTTTAAAGCAATGAAACCAAGAACAGAAATGAAGATTATATCACTGTTTTTTGAGGGTGGGGGGTACAGGGGTGTTTTTACAATAGAAGTACCCAAGTTAAAAGGGAAAGGAACATTTATAACGGGAAATATTATTAGCGAATTTATTATTAGCTCAATCTCTTTTAGTCTCAACTAAATTCTCTTATTTCCATTACACATCATCTACAAGCTCCTTCTTTCCAGTTCTTGAACTCACTGATGGAAGCCATGTACCACCCTCCTGCTCCAATCCCCTCACCTCTTCCCCCACAGCTGCTTTGCCTTCTTCCTATTGGTTTTCACCAACCTGACCACGTCATTCCCCAGTTTCATCACATGCCAGTGCCTTTAAGATAAAGTCAAACTTTACTATGCCTTGGAGAATCTTTTGCAATCCTGCCTGTGCTCACACCTCTAGCTTCACTATTCTCTTCCTCTGCAGGCTCCTGCCACTTTTCCTTCCACTTCCTGAAGTCACCATGTTCTCTCTCGCTTCTGGGCCTTTGCACATGCTCTTCCCTCTGCCTGGAACACCCCCATTCCCACCCACACCCCCAATTCAACACACAGACACCAATTCATGTTTCAGCTTTGAAGCCGAGGTCACTTCCTTCTGGAAGCTTCCCCAGCCATCATCCTGTTTCCAATCTGGGCTCCTCCTGCACCTTTACCCACTACAGCACTCAGACTACACAGTTGTTTCCAGCTTCCTAGGTTGCCTCTCTCATTAGGTTGCATTTGTCTTGCATACCTCTAGTGTTGAGCATGGATTTTGGCACTTGGTTATCACTCAGTGTTTGTTTTTTTAAGAGAGTGGGTCTCCCTGTGTCACCCAGGCTGGAGTGCAGTGGCACGATCACGGCTCGTTGCAACTTCAAACTCCTGGCCTCAAGCAATTCTCCCACCTCAGCATCCTGAGTAGCTAGGACTACAGTAACGCAACACCACATGTGGCTAACTTTTTTATTTTAATTTTTTGTAGAGACAGAGTCTTGCTATGTTGACCAGGCTGGTCTCAAACTTCTGGGCTCAAGTGATCCTCCCTCCGTGGCCTCCCAAAATGCTGGAATTACAGGTGTGAGCTACTGCATCCAGCCTCAGTGATTTAAAAATAAAATAAAATAAAGGGATGCTTTATTTAGGAAATCTCTAAGTTTCAGCTTGGAGACTTTTCACCAGCTGCCGAGTGTCTGCTAGGCCCACCATGCCAGAAGTCACTTTGGCCCTCTTTCCTTGTTGCACGATCACCAGGAGGCATTGTAACCCCCTGGGGAGTCTTAGCTCACAGACCTTGCCATTTAGAGTGTAACATAAGAAGGTCAGTTCTGGAAGCAACATTGTCCGTGGTGGTACCTTTCAGCCCAGCAAAAAGTCAAAAAATAGGGTGGTCTCAGCCAAGGGTCAAATTGCAGATTCGATGCTTTATGTGTTTGGCAGCGCTCTAGAGACAAATACATTAATCATGGAGGTATGCAATCTGGTTGGAAAATTCAGGCCAGATAGAATGACATGGGGAGAAGTGCACACACAAACACACACAACCATGAGCTCTCTTATTTGTAAAAACCACATTAATGGATGGCAGCTCCCTACCTCTGAAGTGATTTATAAATTAAAATAATTGCTTCTTTGAACTGTTCGATATTAATTGACCTATCACTAATGTACGCACAGTCTCTAAACCATCCAAACATTACCTAAACATTTTTATTCTCTTTATTCTGGAAATCCAAAAAACCCACAAAAAATAGGCTCTTTGTTCTGGTGCCAAGGGTCATAAAGAAAAGCCATCATCTTTGATGACTTTGCAATTCTTATTCTATTTCTTCATCAGATTAATTCTATGTGAAATAGTGAGTACTCTGAACTCACATGAGTCTTCCCACTCCCCTCACTTCTTAACAATCTCATCCCCAAGCACATGGATTCAGTTCTAGTTCAGATTTCTGGTAATAAGAGGAAGGCAATTCATTTTTTTTTTAATTAACCCTAGCTTTGAGTTCATATCCCAAACCACCCCAGAGTGTGGGCACCTGGCATTTCCTTTCTAGGTAAAATGAGGTAGAAACTAAATTGGCTGAGGCTCAGATGTGCATAGACTATGACAAGCTTGCCAGGGGTCCATTCTGCAAGGGTGACCTTGACCTGTATTGAAAGGCAGGCAGAAAAACACAGTGCTTAAGACAGGAGCTCTAAGGCAGTGGTTCTAAACCAGGGGTGATTTTGTCCCCCAGGGGAATTTGGTAATGTCTAGAGACATTTTTGGTTGTTACAGCTTGGGGTAAGAGGAGAAGGTGTTATTGGCATCAAATGAGTAGGGGTGAGGGATGTTGCTAAATATCCTGCAACGAATGCACAGCACCCCCTCAAAAAACCACAAGATTATCCATTCCAAATGTCAATAGTGCTGAGTCTGAGAAAAACCCTGCCCTAGAGTCTGATACACTTGAATTTACATCTAGGTTTGCTCCTTAGTGGCTGTGTGATCTTGGGCAAGTTTCTTGATCTCTCTGAGCCTCAGGCATCTCTTCTAGAAGATGAAAATAGTGATAAAGCATCTTCTTTGTTGGCATTTTGTCAAGCCTGGTAGTTGTGAAGTTTTAAACTTATTTTCTATTTTTATTAATCTATTAATATTAGTGTACTTTAAGTGGAAATGCCTACTGTCGTGTTTTGAGGGGAAACTATAAACATTTCCATTTGCATTCCAAACCAATATTTTATTTTCTCTTTAAATTAATGCATAATAGGATATAAAATAAGTAATTCTATCTATAAGATCGAAGGATTTGAAAACTTTTCATTTAGTATGGCTAAGTAATATTAATTTCAAAATGTCAAAAACCCATTCTGTTACTAAGAAAAGATCAATATTTAACATGTACATTTACCAGCATCTACACAGATCCATGGTTTTTAAATTGGAAATACGATGATATTTACTTTAATTCAAATAGTAAAACAAAAACAAAAACCCAGTTCCCAGTGGGCAAAAACTCATCACTCTAAAATGCCTGAGAGAATGGAAGAAAATGGAAATATAAGTCATATTCTGATATTTTTCTATATGACAATAATATGTAATAGATTAAGCATGGGAATCAGCAAATATGACTTCTATATAACGCTATATAAAATTTAATATTTGAGTAAAGAAATCATGTTTATATTAAGAAGTTTCCTGAAACTGTTATTTAAAATAAGTGTTTTGGTATCATATAGAATGAGTCTGCTATTGTCTTTATATAACTCTAAAAAATACTGTCCCAAAGTAATTTGATACGTGAAAATCATTATCTCCCAACACTTCTTACTGCTGCAGCTCCCACTTCCTTGTGCTAGTCATTATTTAACAGGTTAAAGAGCACAGTCTTTTGGTTATTATGCAAATATTTTTTGAGTGCTGACTATACCTTTCCACCAAGATGTATGTTAGGGTATCCCTTTCCACCAAGGTGTGTGTTAGGGTTATAACTATGCTGTGGAACATGCAAATAGTCAGGAGGCAGGACAGCTAATGAGTGAGGACTCAGAGAGATGGCTTGACTTCTGGCTGAGCCACATCTTAGCTGGTGGCCCTTTGGACACCTTCTCAACTTGCCTGAAGCTTGGTATCCTAATCTGTAAAAAACAGGCTGATAGACTCTTTCTCATCATTTTGTTGAGAGGATGCTGGTACAAAGTCCCTAGCTTGGAGCTTGCTGTTTATTAAAAACATTGCTCAAGGGTGGGCGCAGTTGTTCATGTTTGTAATCCTAGCACCTCAGGTGGCTGAAGTGGGAGGACTGCTTGAGGCCAGGAGTTCAAGAGTAGCCTGGGCAATGTGACAAGACCCCGTCTCAACAAATAATAATAATAATGAAAATAACATTTTAAAAATAAAAATTTTAAAAAGTAATAAAAAAGAAAATTCCTCAAAAATAGTTAGCTGTACTAGCATGACCATTGTGTTATTTTTATAGTCGAGAAATATCCTGGCTTTGGAAAATGGAGGCTGTTTTTCTACTGGGAAATTTAAAAAGCATTACAAACCAGAGGCTGAATAACTCTTATTTCCTAGCATAGTGTGTATAAGCTTACCAAATGGAGCCAGCTGTCGCAAAAACAACCCAGCGTTGCTATTGTTTTTTCTAAACTTCTGATGACCAACTGGCTGCTTAATCCAGTAGCTGGCCGACTTCTCTACATTGCATTGTTTACATATTTTCCTTAGACACGAGGTAGTGTTGAGAAACAAATCCTTTAGCATTCTCAAATTCAGAGCTTCTGTACACCCAGCTAGCCAACAGCAAAATCCTAAATGGTGTGGAAGAAAAAACACTCAACATGATATATATGCAATACTTTTTGGGGGGGCTGGGGGCAGGACAAAGACTCCCTCTGTCACCCAAGCTGGAGTGCAATGGTGAGATCTTGGCCTTCCACAACCTCCACCTCCCGGGTTCAAGCCATCCCCCCATCTCAGCCTCCTGAGTACCTGGGATCACAGGCGCATGCCAACATGCCCAGCTAAATTTTGTATTTTTTTTTTTTTATAGACAGGGTCTTGCCATATTGCCCAGGCTGGTCTTGATCTCCTAGGCTCAAGCAATCCTAGGCTCAGGCGATCCACCTCCCAAAGGGCTGGGATTATAGGCACGAGCCACCATGCTCAGCCTCTTTTTTTTTTTTTAAATACAAGTAGTATTTATTGATTTTCTTATTATAAAAGCAATGTATATTTCTCATTGAAAATACAAAAATGCAAAAAGAAAAAAATGCAAAGATTTGCCTCTAATCTCAATGCCCAGAGATGATAATTCTTCTGTTTTGCTTTTTTTTTTTTTTTTTGCATGTATACATAATGTGTTACTTTTCCTTCAACAAAATTTTCTTATTTCATTTAATACTCTTATCAGGATCACTAAATGTTATTGTATTAGAGTAAAGGTCAGCACATTTTTTCTGTGAAGGGCCAAATTGTAAGGATTTTAGGCTTTCTGGGCCATATAGTCTCTGTCACAACTACCGGATTCTGCCATTTTAGCATGAAAGCAGCCATAGACAATCTGTAAATGATTGGATGTGGCTGGATTCTGCCCACGGTGGCCTGAATTTCTCCCTTGGCCTGTAGTTTGTTGACTCCTATACAAAAGCGTCATCAGTTGTTGTAATATTAATAGTTTATTAAAAGTAATTATACTAGTGTTATCAGTACTTATATTTCATCATAATAGTTAATTACTTTTTAATCCTTTGTGTCTTGGAGACTCCTTGAAGAGTTGTCTTGTTCGTGCCTATTTTGCGGAATTGGATATAAAAAGACAACAACCAAGCATTAAAGGAGAATGGTTTTCTGGAGGTTAAGAAACACAAGAACTCTGACACTGCCCATAATTAAGGGTGTGCTTTTGTCCACCACCATAATTTCCTAAATTCCTAATGCTGTCTTGAGAGCAGCGTTCTCGTGCATGGTAGGAAAACGCTGCCTGGTACTCCTGGCTCTGAAAGGGCCGTTGCATTGTGTTACACGAAGACTGTGACTTCAACCCTCTGCCGCAGCTGCTACCAAGATCTCTTGCTTTCTCCAATTATAATGTTGGTCTTTCCTAGATTTTTCTAACGGGGAAAAAATATTCCTTTAATTGATTCCTTTTTGTTTGATTCTCTTAAAGCACAGAGGCATTGGGTTGTAGGCTGTGTTTTTTGGGAAACGAACTTTAGGACAAATATTAGCATTCAGGAAGCTTATTAGGGAGTGCTCCAGGGATCAACACTTGTGGATTGGAATGGGACAGAGGTGGGGTGGGCAGAGGGAGAAGTTGGGCTGTGTTACAGTCTCAACAAAGGCCTCAGCTGATCCCATTGGAAGCTCTAGAGCTGGGGTGGCCCTTCAGAATTGTCCAGAGTTGCAGAGAGGGAGGATGGCCTTTATACACTGGCGTTTACTAGTTTTTGGCTGAGGCTACCCCAAGAAGGGCAGGGTGCTCTCTTCAGCAGAGTCTTTTTGCAAAGAGGGTCAACAACCAAGTGTTGGCTTCTGACAACACTCCCAGTAACTGGGAGAGTAATCCCTTCATTCCTGCAGGGGTTTCTGGATGGTATGGCATGTCTACCATCTCATGGGTAAAGTCTAGAGGAGAAACTTGCTCAAGTCAATGCTCTGTTCTTCATTTCAAAATATCATTGTAGTAACGTTCTGAAGCAGTGTGAAAGTTTAAGTTTGGTTTAATTAAGTCATTTGGTTTAATAGCTTCATTCAACCATCTTATGAATATCAAGACCTGCAAACCCTCTATATGTAAGATACTGTTGTCTGTGTGAGTGAGATACAAAAACAAATTCAAGGCATGAGTCTTGTCCTCAGAGAGCTTATAGCATTTTGGGAGAATTCAGGAATATGAGGTATAAGGTAAAATGAAAGGTGACAGTACTGGGATGATACAGCGATTCCTGGTCCTAAGAAACCATGGTTCAGCGAACTCAAATGCATACAGAATTCTCATTTTATTTTTTAAGCCATTGCCCTTTATAAGTTTATTAATAACTGGTATTAGTAACAATCATGGCTCAATTTCTGCTGCAAGAAAGCCTAGAGTCAGAAACAGAATGTAGCTCTGTGGCAAAACTTGGAGACTGGTGTCATGGCCAAAATTTGTTGTTACCAATAGACACAGAGTCATCTGAAATCCCCTGCCTTAGTTAACCCAGCTCTTGCACCAGGATCCATTACATTCTTCTGGATGTCACTTCCCCCCCACCCCCGTGATTGTATATAATTTAGCAGGATATTATAATACATTGCAGATATTACTCGTGGGTCCCATTGAATAAAACTACCACATTAAAAATGTACTTTGGCTCACAAATGGAATGCAGCTTCAGCTTTTTCACCTGCAAGTCAAAAATGAGGTCCCTGTACAATTAAAAAGTGAATGTGGGACTTTTTACTGGTGCCTGGAGGATTGTGAACCAAGTTCTAGTTTATGAAAAAGTATATGAGGAATTCAAATGAGGGTAAAAGAGATCTCATTCAGAACACATAAAATACCAAAATAATTGCTTCTGTGAGACATACATGATGGCATATACCACTGCACAGGATTTTGTAGATTTTAGGAAATACTGGACATCAAATTTTGGTTGTCCCCAATGAGACAATTCTGCACCAATGACCAATGGTTTCATTCACTTATCCATTTATTTATTCATGTATTCATTCCTTCACTCAATACAGGACTGCTGTGTTGTGCATCTCCAGGCAGCACCGTTCATATCATTGTCTATGTGGATGAAGCCCCTGGAGCTTAGCAGTACACAGCCTGCGCAACCACATTCAGTGGCCTTAACTAAACAATATTTACTGGATGAGTGTGTTCCAGGTGCTGTTCCAGGCTAGGCATTGAGAATAGAGCAGTGAGCAAGACAGACTTGATCTTGCCGTCATGGAGATTTATTTTAGATAAGGGCCTACAAAAAATGAATAATTACAAAAATCACATAAATATGAATTTAAATAAGTGCTATGAAGTATAGGAACAGGATAGTCTATGGACCTCTGACAGTGAGACCTACTATTCTGGACTGGCAGGAAAGAAATTCTGAGGAAGCAGTATTTAAGTTGAAGCCTGAAGACTAAGTATATTTATATTATGTGAATACTGGGACTGGGGAGAATGTTTCAGAAAGAGGGAACAGTAAGCAGGTCAGGCAGGAGCACAGGATAGCCAAGGAATTCTGGCCGGGTGCAGAAATGGGAGATGGAGGAGACGGGGCTAGAAAGACAGTCAGGCACCAGACCTTTCAGGGTTTTGGAGAATGTGTTGACAATTTTGGTCTTCATCCTAAGAAAAATTGCAAGACATTGGATGTCCTATGCAAGAGAGTGACCTTTAGCTACGTCGCACTATCTGCATTATGGAGAAGGCATTTGACATGGACAAGAACATATATGGTTGACAAGATGGGGGCCGTTGCAGTAACACAAGTGAGAGGTAGTGGTGGCTTGCTCTGGGGCAATGCCAAAGAATATGATAAGTAGACAGATCAGAGAGATTTTCACATGGAATGTCGTGCCCTAATCTCACTCTTTGTTATTTATTGGCCAGTAGCTCTGAGTTATTTTGACCTTTGAGTGCTCTCAGGCAATATTAATTATCAACTAGTGTGAGTGACTCTGTGAAAGGCAGAATTATGTGAGTAAACATCAAAGATCACTGAAATCAAGTATTGCATTTGGCTATTAATATATTACATAGCTAATAAAACAGTCATTGCCCTTTTATGTATCAAAAGCCCATTTGTCAACCTCAAATTTAAGCCCTCTGTCCTCTTCCATATCATGTGGTACCTACGTCTATGGGATTGTGGCAGAGATTCAAAGAGAGAATATATCTAAAGTATTTTGCACAATGCCTGCAAGATCATACTTATTATTAACTACTTTTTACTACTGTTATTACTCATGCCTATATTACGTTGGGGTTTAGGATGAGATTTAATTACATCCCTTTTCCTCTAAGTTGGGTACCAAAATTTGAGTAAACAGATACAGGTGTCAAACCAAGAGAGATGAAATTATTAGTTTTATTGCTGATATTGCTAACTTCAAGAATGTGGATTGGCTTTTCTGCCAAATCTAGTGATTGGTACAGATAACAATATGAAACCTGTATATCTGTACATCATAATTTCTCCTTTGCCTCCCTCACAAAGGGTAAGAGCAAGACATGAACCCTGGTCCTCACCCAGGTATACTTATATCAGGGAAAAACTGAGGAGAACATGCTCCTTCCTCAGGTGAATCACAGAGCAGAGAAGTTGAGAGCCTGAATCCTGGAGCTAGACTTTGTGAGTCATCTTGGCTGTGGCATTCATCAGCCAAGCAGCAATGCAAGTCTCTCAGTGTTTCTGTGACTCAGTCTCCTCATCTGTAAAATGGGAATGATAGTCGTACTACCTGCTAGGACAAGTGTGAGGATTGAATGAGTGCAAATATTGATCTCTGGAACATAGAAACTCCGATATATGTTTATCATTATCAATATTTATGAGGAGAATTTAGAAAGCACTGCTCCATACATGCCTCTTCAAACCCCCTAACAGAGAGGTTATTCCTCTCCCCAGGGGAAGAGCCAATGAGATGACTGGAAGAGAAGCATTGCTCCCATACTTCTCCTTCCTGAGGGGTGGGGTGTGAAGCCCTCCCTCTCTGCTGAACATTGAGCAGAAGGAAGGAAAGGTTTACTTTCCCCATATTCTATTATTTGACATAGTTGGCCTCCAACAACCTGACCTCTGCAGGTCCCTGTATCTACCTGGAGAGAAAGAGCTTTGTCATATTCATCAGTATATGCTTCCATTCTATAGGGCCACACACTGGGCTTTGCATCCAGTTGGCACTCAAGCAGTGCTTGATGGGTTTGAAGATGAGCATCTTTCTCTGAGATATTGTGTTCTTATTGGATTAAATAGTGAGGGGCTGCTGCCTGGTAGCAATATACTGGCCCTGAGTGGGAAGTGCGAATGAGGTCCCCTTGGTCTACCCCCTTTCTCTGGGCCCTCTGGCCATCTGCATCCTGATTTACACCCTGAAATTTTAGGAAACCGGAAGCTAACTAAAACTTTCTTAGCGCAGGGCAAACACTTTCTACATTGGCTTTCCTCACTTGTGCCTTTTTCCTGATCTAGAATGTTGGGCTTCTCTGGCAGAAGCAGAAATAAATAATTGAGAAAAAGCTTATTATCAGATGAACACATTATGCATTGATTTGTTCCTGCATGTGTATTCTCATAAGTTAGGTTTAATTAAATGTACAATATAGTGGAAGGATTAAGTGAAATATGGGATAGCAACTGGGCAGGATATTAGGAGGTCACGGACATTAGTAAATCGGAAGACTGAGTAGCTACACAGAAAGCATTCACAAAATGATACTGAGTAAAGCCTAGCACTGAACTGTAGTAATAGTAATACTACAATCCTAACATGAGTCATACACGTTTCCGTCATTATAATTGTTACTTCCCAAAATAATTGTTATCTGTCTGCTGTATATTATCCACCTCCCCTAATTGCAACGTGTGTTAAATGGGACTTGGTCTCTTTTGTTGGTCTCTATAGCCCCCTGGCCTTGTGGCAGAGTTTGGCAAACTATGGCCAACCAGCCAAATCTGACCCACTGCCTGTTTTTTGTAAACAAAGTTTTATTGGAACACTTCCAGACCCACTGGTTTACATATTGTTCGTGGCTGCCTATGTGACAAAACAGTGAAGCTAAGCAGTTGTGTCGGACACTGTGTGGCCCTCACAGCCTACACCTTTTACTATCTGGTCCACTATGGAAAATATTTGCTCATCCCTGGCCTAAACCACTGACTGACAAATATTAAGTGCTTAACAAACACTGATAGAATGAAGGAGTGGAAGAAGAAATGAATACACATGGATACAGAGTGTAAGAAAATGCAGATAAATCAAAACTGTGAAAGGAATAGGTCTGTGCTTAAAATTTTTTTCTTTTTAAATCCTGTTGTATTTTGTTTAACAATATAGGTTGAGTATCTCTGATCTAAAAATTCAAAGTCTGAAATGCTGCAAAATCTGAAACGTTGTGAGCACCACTTGTTGGAGTATTTTGGATTTCAGATTTTCAGATTACGGATGCTTAACCCATAAGTATAATGCCAATATCCAAAAATATTCAAAATCCAAAACATTTCTGGTCCCAAGCATTTTGGATAAGGGATACTCAAACTATATATATATTTTAAAAAGCAGAAACAAAATTTGAAAAGTAATGCTACCACCTATGTAAATTATTGAGAATATAATTTGGAGGTCTTGTGGTTCAAGAATTGCTGCAACTCTAGATTACTGAGTGGTTTGCTCATGTTTTTGTTTTTAGTTCAAAAGCAAAGTGCCCTCATCACTAATTGCCCTTCTAATTGTAAGTTAACAGTGGGGAAAGCAAGCCCGTGGGGATTACTTGCAAAGCTATTTTACAGCAGACTACGTGGGTTGTCCACACATGAATGGAACAGACCCAACTTGTATAGTAACATAAATAATATTGACCGACCTGGTCATTCATCAAAATTAAATTGATATGCGGCCCCATGAGGCTTGGTTGTCTTAGTCTCTCCTCTAGACATAACATTTATCTGATAACTCACAGAGCTTCCAGACCAGCTCCAACCTCCTCCTTAGCTTAGCTCTTCTTACTTTAGCCTTCATAATAAGCCTTCTTTATTTAAACCTCTATTAGCCAAGAAAAGATTAATGAGCCTTTACATTTTTAAAAGATCAAAAAAAAAAAAAAACAAAGAAAGAAAATAGGAGAGACATTTTATTTGTTTCACACAAGGACAAAAATTGGTCTCGCTCACTGACTTCATCCAGCTTCATGCTCTTGTGAATCTGGTTGGCTCTTTTGTACCTATTTGTTCATTTGCTTAATGGTCCTTTGGGGCCTCTCCAACTAGTAGCATAAGCCAGAAGAGGAGAAGCAATCTATTTTCCAAAAGGGTGCATTTAAAAAAGTCATTTTGCCTACTCCATTTCACAAAGAAACAATGGTTGTAAGAGCTCTGGGACATTAATTTTTCACAGGCAAAATATTCATCTTAATGCATATAGCCATAGGTTCAAAAAGTAATGTTAAGCTTGTGTATGTTGGCCACAGTAGTGCTATTCAAGACCTCCTCCTAGTTCCCTGTTGCAAAAGACTTTTACCCCACTGTGTTTGGTGTTTTTCTTTGCATTTCAAAGCCCTGGAATCAAATGCAATTGAGGTTGCATGCTGGATTTTGGGGGCACGTATGAATTTACATGCATTTATGTCTTTAATGAATATTAAAGTGGGGGTATTTTTCTAAAGCAACTCAAAACAGGGTGGAAAATCTGACTTTTCTTTGTTTTAACCAGAACTTGGTAAAATAGATGAAACACCCTGGAAAGAGACATGGTCACTTGAGTGACCTCATTAAATATGGCTACCCTGTCCCTCCCAGAACTCCCATTTTTTGCAGTTAGCCATTAACATGGCTAGGTTAAGTAGCAACAAATTATGATGAAGGTGCAACTTGCTCTTTTATTTGGGAGAGGAAATAAAATTATTCTGAAGCTCAGGATGATACAGCTCTTTGTAAGGTTTGCTTCATAATTGATCTTTCTTGAGCGAGAGGTGAAATGTCTTGGACTGAACAAGATGAGGCAGCAGGCCTGATAAAATGGCACTGATGTATATGAACACATAGAGAAAAGAGGCCAACTGCAACAAAATGCCAACAGACACAAAAGTCATGCCACCGGAAATGGAGCAGAAATGCTATTTGTGAATCTGCTTCATAAAGGACATTTTTTTTAAGCTAATAACATCTTTCTATACAATTTCACATGTACAATATCACTTAAGCCTCTTTTTGCTCCATATCTAAAGCTGCAGGAAGTCCAGCAGCCGTGCACTGTGCTTTTATTAGGTTGAGTATATCCAGATGATTTTAATAAAGTTTTAAAAGGACATTAGTTTCCTGCTATTTCAATGAAAACCACTTGCAAGATGAATTTAAAGCAATAGGTCTATTTCTTGTCAACACATGCCCTTTTTTAATGCAAATATGCCACCCTTTTCTAATAACCAACAAAACTACACACAAACACAATTATCAGCTGCATGTGACATGGGAGAAAAATATCATCCTCATAAATGTTTAAGGATGAAGAGATGGTAAGAGTGATAGATGCCACTGTATGCTGCTCGGATTCCTCCTAAAGGACTGGGGTTCCTCTGACCTCCAACTGCTGGAAGCTCAGAGTCTTGGATACTGTAGTCTCTCTCTCTGGGAGTTGTCCTCAGCTAAATGGTGGCTTGTCTCAGGCCATGTGAACTCTCTAGAGCTCACAATCCAGTAACTGGTCAAAATGTGCATGGGGTGGAAGGGCAAGGAGAGGTGTTTAAAGACCCAGTCCCCTGATGCCAGATGACCTGAGGGACCATCCTAGTTTCAGAGCTTCCCTTGGGAGCAACTGAAGTCCGTGTTGTGACTGCATTATAATTCAGCATCTCCTTCTGCCCAGTTCTCCTTCGTGCAACCTCCCACTGAGCTTCATCTCAAGAGAATTCTTCCCCTCAACCCTATGCCCTCCCCCTGCAAATCTCCACCTCAGAGCCAGGAATATTTTGGATTTCAAATATTTTTGGATTTTGGAACATTTGAATTATACTTATGGGTTGAGTATCCCTAATCTGAAAATCTGAAATCCAAAATGCTCCAGTGAGCATTCCCTTTGAGCACCATGCTGGTGCTCACAATGTTTCAGATTTTACAGCATTTCAGATTTTGGATTTTCAGATTAGGGATGCTCCACCTATATTGTTAAACAAAATATAACAGGATTAAAAAGAAAAAAAAATCTAAGCACAGTCCTATCCCCTTCACAGGTTTGATTTATCTGCATTTTCTTACACTCTGTATCCACGTGTATTCATTTCTTCTTCCACTCCTTCATTCTATCAGTGTTTATTAAGCACTTTATATTTCTCAGTCAGTGGTTTAGGCCAGGAATGGACAAATATTTTCCATAATGGGCCGGATAGTAAAAGGTGTAGGCTGTGAGGGCCACACAGTGTCTGACACAACTACTTAGCTTCACTGTTTT